>NC_000001.11:109553835-109856865 GCF_000001405.40 Homo sapiens
AGTCCTTTATCCCTCACCACCTTCCCACCCTTTCCCCCGAGTCCCCAAAGTCCGTTGTATCATTCTTAGGCCTTTGCATCCTCATAGCTTAGCATCCACTTACAAGTGAGAACGTACGATGTTTGGTTTTCCATTCCTGAGTTACTTCACTTAGAGTAATCGTCTCCAGTTCCATCCAGGTTGCTGCAGATGCCATTATTTCATTCCTTTTTATGGCTGAGTAGTGTTCCATGGGTGTAGAGGGGTGTGTGTGTGTGTGTGTGTGTATATCACATTTTCTTTATCCACTCGTTGATTGATGGGCATTTGGGCTGGTTCCATATTTTTGCCATTGTGAATTGTGCTGCTATAAACATGCGTATGCAAGTATCTTTTTTGTATAATGGCTTCTTTCCTCAGGGTAGATACTCAGGAGTGAGATTGGTGCATCAAATGGTAGATATACTTTTAGTTCTTTAAGGAACCTACACACTGTTTCCCATAGTGGTTGTACTAGTTTACATTCCCACCAACAGCGTGAAGGTGTTCCCTTTTCATCACATCCACACCAACATCTATTTTTTTTTTATTATGGCCATTATTGCAGGAGTAAGGTGGTATCACATTGTAGTTTTGATTTGTAGTTCCTGATAATTAGTGATGTTGAGCATGTTTTCGTAAGTTTGCTGGCCATTTGTATATCTTGTGAGAATTGTCTATTCAAGTCCTTAGCCCACTTTTTGATGGGATTGTTTTTTTCGTGCTGATTTGATTTCCTTGTAGATTCTGGATATTAGTCCTTTGTCAGATGTATAGATTGTGAAGATTTTCTCCCACTCTGGGTTGTCTGTACTCTGCTGATTTCTTTTGTTGCTCAGAAGCTTTTTAGTTTAGTTGAGTCCCATTTATTTATTTTTATTTTTGTCTTTGCATTTGCTTTTGGGTTCTTGGTTGTGAAGTCTTTGCCTAAGCCAATGGCTAGAAGGGTTTTTCCAATGTTATCTTCTAGAATTTTTATGGTTTTGGGTCTTAGATTTAAGTCAGTAGCCCTATACACCAACAGCAACCAAGCTGAGAATCAAATCAAGAACTCAACCTTTTACAGTAGCTGCAAACAAAAAACAAACAAACAAACAATACTTAGGAATATACTTGACCAAGAAGGTGAAACACCTCTACAAGGAAAACTACAAAACACGGCTGACAGAAATCATAGATGATACAAACAAATGGAAACACGTCCCATGCTCATGGATGGGTAGAATCAATATTGTGAAAATGACCATACTGCCAAAAGCATATCTACAAATTCAATGCAATTCCCATTAAAGTACCACCATCATTCTTCACAGAACTAGAAAAAACAATCCTAAAATTCATGTGGACCCAAAAAAGAGCCCGTATAGCCAAAGCAAGACTAAGCAAAAAGAACAAACCTAGAGGCATTAGATTACCTGACTTCGAACTATACTGTAAGGCCATAATCACCAAAACATCATGGTACTGGTGTAAAAACAGGCATATAGACTAATGGAACAGAATAGAGAGCCCAGAAATAAAGCCAAATAACTTCCAGTCAACTAATCTTCGACAAAGAAACAAAAATGTGAAGTGGCGAAAGGACACCCTGTTCCACAAATGGTGCTGGGATAATTGACAAGCCACATGTAGAAGCATTAATCACTTTTGCAGTCTGAAAATACGGCCCTTTTCAGGAATTAAAATAATGTAATTTTCCCTGACTACGCTATTCCTGTAGTACACTGATGGCCATAGAGTAGGGTGCTTAATACTAGATTTCACAGGGCATGTAAGGTTCTAATAAGCGCTGCTACTACGTTTCTTTAAAAAATAATTTTTAGCATACTAAACTTATATGCATTATTACAAAAAAGTCTTTTAGTTTTTAGGCAGTTGTCTCTAATAAAATTGATTCGTAGTCTAGAGATCTTTTAGAGATGGTTAGTAAAACCTGAAGCACTATGCTGTTCCTCCCCCGTGGTGCTGAGCTTCTGCATCCTCTAGCTTGGGAAGGAAAAGGGAGTTGTTAGGCCTCTGCAGATACTTCCTTTTTTCCTATCCTGTCTCTCTTCCTTCCCTGGTTTCTTCTACAGCATACTTTCTCCTGGGGAAAGGAGTGCGTGCGTGCGTGTGTGTGTGTGTGTGTGTGTGTGTGTGTGTGTGTTTGTGTGTGTTTCATCAGGTCCTTCCATTAACTTCCATTCTTTTTCTTTTTTTTTTTTGTTGAGTCTTACTCTGTCGCCCAGGCTGGAGTGCAGTGGTGCAATCTCAATGCAACCTCTGCAACATCACTGCAACCTCTGCCTCCCAGGCTCAAACGATCCTCCCATCTCGGCCTCCTGAGTAGCTTGGACTACAGGCTAATGCCACCACCGTTGGCTAATTTTTTGTAGAGATGGGGTTTTGCCATATTGCCCAGGCTGGCCTTGAACTTCTGGGTTCAATGATTTGCCCACCTCAGCCTCCCAAAATGTTGAGATTATAGACTGAGATTATAGCCTCTAACTTCCATTCTTAAAAGTCGCTCATCTGTAACCAGGAAAAAACAATATAGAGAGACAGATGGCAGGAAAATCAGTAGCTGTGCAAAAATGGAATGTTCAAAACGCGGAAGAAAAAACTGAAACATTGTGAAGAGTCTTTTGGTTCCTTTTTTAGAGGACAATTTTTTACTTGGAATTTTTGAAAAATCTGTTTTCTCTACTTGAGATGGCTTCTCTTTCTGCTTTTCCCCCAGTGTATTAATGAACTATATCCTGCTACTTACCTCAAGTCAGTTTATCCAGTATAGAACTTGCCTTCACTCCTCACCCCCAAATCCACCTGTTGGGAACTTTTCTGTTTCAGTACCAGCATTCTCAACTTCATCTAGGCTGAAAACTGCAGTTGTTTTTAACTCCTCTGTTACTCTCATCTCTTACAACCAGTCAGTTGCGAAGTCCTATGACTCAGTCATTACTAGATTCCAGATTTTTGGACTTTAAGGACCAGAAAAATTTTTAAAAACTTGTTTTTGGTAGACTGACCTAGGATTTTAATATTTTATTTTTCTTAGTAAATACATTTTAAAAATCTCAGACTACTGTCTGTTATGATTACTATTTAGTTCTCTTTCCTCCCGAGACAGTCTCACTCTGTTGCCCAGACTGGAGTGTAGTGGCATGATCTTGGATCACTGCAACCTCTGCCTCCCAGGTTCGAGCAATTCTCATGCCTCAGCCTTCTGCGTAGCTGAGAGTACAGGTGTGCACCACCGTGCCCAGCTATTTTTTGTATTTTTAGTAGAGACGGGGTTTCACCATGTTGGCCAGGCTGGTCTCAAACTTCTGGCCTAAAGTGATCTACCCGCCTCGACCTCCCAAAGGCTGGGATTACAGGTGTGAGTCACCATGCCTCGCCATTGGTGAAACTGTTTTGATGTTCTGAATTGGATATGATATGATCCTCTATTTTTGAAACCTCATAGTACTTTTTATGCCACTTATAGTCTGCCTTATATATGGTTATTTATATACTTACCTGGTCCTAACCATATGGTCTTTTAGGGCAGGAGGACTAAGTATTTCTCATCTTTTTGTCTGTTGCAGGACTTAATAGAATGCTAAAGTGTTTTTGCCCATAAGGAATAGGAACACCACTCATACAAGTCACAAGTAAAAGAGAGGTATATTGAAAGGACAAAGTAGGCAACTTCATAGGTGTTAGACATTCAAGAATAGGTAAGAAATGAAATACAGGTAGGTTGTATGTACATGGACTGTGATACCCAACCCCCACCCTCTCCCCTATTTCTCCTAGAGCAGAATGGCCTCCCCCGAGTCTTCAACTTTTGTTTACTCTGACATCTTCTGTGGCTCACGCACCGCCTGACCCGGTAGTTCAAGTGCTTCATGTTATCTGATGCAGGCTCCCAGGATCCCATTCCCGGTTCCTGGTAAAGAGTATCAGATTGGCCCAGCCTTGTCATCTGCCAACCACAATCCAGTCATGTATGGTTGGGTATAGCAGAGTTGATGGGGTATCATGAGTTTTATAAGGTGACCCTTTCAAGGACTGGAGTAGGTCAAATTCTCTATTAAATGCATGGCCAGAGAGTTAATGTTTAATAAAGAGATGACAGTGCCTGACACCTAGTAGGCACTCACTAAATATAAGTTGAACATAATGGAATGACATGGGAGTATTGAGGAACTAAACATATCACTGCTTTACTTTCTCATTAGTTCATGAGAACGTGCCTGCTCATTCTCAATATTACCATCTTGTATAGTTGGGAGAGAGAACTTAAATTCAGATTTAAAATTAGGCCAGGCATGGTGGCTCATGCTTGTAATCCCAGCACTTTGGGAGGCTGAGGTGGGCAGATCACCTGAGGTCAGGAGTTCCAGACCAGCCTGGCCAACATGGTGAAGCCCCGTCTTTTCTGAAAATACAAAAATTAGCCAGGCGTGGTGGTGCACACCTGTAATCCCAGCTACTTGGGAGGCTGAGGCATGAGAATCGCTTGAACCTGGGAGGCGGACGTTGCAGTCAGCTGAGGTGGAATGACTGCACTCTAGCCTGGGCGACAGAGTGAGACTCTGTCTCAAAAAACAAAAACAAAAACAAAATTTAAAAATAAATTGAAGTAGGGTACAGGATTTTAAAGTCCCATTATCAACACATTCAACTCAGAATAGTTAATGTAACCTGAATTTAATTACCTTTGATTTTAATTTAGGAATGAATTTTTTAAAATGCATATAACCAGCTCAGGGTCTGTGCTTCATCATCACCCTGGCTTTTTTTTTGTGCTAATTTTTCCTCTTACTACTTTTATGAGTACCAGAAAATTATCCAAAGCTAAGAGAAGAAATAAAACACTGTTTTTGCTCCTTATTAATAATTTGCTTCTAAGTTTTTGTTAGAGAGTAGGTAAAAACGTTTGGCAAAGTAGATTGCTCATAGAGTTTAGCTATCCATGCTTTGTTTTTACCTTTAGTTTAGTTTTATGGCAGGGGAATAGGACTTGTTGAAGGGAGTGGGAAAGAAGGGATGCAGGTCTTCATAATAAGGAATGTCGGCCAGGCGCAGTATCTCACACCTGTAATCCCAGCACTTTGGGAGGCCAAGGCAGGCAGATCACTAGGTCAGGAGTTCGAGACCAGCCTGGCCAGCATGGTGAAACTCCATCTCTACTAAAAATACAAAAAATTAGCTGGGCATGGTGGTGCGCACCTGTAATCCCAGCCACTTAGGAGGCTGAGGCGGGAGAATTGCTTGAACCCAGGAGGCAGAGGTTGCAGCGCGCTGAGATTGTGGCACTGCACTCCATCCAGCCTGGGTGACAGAGCGAGACTCTGTCTCAAAAGAAAAAAAAAAGAAAAGAAAAAGAAAAAATGTCTAGAGCAGTCTGCACTAAATTTGTTCACGTTACTGAAGTTCATTTTTAAAATTTGTTTTCTAGCCAATAAAATATAGTAGACTAGCAATAATAAAACACATCTCTTTGAACTGGTAACTCACATCAGAAATAGGAGATACCATGCAATTAATACAGGGCAAAGAGAATGAAAACTGAGAGATTAGTCCTTATCACTGAGCTTCATTTTCCTTTCTTTTTACCACTGAGGGATTTAAATTGAACCTCAGGGGTCCTTTGTCTGTGAACTTAATATTATTAGCCAGATGGAATATTTTAGCAAGTTATAAAGGTAACTATTTTTGTGTTATGTCTCTTATTCTTGAGTTTGATTGAAGTTAGCTTAACATCATAAAGCTGGTTAGAAAGATAGTTAAAAACTGAAGTTAAAAACCTGAAAAACATAAATTCATGAAGTACCCCTAATGTACATGTTCAAAAGAAAATACAAAGAAATCACTCAGTATTTGACTTCCCCTCCAATTTTAATTGTCTTTTGGTATAATTCTTTTTTGGTGTTTAGCAAGTTAAAGTTATCTTTAAGCATTTATCTTGTCCAGGTGATCCTGTTACCGGCTTAGTAATCAGCTGTATCATTTCTGTAATTCAAGCTGTTTGAACTGAATAACATAGTGTTAGGATCACTGTTTAATTGTTCTAGTTTTGATAGATACAATGCTTTATGTAAGTGAAATATCCGATTTTTCATGACTTTCTGTTAAGTTGTGACAAATTCATGTATCTGATGTGAACTAAGCAAAGAAGAAAGATACCTAAAAGACTAAATTTGTTTGACTTATACCTGAATAGTGGTCTAGTGATGTTAGAAACAAGTTTCAGGAAGAGCTAGTCTTCAGATCTGAACTTCCTTTGATTTCCAAGTTAGACTTAGATACCTAAAAGTTTAAGAAAGATTGTTAAGGATTAGCTGAGATGTTACTGTGTTTGTTGATCCATTACTAATTGCTGTTAGGGCTTCTTTTTGTTGCCAAGTCATGTTTTCAGATGGATAAATGTTTTTAATGTTAATACAAAACATCTGTTTCTTGAATAATGTTAGTATTTTATATCTCAAAGAATTCTTATTGCTTACCTTGGAAGTAGATAGTATTCTAAGTCATAATAATGATAATTATTATTTTGCTGCTCAGTATAATAATCTGAATTTTTTCTAGCTGTAGTAGCTGTTGAGTCAGGCTTGCCTTGCCGTGATCAAAACATGCACTCTATATATTTTAATTGTACTGGCTGGGCAAAGTCCTGTAATCCCAGGACTTTGGGAAGTTGAGGCCGGAGGACTAGCCTGGGCAAGATGGCAAGACCTTGTCTCTACAAAAAATTTGACAGAGTGAGATCCTGTCTCTTAAAAAAAATCATTTGAGAAACAGCAAAAGTACTCTGTATTCAGTGCTCTTGTGATCCTCCTGTGTCAGCCTCCTGAGTGGCTGGGACTACAGGCATGCACCACTATGCTAGGCTAATTTAAATTTTTGGTAGACATGAGGTCTCTCTACAGTGCCCAGGGTAGTCTTTAACTCCTGGGCTCAAGTGATCCTCTCAACTCAGCCTCCCAAAGTGTTGGGATTACAGGTGTGAGCCACTGCATCTGACCTGATTCACTGCTCTTAAAGAGCTGATGTGAAAGTGAGTTTTGCCTAGGATCTTGTAAGTTATTGAAGGGTTGTTTCAAAGTGACATATCTTTAACAGAACATTTTCTCCTGTATTTCTTGAAGTTAGAACTTGGGAATCATTAACTTCAAAACAGGGCTTCGTTTGATATAATGATAAAACTATGACCATGACTTATGTAGGTAATGTAGTCCTGAGGTATGTGTTAGGATAGTGCAGTCTTAATTTTGGTTCATTCCAGGGTATTGAAAATAATTTGCTTCTTTTCTTCTTCTGCTTCTAAGAAGAAAAGCATATTTCTTACTCTATTTTTGTTATTATGTTTGTAATTAAAATCCACATTCATGTCCCCAGCAAAAGTTGAAGTAGTTCTTTCAACTTTTTCTAGACTACTCAATGTTTAAAAACTAAGGTTTTAATTTTGGGAAAATTTTAGATTTACAGAAAAGTTGCAGATAGTACAGAGTCCCTATATACTTTACACCTGTTTTTCCTTAATGTTGATATCTTACATAGCTATGGTACCTTTGTAAAACACTCAGGGATTAATATTGGTGCCTTAATGTTAACTAAACTTCACATTTTATTTAGATTTCAGCAGTTTTCCCACTAATTTTCTGCTCCAGGATCCAATCCAGGATACACCATTGCATTTAGTCAAGGCTACTTTTTATTAAGCTTTTTGGTTTTCATTGTTGCACTGTTCAGTGGGAGGCTCATTTATTAACTTAGTTTCTAGCCTGGAGATAGAAATGAGAAATATACAGAATTCTTAAGCAGTTCAAGTAGGGAAGATATGCAAGTAAACTATGGTAATAAAATGTGATTACAGAAGGAATAGCCAATTTTGTAAGGAGGAAGAGAGAGAGAGACATATACGTTAGGGAAGCCCTCCCAGAGGAGGTGACATTTGAAATGGGCTTTGAAAATTAAATAGCAACTTTTTTTTTTAAGTTTCTTCCTTTTAGAATATTTTACTAAGCGAGAAGCTGGGATGAAAGTTAGATAGGAACTCTTAAGGCAGAGGCTGGAGAGAAGCATATCCAGACAAAGGGAATAGTAAGCACAAAGACTCAGAACATGAGTGAGCAAATAGATTTGATTGAAATGAAGGGTTGGTACAGGAAGAGTGTAGAAGGTGAGCCTGAAAAGGTATGCAGAGGATTTGGAGAGTGTTTATGTGAAGTTTTTTGGTAGCTGTATTTTAAGCTGTATTATGTATGTATGTGTATATATGAATATATGTGTGTATATATACATACACAAGATATGTATGCACACGTATGGAGTAGGTTCTGCATCTGGATTTAACCAATGGCAGATCAAAAATACTGGGAAAAATTAAATGACAAAAATAATACAAAAAAAGTATAACTATTTACATAGCATTTACATTTTATTAGGTATTATAAGTAATCTAGAGAGGATTTAAACTGTACAGCAGAATGTGTGTAGGTTATATGAAAATACTACACCATTTTATGTAAGGGACTTGAGCATTGGTGGATTTTGGTATCCTAGGGGGGGTCCTGGAACCAGTCCCCTGCGGATACCAAGGTATGTGTGTGTGTATAAAATTTAGGGGAACTCATCCAGAGACTGCATTGTTCTCCTTCTTATTACCTGCCTTTTTGTTTTTTTTGCCATTCCACCACTAATTCATGCTGTAACAAAAGGTTAAGTAGAAGTAAATACATATGTGAAATCCATACTGTTTTGGGTTTTGGCTGAACAGCTTTGGTGAGCATTTATTATAGTAAAGGAAATTGAAATTGTAGGCATCCTTATCTGGCAACTCAGTTTGTAGTGTTTGCTGTTGGTGAATTTTAAAAGTGTAGTTTGATTTACATTGGATTAAATACACCTGTAGAAACGTGCCCTATGCTGCTATCGATGTTAGAGGGCCCTAGGTAGGGAGGAATATGATTTCAACATTTTAAATCCCAAAATTTTACAATTTTGGGATATAGGTGCTTTGATAAATGATTTAGCATTGCAATTAACTTTGGAGGACATCTGCAGTATAATGAATCATTATTTTTATGGGTTAAAATGAAATATTTGGATTATTTGTGGGTTACAGTTGCTTGTGTCAGTTCTGTTCCCTTTTACTCTAAATAAATATAGTTTTCAGTCATGTCATATATAAATACTACGTAATTTAATGTTAGCATCAAAATGGCTTTTTGCTGCCCTGCTTTCAAATAAGGAGAAGGAAACTTACCAAAGTCCAAAATTAGAACACTGAGACTGGGCACAGTGGCTCATGCCTGTAATCTCAGCACCTTGGGATCACTTGAGCTCAGGAGTTCGAGACTAGCCTGGGCAACGTGGTGAAACTCCGTCTCTACTAAAAATATAAAAATTAGCCGGTGTGGTGATGTGCACCTGTGGTCCCAGTTACTCCAGAGGCTGAGGGGGAAGGATCGCTTGAGCCCTGGGGCGGGGCAGAGGTTGCAGTGAGCTGAGATCATGCCACTGCACTCCAGCCTGGGTGACAGAGCAAGACACTGTCTCAGAAGACAAACAAACAAACAAAAAACGTTGAGGCAGCCAGAGGATGATCCCTGTCCTTGCTCACAAATGACTGCTCCCTTAAGCAATCAAAGGCAAGGAAGGAACTCTACGTACTTCTCCCCCTTTAAATGATAACATTTTGAGGAGAGCTGCTTAGCTGAGTGAGCTGCCTTTTTTTTAAAAAAAACTCAAGCCAACCCTTCCTTAGATGATTTATGAATGTAAAATGCTTGTTAACTTTCTGCTTTATGGTTTATGATGCTTGTAAAATGATAGGATTATTGTCCATGTATGTAATTGGTGAAGGATATGAAACTCAGAACAAACCATATAGTGCCATGTAAGTTATGGACATATTTTAGTTGTTAGGGCTTTTAAAAAACATCTCCCCCTCTGTCATTACATGTTTTACCCTCTGGAAATGTTTAATGAAACAGTAACTGATATTGGGAGGGACACACAGGTTGCTTCAAAGATAAATGGTAATGTTTAATTTTTATGCTGGACAATAGGTACACAGATTTTTTGTTACACATATGCTATAAGTATTCCCTTTTATGTATCCAATATTTATTTAATAAAAAACAACCTAAAGTTTTAAAGGCAAAAAAGGTAATTCTCATGTCCTTAAAGCCTATTCCATTCAGTTTTTGTGTGTTTTTTTTTTTTTTTGGTGGCAAGGAAAAGAAAACTCATTCAAACTAGGACCAAAAGTTGGTGGGTTGATAGGTTATTGTTAGAATATAGAAAGGTGTTTGTGGGAATACAGGAAGAGCTGGAGAATCAGGCCGCAAGAACTGATGCAGCTCTGAGACTGGCCAGACTGTTTTCTCTTTTTTGTCTGTTTCTGCCTCTTGCTGGCTTCACTATTTCTGCCTTTATTTTATTTATTTATTTTTTTTGCTTTCTTACCTTTGCTTGTTCCCGTCTCTTTCTCTGTTTCCTTGGTCCCATCCGTTTGTTTTTTTTTGTTTTTTAAACTGGGTCAACAACCTTTGTTGTAAAACAAAGGTGCCCTTCCCCCATTCATTCTGTTTTCTCACTTACTTGATGTCTCTTTTTTTGTGAGCTCTCTCCTTTAAGTCACTGCATATTTTTCTGTTCTCTTCTCTCCAGACCAACCTTCCTCTGAATCTTTTCCTTTGTGACCTTGTTGTGCATGAAGCTCTATAATGGTAGCCTAGGTTTTTTTCCACATGTATCTCCTAGTGCAGATTCCTCAGATAATCCAGTTGGTCCTGCTCATCTTTTAGAGCTAGGTCACATAGGCCACCAACAGCCTGTGACTAGGTGACTCCTGTGTTAGGTATTTACCCTCGATTCGGTCACAGGAAAGGTTGTGGCCTAGATCGTGTGGGCCATTTCCCACTGAGGTAGCGAAGTAGGGATTTTTATAGAAGAGATTATGGGCAGGCAGATGTTCTGAAATTCTAATATGTCAATTAAGTTTTATCAGAATTTTCTTATGTGCCCTTTAAGCCTTTTTGGTAATCGGTATGTGATTGCTTCCTAGAAGAATCTTTTTCAAAGAAAAACCATTAGCTCTCTTCCAGTTACAACTCACTGCCTTCTTTTATCCTTAAGATATTCATTCATAGCCAGGCGCGGTGGCTCACGCTTGTAATCCTAGCACTTTGGGAGGCCGAGGCTGGTGGATCATGAGGTCAAGAGTTCAAGACCAGCCTGGCCAAGATGGTGAAACCCCGTCTCTACTAAAACTACAAAAAAAATCGACCTGGCGTGGTGGCAGGCACCTGTAATCCCAGCTACTTGGGAGGCTGAGACAGAGAATCACTTGAACCCGGGCAGCAGAAGTTGCAGTGAGCTGAGATTGTGCCACTGGGTGACAGAGTGAGACTCCGTCTCAAAAAAAAAAAAAAAAGATAATTCATTCATAATCTCACTGAACAAATAATAAATGAGTGCTCACTATGTTTTATATACCCTTCTAGGTGTTAGGGATAGAATGAGATGATGAGTGCAGGGGAGATAGGACAAGGGTTTGAGAGTAAGGTTAGAAGGGAGTGAGGCTAGTGAGTGAGTCCAAATTTATTGTCAGTATAGTCATGGGATGAGAGTTGAAGGGCCAAGAGTGGGTGTGAGGCTGAATAAAGATAGCATAGGAATGGAAATCTTCCGTTTCTGTTAACTACCTACGTTGAAGATTCCATCCATTGCATCTGGCATTGTGATTAATGTTATTAAGCAACCACTGAATATTATAGAAACTCAAGCCATTCATTTCACAGATAGTCATTAAGTGCCTAATCTGTCCTAGATTTTGCTCTAGATTGGCGGGGGGTGCACAAAAAGAAATAGCAATTTTGTGCTTTCAAGGATTGGGCTTTGAGCTTAGGGCTAGTGGAGTCCTAAACAGGCACAAACCCGAATAATTACAATAATTTGACCAAGTACTAATGTAACAGTGTATGACATTACCCTGTAAAGCCAGGTTGAGCCTGGTCAGGGTGCCCCTGAGGGAGAATTACATAGATATGGAAGGGTTTTCAGGTTGTGGCAGAAAGGGTTTCATTACTATTTTAATCAAAATCAAGAAAACCAGTTAGCAGCTTATGAGAAGCAAGGAGATTAGGAGCTAGGAATATAGTCAAATAATTTTTTTACAGTAGCCAGAGCTGGCTAGAGATAAAATGAAGTGAGGTGGCTGGGAAGGACAGTTTGGGGGCTAGTTTTGGAAATTAACCTCTTGAACTGATGGTCAAAGGGAATAATCTGTGCCAGCCACCAGGGTGGAAGTGATAACTGTTCAGAAAGAATGAGGAGGGCTTCAGCAAGGAGTTGAAGTCTGAGTTGAATAGGGGTTTTACGGATGCTTATAGCATATGTAGAGGCTTGTCATGTTTAGAGGGATAGTGGGCTGGCTGAAAAACTATTTTGAGATTGTAGGCTAAGGAAACTTAGTAATTTCACAAGAAAAATAGATCTGTAACTTCTCCCACCAGACCGTAAAGTCCATAAACTTATTTGTATTTGAAGTCACCATATTCAGCATTTTCAGGCATGTAGGAGACATGTTTGTTGAAAAAAAATTTTTTTATTTGCTCAGTGATGTTTTTCCTATCTGTTATTCTTCTAGCCTTTTCTTTTATTGAACTAAGAAGCAACTGGTTTTTTAATTAAGTATAGTACCTTGAAAAGCCGTTTGAATGAAATGTCATTCTTTTTTGTTTGTTCGAGATGGAGTTTGCTCTTGTTGCCCAGGCCGGAGTGCAATGGCGCGGTCTTTGCTCACTGCAACCTCCACCTCCTGGATTCAAGCGATTCTCCTGCCTCAGCCTCCTGAATAGCTGGGATTACAGGTGCCCGCCACCATACCTGGCTAATTTTTTGTATTTTTAGTAGAGATGAGGTTTCACTATGTTGGCCAGGCTGGTCTCGAACTCCTGACCTCAGGTGATCCACCCGCCTCGGCCTCCCAAGGTGCTGGGATTACAGGCATGAGCCACCGCACCTGGCCTGAAATGTCATTTATAACCTTACTCTGAATTTTTAGAGTTACATACTTATACCTGTTACTAAAAGGAATCAACCGGGAGCAGTAGGTACTCCTATTGGAAATAGAATGGACTTACTCCTATGATCTTTAGTTGTAGATACTCACAATTCTTTTTTCTTTCCTGTTGTAAATGAAAGGTGAGAATAAGTTAGCAAAAAAATCAATTTTATTTGCTGATCAAGCTTTCAGCCTGCCATGAGGGAGGGGCTGTCTGTGCCTATTCTAGTCATATGTTCCTATATGTCTGATAATGGGGGCCCGTAGAAGAGAGAGTCTTGGTCTAGCACTGACTAAAAGGTTATCTAAAAATAGTGCCATACTGGGACTTGGCTGTCCAGACCTCTGGAAGAGGGACTATACTCTAATTATAATCCTGTTATTAAAAATTTTAAGATTTCTATATAGAAACCAGTATTTAAAAGGAAGAGGAGATGTTTCAGGTACCCCTGGAATAACTGCTATCTCAGGTGGTAGTGGTGCAGAGAGACCTGTGAGGAAGGTTCAAGGAAAAGCTATAGAGGTATAAATGGTTGAAAAGGAGAGGCGATAGTAGACAGGAATATCTGGGGCTGAAAATACATTTAAGGAAGAGAATATTTTTGTTCTTCAGGATAGGGTGAAGAAAACGACTAATGCTCTGATATATTATAGTTTGCTGTAACTTTTAGGTTATAAGTTGCAGTTTAAGTGTGTGAATTCAGATTCTATCTAGGATTTTATTATTATGAAACCACTGCTAAATAGTTACACCATTTTTACTGGAATTTTGAACCAACATCAGTATCCAAGTTGTTATTACTAAATAAAACTTTGCGAGGCCTTAACGTTACTTGGTGATATTCTCAACATTGGAAATGGCATTCATAAATAATAGCTAGCTAACATTTATGGAACATTTACTATGTGCCAGGCACTGTTTTAAGCATTTTTTATTGACCCCCATTCAGATGAGGAAATTCATTGTGCTTGAAGGCACAGAAATAGAAATTCACATAGTATACTCATGTACTTTCTTTGGACTGGCTTTAGTCAAATGAAAGAGAAAAAAGAGAAGGACTCAGGGGATAGTGTTTTTTTTTTTTTTTGAGAATTAGCCATCTGTCAGGGTTAATTTTTAAAATCAGTCTGTATGTGAGCTGAATGAGTTTGCTCATATGTGATAATGGTTTATTTGTTTTAGCAGTTCCAAATTCCAATCACTTGGGGCCTTGTTTAAAAATTATCTTGCAAAGAAATTATCACCATCTCTCACTTTGCATACCCATAATGTAATATATGTTATTGAGGGGTGGAGAGCATATGCTCTGGTACCTGCTCAGAGATCTTTTTAAAAATACAATTAAGAACATGTGTCTGGGTGCAGTGGCTCGCCCCTGTAATACCAGCACTTTGGGAGGTGAGGCGGGAGGATTGCTTGATCTCAGGAGTTTGAGCCCAGCCTGGGCAACATAGTGAGACTTCATCTCTACTAAAAATAAAAAAAAATTAGCCAGGCATGGTGGTGTGCCCCTGTAGTCCCAGCTACTCCCAGCTACTCAGGAGGCTGAGGGAGGAGGATTGCTTGAGCCTGGGAGATTGAGACTACAGTGAGCTGTGATTACGCCACTACGCTCCAGCCTGGGTGACAGAGCAAGACTCTGTCTCAAAACAAAAAACAAACAAACAAAACCCCATGTTTAGGTAAATACAGTGATTCTACATTAGAGTACATATTGTTGAATTTTTTTTTTGGTCTAACAGTGTTGATGATTATGTATCCAAACTGTAGATAAACACAGATGATTTTCTTTTTCTTTTTGCCAGAACAAGGTCTTGCTCTGTGCCCAGGTTTGAGTGCAGTAGCACAGTTGTAACTCACTGCAACCTTGAACTCCTGGGCTCAAGAGATTTTCCCAAGTAGCTGGGATTACAGGTGTGTGCTACCAGGCCCAGCTAATTTTTTGTGTTATTCTTGTTGTTTGTTTTTTTTTGGTAGAGATGAGGTTTGCCTATGTTGCCTAGGCTGGTCTTGAACTCATGGCCTCAAGTGATCCTCCTGCCTTGGCCTCCCAGAGTGATGGGATTATAGGTGTGAACCAACCATTCCCTGTCCCCAGATAGTTTTCTAAATTAATCCTCTCCCTTTATTCTCTGCAGATTGCCTTGCCTCTTTTATTGAGAATGAAACTAACATGGCTTCCTTCCTCCTTTTATTCTCAAAAATCTCCGTGACTTCACCTCTCATCCTTTTCTCCTACTTATATAGGATATCCTTTAAAGGATAAAGCTTCTGTGTTGAACGGATCCTATTGCCTCCTGTTTCTGGGACCTTTCCAACTTTTTCTCCCCTGTGTATCCTAACCCCCTGCATAGTTCCATCCCTTCTGCATACAGAGTCCTCTTCAGTTCCTCCCTTTTGAAGCCATAGCTGCTGTCTTTGCAGTATCCTTTGCATCTTCCCATTCTTTGTATTTCAACTATTACTTCCCTGGTGTATTGAAGATGGGCAACTGAATCTCTCCTTAAACTTGTGATACATTTTTGAAAAAAGATAGATAAAAGATGCAGATAAAATTAGGAAGTTCTGAACACCACATGTGTTGTGGAGTAGGGAGATGGAACATAGGAAGCAGCTTGGGGAAAACGCAACAATGAGATGTTATGAAAAGGGAGCTTACTGCTAGAACAATGGAGCACAGAGAGTTGAGGTAAAAGTGAAGAGCCCAGACCTAATAAGAAAGGGTTATAGAAAGTGTTTCAATAATTTGGAGAATTATTAGATAAACTGATGGTTTTAAAAATAGTGCCCCTGAGATGGAACTGGAAGCTCAGGAGAAGATATTAGTGTGATAATAAAGGGAAAGGCAAACTGACATTTTCTCAGGGAGCCTTGGAAAAATGTGAGAGAGGTAGGGCAACAGAGGGTTTTTTGTTTTTTTTTTTAATCAGCGCATCCATAGGGTAGGATTAATGAGATAGGTAGAAATTGATTCTGAGATTAATGGATTTATTATTTCATTCAAGATAATCTCACATGAATGATGGAAATGTGGTTTTCAATATATAAAAGAATGGTACACATTAATTCATTAATCTCAACTTTTCTTAATTTAGTAGCTCTTGTTACTATGGATAATCTGGGAATTCTGTCTTTTAAGCAATTTAAAATATAACTGGTATGCATTTGTATTTTCTTCCCAGAGTAGAATCATTGGATTTTTTAGATATGAATGAGAGGATTCACCTTTTTATAACAGCATCCTAAGAAAGTCACTATGTGCTATTTGAGTATTAACTATTTAGTACTACCCCTGATTATCGATTATGTAATAAGACAAGATCATATATAAATGTACCTTTTGATTCTGTAAGAATGTAGTTGTCTAGAATTTTTATATTTGGATTTTAATTAACTTTTGGTTAGTAAAGTTGAGAAATATTTAGTAAAGAATCATGGTTACTAAATATTATTCATTGTTTAGTAATATTTATTTGAGTAGATAATTTATGTCATGACCAGTTTAAGGCCCTGGGAATGCAGGGATGAATAAGCCTTCATGGAGCTTATATTTTAGTGGGGAAGATAAGAAATGAGCTAATCTGTCATGTGAAGAAGTGGTAAGTGCTATGAAAAAATATAACACAGAATAAGGGGAGAGACTGTGACGGGGTGGGAGCTATTTAGATAGATTAGTCAGAAAAGGCTGTTCCTGTGAGGAAGAAAATCTTGCAAAACTTATTTCAGGTAACAGTAAACGCAAAGACAGGAAAGACAGAGTCAGGACCTAACTCAGTAAGAACCGGTTTGGTATGTTGGAGGAAAAGCAAGAATGCTGGTCTGACAAGAGCTGTGAGGACAAAGTGGAGAGTAACAAGAGATGAGGGTGAAGAGGTAGGCAGGGGCCAGAGCATATTGCACCATAATGCCCATGGATTTTGAGTATAATTGAAGATCGTGTGACAAGATCTAATTTACATTTTACAAAGTTTATTCCACCTACTGACTGGCAAACTGGCTTTAGAAAAGGCAAGGTCTGAAGCACTGAACTATTTAGGAAGCTTTTGCAGTGATCTAGGCCTATGGTTTCCAATGTTCAGGAACAAACTGTTAAAACTATTATATTAACTATTTATATTGCTTTATTTAAAAAAATTAAGCTTTACTAATATTTAATATACAGATTGGCACTGGCATCCTTGTCTTATCTGCACGTTAGTCACATGTCATTTAACATTTTTGGCTTGAGCAACTGGTGAATGTTGGTGCCATTTACTGGAATGAGAAGACTGAGGGAGGAGCAGGGTTTGTTTTGAGGTGAGAGTGAGTTGGGGAATCAGTATCTCAGTTTTGAGCATTTTAGGTTTGTGAAATCTAAATACCTACTAGAAATCTAATATCAGGTAGATGGTTTAGATATATGAATCTGGAGCCAAGGTTAGAAGCCAAGATTAGAGATCTAAATTTGGAAATCATTAGTATAGAGACAGTATACACCAGCTTTGGAGCCAAACTGTGAATGCAAATTTCAGTTCTGCCACTTACTAACTGTGTAATTATAGGCAAGTTACTTGACATCTGTCTGCATCATTTATCTCATCTGTAAAATGGGGGTAATAATGTCTACCTCATAGGGTTATTGTGAGGATTAAATTAGTTATTACAAACAAAGTGATTAGAACAGTGTGGCCGAGGGTACTCACTAGATGTTAACTGTTAGGATCAGTTTTTGAATAGTGTTTAAGCCATGAGATTAGGGCCGGGTGCGATTGCTCACTTCTGTAATCCCAGCATTTTGGGAGGCCGAGGCAGGTGGATCGCTTGAGCCCAGGAGTTCGAGAGCAGCCTGGCAAACATGGTGAAACCCCGTCTCTACTAAAAATACAAAAATTAGCCAGGTGTGGTGGCGTGTGCCTGTAGTCCCAGCTACTCAGGAGGCTGAGGCAGGAGAATCACTTGAACCTGGGAGGCAGATGTTGCAGTGAGCCAAGATTGCGCCACTGCACTCCAGCCTGGGTGACAGAGCAAGAGTCTGTCTCCAAAAAATAAAGACCATGAGATTAGATAACTTAGAGAATGAGTTTAGATAGGGAAAAGGGCCAAGGAGGGACCCCTGAAGCAATATAACCTTTAGAATTCAGAAACTGGGTTGGGTGCGGTGGCTTTCGCCTGTAATACTAGCACTTTAGGAGGCTGAGGCGGGCAGATCACCTGAGGTCAGGAGTTTGTGACCAGCCTGGCTAATATGGTGAAAAACCCTGTCTCTACTAAAAATACAAAAATCAGCTGGGTGTTGTGGCAGGCGCCTGTAATCTCAGCTACTCAGGAGGCTGAGGCAGGAGAATTGCTTGAACCTGGGAGGCGGAGGTTGCGGTGAGCCGAGATTGTACCATTGCACTCCAGCCTGGGCTACAGAGCGGGACTCCATCTCAAATAATAATAATAATAATAATTCAGAAACTGGAGAGAGGAGATTGAGGAGTGAAGTAGGAATCAAACCTGAAGGGTATGTTGGCTAGAAGCCTGCCTAGTGAAGAAAATATTTCAACTTAGACAAATTCTGCTTGAGAGGCTAAGATGAGCACCAAGAATTGACCAACTGGGTTTGTCAAGATGGAAGTTTTTGGAGACCTTGAGAAGTAGTTTTATTAGAGTGGTGGGGATGAAAGCCTGATTAGCATAGCTGAAGGACAGAATTGGATGTACGAAATTGGAGGCACTGAGTATAGATGGCACATTAGAGGAGTTTTGCTGCAAAGAGGGATAGAGAAAATGGTGTGGTAGCTAGAAGAAAATGTGTGGGGTCAAGGAAAGTTAGGGGTGTGTATGTGTGTTGATTTAAAGATGGAAAATAGTATAGTAAGTTTGCATGCTGATGAGAATGACCCAGTGGAAAGAAAAAACTGATCATATTTGAGATGTGGAAAATATCATGGGAAATTGCAGCAGCCATGACCTTGAGTAGGTAAAATGAAGGTGCATAAGGGGAGAAGTTGATTTTAAAACATTGGCAGAGACTTTTCATCCATTGATGAAGGTAGAGAATATTAATGGAGGTACAGATAGACTGGTAGATGTCGTTGTGGGAAAATGTAGTTTTTTCTGATTGCTTTAATTTTTATGGAAAAGTAGGGTAGGATCATCAGTTGAGAGTCAGAATTGGGAGGGGGTTTATAAAATTTGAGAGAGAGGAGGTGGTGTGATATAGGCATCTTGGAAGATAGGAAAATGAGTTGACTAGGGAAGATCTAGCAGGTGGATTTGTCAAGGAGGTCAGAAGGCTAGCTTGACATTTGTGGTCATTTGTTTAAAGTGATTCCAGCTGGCTAAGGAGGGCAGGGTGGTCTTGAGATGACATATGGTGAGAAATTGATAGGAACAATGCCTTTTCTGCTTCTATTTGAAACATCTTTAGTCCTGTGACTGGTAGTATTGCTCTCAGAACATTTCTGTGGTATAGGCAGGCAGCAACAGAGGAATTAATAAAAATGAATAGACCAAAAAATAATGATTTCATTTTTGCCCATGTTCAGTGTTTATATCATGTTTTATGTAGTGAATGAGTTCCTCCAAAAGTTTATGTTGCCATCTGTCCTTGGATATGCCTATTTTACACAAATGATACCAAGCAAGCCCTAGGACACTTTCAATAAATTATACTTGGTTGCTGAGTTATGTAAAGAAAGCAAAATGCTGTAGTGGAGAAGCTCCATACATTTTCTTGATAGACATGAAAGCCTCACCAAAATTTTCCCTAGGACCCGTGGTTTTCATCAATCTAGAGTTATCATTCATGTTGATATTATACTTTTATGTTGATTACCGAGAAATTCAAAGTCTGGTTTTCTTTTCTTACAGGTGCTGGAGAATCTGGTAAAAGCACCATTGTGAAACAGATGAAGTAAGTTGGAATGTAGCGTTTTGTTAGACTAGGATTTCTCCTAATGCATATAAAGTCCATAGTATCTTTTCATTTTAGGTCCATGGTATTGACTTGTGGTTTTCTTTGTTTTAAAGAATCATTCATGAGGATGGCTATTCAGAGGATGAATGTAAACAATATAAAGTAGTTGTCTACAGCAATACTATACAGTCCATCATTGCAATCATAAGAGCCATGGGACGGCTAAAGATTGACTTTGGGGAAGCTGCCAGGGCAGTAAGTGTTTCTCATTTCCTCTTCACTTGCTCTTATTCAGCAGATACAGTTAAGTTAAGCAAAATTTTTGCTTCATGTTTTAGGGAAATGAATTTAAGCAACAAGATAAAATGTAGCAAAGTACTTTGTGCTCACTTGAGAAATGTTAGCAATCTACTTTAGCAGGTGTTAGATATAACCACCCCAAGAGGAGCCTAGGAAATGGGATTCTGTGGGTGCACGGTAGGTTTCTGGGATAACTGTTCTATTCAATTGCTTTTTTTTTTTTTTTAACAGCACTGTTGACTTTTATAGTAGTAGATAATAGTACATTAAAATAATCTAAGAGAAAGGTTGCCATGATATGTAGCTCTGCTTTCTGAGGTGTACAGATTAAAGGCCAAAATCAGTCTCCCAGAATAAATTCTGTAAGGACATGAGCACTAAGTCCAAATTCTTGAATATCTAAGTCAGATATTCAAGAATACTGTATACTACATGGAACCTAAGGCTATAGAATTGGAGTATAACATGCCCTAGTATAATTCTTTAATGCCTTGCACATGTCAGCTATTTAAAAAGTTGTATTATTATAATAATACTTAGTGGACCCTGAAGATCTAGTTTATAAAATTAGAGCATGTGTAATTAGGATGTTTTATGCCATTGGGGAGGGTGCCAATATGAAGGCAGGAGATCTTTGATATTATTATCAGCTAAAATCCAGAGAAGGCTGGGAAATTATAGAATTATTTCCTACATCTAAGGGACTCACTGGCTGTGTTCAGAGTGTCATACTTATGTGCCATGGCGAAATAAAAGGAAATGATTTGGGAGGTCTGCCTGGAAAGGCAAAACCTATATGTCTATGAAGTTGCTTAGGAACTCTCATAAGCCACTCCCAACTTATCAAATGCGAATTTATATTTGATAAAAAGATAGGAAATTGTTGAGGGGAAATACTGAAAGGGTAGTCACAGTTGGATAGTGTTAGACTAGAAAGTGTCTTAGAAATGGCATAAAGGAAGAGGAGCTGGATTAGGGATTGTGAAATGAGAGACTTGTATCAAAAAATAAGAAAATATGTGAATGTGACTTTTATATTTTTGTGAAATATATCACAGAGACTATTTTTCTATGCATCTGAGCAGGGAAGTTTGGCAGTCAAGCAAAAATAAAGCCTTTATCCTTGTCTTACCCTTTCCTATTCCTTCTCTCACCCCCTGCTTTTGTTTCCTTCTTTTCCTCTTTTTCTTCTTTATACCAGCTCTATCTGTGGTCTTATTTTTTCTTCCTCCCTTTTCTCATTTCTCCCTATCACCTAACTCTACTTCTCTGTTGTATTTGTTGTATCTGGTAACTGGTCAGTAGTACTGTATTTATTCTCTTCCTTCTCTCTGTTGGTTTTTTCTCTGTCTCAGTTATTTATTCTTTTAGTTTGTCCCTTTTCTCTTTCCCTCTTTAATTTTATTCCCCGCCGTCTGTCTTCCTTTATTTATCTCCCTACCCTTTCATTTCTTTTTTTTTTTTTTTTTTTTTTTTTGGAGACGGACTCTCGCCCTGTCGCCCAGGCTGGAATGCAATGGCTGGCTGCAGCCTCTGCCTCCCAGGTTCAAGCGATTCTCCTGTCTCAGCCTCCTGAGTATCTGAGATTACAGGCGCTCACCTCCACGCCCAGCTAATTTTTGTATTTTTAGTAGAGATGGAGTTTCACCATGTTGGCCAGGCTGGTCTCGAACTCCTGACCTTGTGATCCGCCCGCCTCGGCCTCCCAAAGTGCTGGGATTATAGGCGTGAGCCACCGCTCCCGGCCCCATTTCTTTCCATTATCAAATCAATTGTCATTAATCTTTGTATCCTAATACTCTTGTGTCACCAGATGCAGTTGACATCATTAGTCCCTCTCAGGCCTCCTAAATCATCCAGCTTTCTGGTGTCCACACAACCTAGTCTGTAATCCTATATTATAATTTTTAAACATTGCTTTTTATTTTTCCTTCTGTGTGTAAGGTTTTATGTTTATAGCTCCTCTCTTATTGTCTTCTAGTATTTTTGTTTGTTTGTTTTTTGAGGCGGAGTTTTGCTCTTGTCACCCAGGCTGGAGTGTAACGGTACGATTTTGGCTCACTGCAACCTCTGCCTCCTGGATTCAAGTGATTCTCCTACCTCAGCCTCCCAAGGAGCTGGGATTACAGGCGCCTGCCACCACGGCTGACTAATTTTTGTATTTTTAGTAGAGATGGGGTTTCGTCATGTTGGCCAGGTTGGTCTTGAATTCCTGACCTCAGGTGATCCACTTGCCTTGGCCTCCCCAAGTGCTGGGATTACAGGTGTGAGCCACTGTGCCCGGCTTCTACTCTAGTTTTTTATAGTTGGTTAGAGAGTGTGAATGGAAAAAAAATAGAGCTGAGTGTGGAATAGGTTCCTTTTTCACATCTGCTTAAGTGTGGAGGTGTGAAGTTTATTGTAAAGAGGGGCCTCTTCTGTTTTTTTTTTTGTTGTTGTTTTTTGTTTTTTTTGAGACAGAGTTTCACTCTTGTTGCCCAGGCTGGAGTGCAATGGTGTGACCTTGGCTCACCGCAACCTCTGCCTCCTGGGTTCAAGCGATTCTCCTGCCTCAGCCTCCCGAGTAGCTGGGATTATAGGCATGCACCACCATGCCCGCCTAATTTTTTTGTATTTTTAGTAGAGACGGGGGTTTCTCCATGTTGGTCAGGTTGGTCTGGAACTCCTGACTTCAGGTGATCCATCTGCCTTGGCTGCCCAAAGTATTGGGATTACAGGCGTGAGCCACCATGCCCAGCCAAGAGGCACCTCTTTATAGACCTTTAGAGAGGGTTTATTGTGGGGAAGCAAGAGCAGGTCAGTGGAAGAAATTAAGTGATAAGAAAAAAGTGTTTGCTCCTAAAAGAATATTTAAAGAGTCAGGACAGCAAAAAAAGTAGTAATAATTCCCTCTCTTTTGAAGTTTCTAAAATTAGAGTCATGGTTTTTTTCTGTTTTTTTTTTTTTTTAAAGTAGTGCTTAATAAGGTTATTTGAATACGTGCATGGGTATAGGTCAAATTTCAGAACCAGGGGATTATGAAGACTTCACATGTTAGATAAAGCACCATACCTTGCATATGTACAAGGACATGCTCACTGCTGAGTATGTTTGCCAATTTGTCTAATATTTCAACTTTTCTCATTCATTTGTTTAAAATTTTATCTTTGAAAAGAAAGGGAGGGGCATATAGATCTTAGCTAAGGTGTTTTTTTTGTTTTTTTTTTTTTTTTGAGATGGAGTTTTGCTCTGTCGCCCAGGCTAGAGTGCAATGGCACCATCTCAGCTCACTGCAACCTCCGCCTCCTGGGTTCAAGCAATTCTCCTGCCTCAAACTCCCGAGTAGCTGGGACTACAGGCACACGCCACCATGCCCAGCTAATTTTTGTATTTTTAGTGGAGATGGGGTTTCACCATGTTGGCCAGGATGGTCTCAATCTCTTGACCTTGTGATCCACCCGCCTCGGCCTCCCAAAATGCTGGGATTACAAGTGTGAGCCACCATGCCCGACCAGCTAAGGTGTCTTAGAGTTGAGCCTAGTCTACCGCCATGCCACCCTGAATGCGCCTGATCTCAGAAGCTAAATGAGAGTGGGTTGAGCCTAAATATTACTAGAAAGAATACAGGAAAGGATCATAAAGGAGGAAATATTACTAGGTAAAAACCATTAGAGCTGGAGACCCAGAGTTTGGCAAAAATAATTTGAGTGCACCATGGATGGTTTTGTTTTGCTAAGGTGGATGCACAAGTTCTGGTAATTCACAAGTCTTTGGAGTTTTAGGTTGTGAGTTCACCTGTGGTCTGAAATGACTTTTGCTTGTTAGTTTATTTGTCTTGATGACTACTTAAGATACAAATGATTGCTCCCCTTTCTCCTTTACTTTTTCTTTACACGTTATATACTTTTTAAATTTTTTATTTTTATAGTTATTTGGAATCTCTCAAGGTAGATAAATATTAGATGTGGATGGGAAAATCATCCCGTGAGACCTGTGTTTAATTTTAAACCAACAAGTAGGGATGGATAGAATAAAGGAAAACAATAAAAATCTCATAATCCATTTCTGTCCTCTCCCTCACATATTTTATGTTTAAAAACTATAACCACCTAGAAAACTATGGCTATGTCTGGGCCCAGTGGCTCACGCCTGTAATCCCAGCACTTTGGGAGGCTGAGGCGAGTGGATCACCTGAGGTCAGGTGTTCGAGACCAGCCTGGCCAACATGGCGAAACCCCTCTCTACTAAAAATAGAAAAATTAGCTGGGCATGGTGGCAGATGCCTGTAATCCCAGCTACTTGGGAGGCTGAGGCAGGAGAATCGCTAGAACCCAGGAGGCGGAGGTTACAAGGAGCCGAGATCACATCATTGCACTCCAGCCTGAGTGACAAGAGCGAAACTCCGTCTCAAAAAAAAAAAAAAAAAAAAAGAAAAGAAATAAAGAAAACCATGGCTATGACTCATGAAGTTATGGTTACTTTCTTTTCCTCCTGCTCCCTTCCTTTCCCTCTCTCAGAACATTATTATTATTCCTTATTCCTTTAGGGAAATCTAGGGACTGTTTGAATCTTTCCCTGAGGGATTTATTTCCCCCATTAGGCTTCTAGACCTTAAGTGCCTCCATCTCCTCTTCTTGTTCTACTGTCTGGGCTGAAGGCAAAGAAGAGAATACTTTTTTCTTAAACTTGATTAATGTTTTACTCCCTTTGAGGTGTTTAGACTTTACCTCTTATGTGCTAGTCTTTTTATTTCTATTTTTAGTGTAGGCTTCCTTTAATAGAACGGGAATGTTTTACATAATCCTGTCTCATAAACCAGTTTTTTTCTCTCAAAAATTATTAGCAATCTGGATGGAGATTTGTGGGCTGGCCAGAAATGATCTTTTCTGGGGATGGTGGTGTGTGGAGGAGTGGTGGGGAAGTAAAATCATTCCTCAGCTCAGTTCTGGACTTAAAACTGTAGTGAAATGAGAATAAGGAAAGACTTAATTATAAATTCTGTCATGCTGGCCTGTCAGAAAAGGTCTCTGTAACAACACCTCTTTTAACATAACATGTAATGTGTCTATATTTTAAAGAGACTGTCATCAAGTCTTAAAGAAATGGAGAGTCATCTGTCTCTTTCTTAACTGCTTTCTTCAGGATGATGCCCGGCAATTATTTGTTTTAGCTGGCAGTGCTGAAGAAGGAGTCATGACTCCAGAACTAGCAGGAGTGATTAAACGGTTATGGCGAGATGGTGGGGTACAAGCTTGCTTCAGCAGATCCAGGGAATATCAGCTCAATGATTCTGCTTCATAGTAAGTAATTTTTCTCTGTGAAACTATAACAGAGAATAACTTGGTGACACTACAGAAATTTTAGTCCCCACTTAAGGAAATGTTTAAGTAATAGACACTCTTAGACGTTTATAGGATACTTTATAAAAATTGTCTAAGTTTAGGATTATAGAGCCCTTGGTCATTTGTATGATTTGGAGAAAAAAGTTCCCTCTTGGAATGTAAATGGGAGACTTGGCACCACAAAATTAGTTCCATGGCATTTTATTATAAGCAAGTGAAGGAGGAGAGACATCTGTTGTGGCTGGGTTCTGAATCTGTTCCAACTCATAAGTTCCCTCTGTGTAAGGGCTTGGCACTGATAGCCAGCTAGAGAGGGAAATTAGAATAGTGGTATTCCTTTTTATGCAGCCAGCTCTCTGTGTCTGGGCCGCACTATGGACTTCACTAGTAACCCTTTTGCCAGATCACAGTAGTAGACTTTGTATAGAAAGAGAAGGTTGAGTCATGGAATGAAGTTGAAGTATCTTTTTGTCAAGGATATTATCTTGAGTGTTAATATAGTTTTAGAGAATTTGTAATGAATACTTATATTAAGCTATTACATGTTATCCTATTTTACCTCTTTTACATATACTTATTTATGAAACCTAGATTCAGAATGTATTTTTTTTGTTTTGAGACGGAGTCTCGCTCTGTCGCCCAGACTGGAGTGCAGTGGCTCCATCTCCGCTCACTGCAAGCTCCACCTCCCAGGTTCACACCATTCTCCTGCCTCAGCCTCCCAAGTAACTGGGACTACAGGCGCCCGCCACCATGCCCGGCTAATTTGTATTTTTAGTAGAGACGGGGTTTCAACGTGTTAGCCAGGATGGTCTCGATCTCCTGACCTCGTGATCCACCCACCTCTGCCTCCCAAAGTGCTGGGATTACAGGCGTGAGCCACCGTGCCTGGTCCGGAATGTATTTTTTTTTAATGTACTTTTGCGGGGCCTGGTGAGCACTTGTTATCTGTATTTCTCTCTGTACTGGATGAGGGCACGTTTAAGCATTAAAGTTTTTTCTCCAATATTACTGTTTTCCTACTTTTCACGTCATGATTCTAGCTTAAATTGTTACAAGAAGAAATTAAATGATATAGTCAGGCTGTGCATAAGGACAGGGATACTTTCTGAAAAATGCATCATTAGGTGATTTGTCATTGTGTGAACATTGTAGAGTATGCGTACACAGAATTAGATGGTATAGCCTACTACACACCTAAGCTATATGGTATAGCCTGTTGCTCCTAGGCTATGAACCTGTACAGCATGTTATTGTACTAAATACTGTAGGCAATTGTAACATAATGGTAAGTATTTGTGTATCTCAGCATCTCTAAACATATAAAAGGGTAATGCAATGGCTATGATGTCACTGGGGCTAGGAGTGTTTCAGCTCCATTATAATCTTACAGGATCACTAGCATACATTTATACAGTCTGTTGTTGACCAAAACATTGTTATGCAGCACATGACTGTATTTGAAAACTTGCTTATTCTTTCAATGAGAACTTGGCTTTAGAAACGTTTCAGGATTCTTGCCTACCTTTTAATAACATCTTAGTTGCAAGTATTGATAGCTTAAATAATTCTACCAGTGGTCATCAAAGGTAGATTATAATTGCTTTTTTTCATCTTTCATTCAGAAAGCTCTGAATCCTCTAACTACATGTGCTTATAGAGATTTTCATAACTGTTGATCTAAGCTTGCCTCTTTACATTAGTGATAGTATTTGGTTTTATAGATCATTAATGATTCACTTACATTGGTGCCATCTGCTCATCAGTTTTCTAGCCTGGAATCAGCAAAGAATACAGTTTTGAAGCAGTCTTTTAATTATTTCCCTGAACAAATTAATTTTTTTGGAGGTATTTACAATTTGTTTTTGATTTAGATTAAAAAAAAAAACCCCAGACCTCCCCAGCTCTTCTGTTTACTGAAAGAAAACGGAAAATATTCTTACTCACTATAGTTCTCTCAATTTTAGTTAATCAAACACCATTCTCTAATGTCCTGTCAAATGGTTAAACACGCATGACCTATTGAGTTTAATTGTCTGAGGACTTTTGGTATAGTTTGGTTTTGATATTATACAGTACACAGTTGATTTAGTATTACATTTCAGGAATTTTTCTTTAATAAGAACATTTCCTGTTCCTATTGTTTTAATTTTTTAAATTGGCCTTCACAATTTAATTCTGTAGAATTAAACCTACTTTTGTGTCCGGGCGCGGTTGCTCACGCCTGTAATCCCAGCACTTTGGGAGGCCGAGACAGACGAATCACCTGAGGTCAGGAGTTTGAGACCAGCCTGGCCAACATGGTGAAACCCCATCTCTACTAAAAATACAAAAAATTAGCTGGGCGTAGTGGCGGGCACCTGTAATCCCAGCTGTTCAGGAGGCTGAGGCAGGAGAATCATTTGAACCCAGGAGGCGGAAGTTGCAGTGAGCCGAGTTCGCACCACTGCACTGCAGCCTGGGTGACAGAGTAAGACTCTGTCTCAAAAAAACAAAACAAAACAAAACAAAACAAAAAAACCTACTTTTGTTAATATATATAGACTCTATACTTTAATTGTCCTATGTTGGATTCATATTTTTTCTTATTATTTCTTTCTTTTTTTAAGAGACGGGGGTCTCACTCTGTCACTCAGGCTGGTGTACAGTGGCACTCTGCAGCCTTGACCTCTTGGGTTCAAGTGATCCTCCTGCTTCACTCAAGGGTAGGAGGATTAGCTAGGACTACAGGCATGCACCACCATGCTTAGCTAATTTTTAAAATATTTTGTAAAGACGGGTTTCTTTATGTTGCCCAGGCTGGTCTTGAACTCCTGGCCTCAAGCGACCTTCCTGCCTTGGCCTCCCAGAGTGTTGGGATTACAGGTGTGAGCCACCATGCCTGGCTTATCATTTCTATGATACTGAAGATCTGATTCTGTTTTGCCACTTAATAACTAGTAACAGGTTTAAAATAGGAACTAATTTAGTCTGTTCATTTGCTATGCACATGGTTGGCTTCACCAAGTAAAAGTAAACGTGTCTTTTATTTAGTTATCTAAATGATCTGGATAGAATATCCCAGTCTAACTACATTCCAACTCAGCAAGATGTTCTTCGGACGAGAGTGAAGACCACAGGCATTGTAGAAACACATTTCACCTTCAAAGACCTATACTTCAAGTAAGTCATTAGCCTTTTTGCTAGGTGTGCCAAATACAAGTATCTTTCATTTTAGTTTACCATCTCTTAATCAGGGTAAAATTTCTCTGGGCAGTATTCCTTGGTTTAAACTTAACATATTTATCAGCATTGTTTGAATATTTTAACTGAATGGGGGCCCAAACATCTCTTGTTTCTCCAAATAGCGTCAAATGTTTGTGTCCTTTTAGAGGAATTTAAATTCAAAAATAAATTTAACTTGCCTCCCAGTAAAATTTTTCCTGTGATAACTGGTTTGTTTTAATTTTATTATTTTCAGCTGCTTTTTTGTTAGACTCACCAATTCAGATATTGAATGTTTAATAGGATAACAATATTAAACTTATGAAAACCAGTTTTTTTTCGGTTAGTTACATGGTTTTGTTTTGCCATTTTGATTTAAAATAGAAATGCTTTTCTCACCAGTGTCACTTCTTATTGGTTTGAATTTCCCTTCAAGTTGAATGGAATGGAGCAAGTATTGTCATGGCTCTTAAAGTAATTTGTGCATAGTGTCATGTACAATTAACTTCTTAATACAGTGCAGAATGGAAAATAGACTTGGGGATAGAGGTATTTTGGGTTGGTAAGATGACATATAAACAGTGATTTTTTTGGTTTGTTTTTAAATTTTTATTTTTTTAGAGACAGGGTCGTACTCTGTCGTCCAAGCTAGAGTGGAGTAGTGTGATCACAGCCCACTGCAACCTTGACCTCCTGGGCTCAAGTGATCCTTCTGCCTCAGCCTTCCAAGTAGCTGGGACTATAGGCTCATGCCACTGTGCCTGGCTAATGTTTTAAAAAAATTTTATGTAGAGACAGGATCTCTCTTTATTGCCCAGGCTGGTCTCAAACTCCTGGGCTCAGGCTATTCTCCCACCTCAGCCTCTCAAAGTGCTGGGATTGCAGGTGTGAGCCACCGTGCCCAGCCCAACTGTGATTGTTTTAGAGAGAGAAAATTCTAGTATTCTAATACAAATAACTTTCTCATTAGCATTAGTAATTCTTTTTTTTTTGAGATGGAGTCTTGCTCTGTTGCCAGGCTGGAGTGCAGTGGTGCGATCTCGGCTCGTTGCAACCTCTGCCTTCCGGGTTCAAGTGATTCTCCTGCCTCAGCCTCCTGAGTAGCTGGGAGTACAGGTGCGTTGCACCACGCCCGGCTAATTTTTTTTTTTTTTTTTGTACTTTTAGTAGAGATGGGCTTTTACCGTGTTAGCCAGGATGGTCTCTATCTCCTGACCTGGTGATCCGCCCACCTTGGCCTCCCAAAGTGCTGGGATTACAGGTGTGAGCCACCACACCCAGCAACATTAGTAATTCTAAAACAAGCCTCAGCTTGTCTCTGTGTTAATGGTCTTTTATAAATATTAGAAATGTTTATTTTGGTTCCCATTTTCTTCTTTTGTGACCTTTGAGATTAGGAGTAAACTTTTCCCCTTCAATATACCATGTGTTCTTTAGTTATGGCATTATGCTTATATGTAGAATGTGATGTTTGTTATTATTGCATACAGATGTAACTACTACCTCAAATCCTCTCAGTTCTTTCTCTGAAAACAACTGTTCCACAGGATTTGTGAAATCCACATAGGGTTTACGTATTACTAGATACCAGTTGGGGTCTTGAAATCCTAATACACCAAACTAGATTTTTTCCTGGTGCAGGAAAATAGCAGTTCAGCTATGAATGCTTTTAGAATAGACTTGCTGCTTATCTTTAGTACTGATGAATTTATTTAGCAAGAGCAGCAAAGACCACATGGATTATCACTCGTGAGACCATAAGAATGAGATTTCTTTGTATAAGGTTTGTAATCTACTTATAATTAAAAGTTGTGATCATTATTTAGTGTTGGAAACTTTCTTATTGGTGTTGTTATATAAATCAGTCTTTAGTTAGGCAAATCCTAACTGTCCTGTCTTTTTATGCCATGATCAATAGCCAGATCTAATTAAGGTGCCACACCTACTTGATTGTTGGCATGTAGATATCTTGTTATGAAGTACTATCATTTCTTCCTTTTCCTCTTCTCTCTAGGCAAAACTACTATCCATTTATTCAAACATTTATTGAGCATCTACCATATGCAAGGCATTGTGTAATTGCTTACTTGCCTCTCAGTTAATGAGGTAATGTTTATAAAATGTTGATCTCTTAGTGAATGATATTGTAAATGTTAATATGTGCTAAAAGCCCACCTTGGAACTTCACAGTGTTATACAGACTTTGTAGAAGAAAATGGGGGAGTAAATTGAAGTTACTGGTGTGTCTCCCCTTGAGACCTCCATGGTGAAATATATGATGTTAGCCTTCCTAAAACCTGTATTGTGACCCTATATTAAAGCCAACTTGTGATTACATCATTTCAGGTGTCATGACCAAAGGTCAAAAAGAATCGTGCAAGATCAACCCAAAGGAAGAGTTGGGTCATAAAGAGATAATTCCTTTCAAGCATACATTGAGAAATCACCAACTGTGTCTTATTTCTTTCAATTTCTGGGGGAAAACATCTCTGGAAATGTAGGCCTCTAGTCACTATAGATCTTATACATTAAACCAGTTTGGCAGAGTTTAGCCTTTAAAAATTGTGTCATTTTCTTCAAACACCGATCACAAGTAACAATTTGCATGTGTACATCATTAGACCTAAGTATCAGCTAAAACACAAAGCAGTGCAGATCTTTTTACTATAGGAGGTAGTTGAGGATGCTGTTGATAGAAGTTCAGCAGTTGACTCAGAATACCAAGTAAGTCACCCAGAAGACAGTATTGGACTAAAACTAATATGGAGTGTAACATAAAGTTTGTGAACAGTTGAGACTTTATTAATTAGGTTTAAGTAAGACTCGGAGTTTGGAAATATTGGTCAAGGCTGTTTTTTAGTTATTGGGTTCATAGAATCCTACCATAAAAATATAATTTATTTGTTTTTACAATTAATCTCTAATTTTTTTTTTAAGGTAAGGAAAACAAACTTAATAGGGAGAAGTTATGGAAGCAGAGTGCAAATAGGGCATTTAGAGGCAAACCATTTTGAGAGTCAGAACATGGGTGCTGGAGTTAGAGTGCCTAGGTTCAGATCCCCAGTCCCTGTTTGTTAGTAGTGTACCTTTGAGCAAATCATTTAACATTGAATGTGCCTCAATTTCTTTATCTGTATAATTGGGATAATAATAATAGTACTTCTAGGAGTGTTACAAGGGCAAAATGAGTTAAGATGTTTAGTAGTAGTGTCTGGCACCATGGTAAGCACTCAATAAATATACCATTATTATTATTATCTCAAACTGTTTTATTTAGCTCTTTGCTTTTCCTGTCTTTTCCCCTCCTTCCTTTAATCCATTTCAGTGCTTATTCTGCTGACTTTTCACACATCTGGTACAAGCTTTGATAGAGAAGAGGCTCAGCTATCTAAAATGAGAATCTAGATTATTCACAAGTTTTATTTTCTCATGTTGTTGTCTTGTACTTTTAGCCAGGATAATTATTTTGACTGCATTTAATCTATTCTTTTTCTTCTATTATAAATGAAGTTTTGAATATGTAATAGTGGGAAGTTTCCTAATCATTTCAGTTTAGGGGAAGGTGTATGTGTGACCTTGCTGAATTTGCTTTCTTTCCCCTTGCGCAGGATGTTTGATGTAGGTGGCCAAAGATCAGAACGAAAAAAGTGGATTCACTGTTTTGAGGGAGTGACAGCAATTATCTTCTGTGTGGCCCTCAGTGATTATGACCTTGTTCTGGCTGAGGACGAGGAGATGGTATGTTGGAGCTTCTGGTAAAAAGCCTGTCTAATGTAGCCAGGAAATGGAAAATAACTTATTAGGAAGATTATCTGCATCCATTTCCTCATTCAACCAAAACTTAGTATCTTTAATTTTTTTGATCTGTGCCCTATTACTCTAAAAAAGATGTTATAGCCACCTTGAGTATGTGGAAAGGATGTTAGCCAGCCCTTCCTCCTACCTCCTCTCCCCCAAAAATTACAAAAATGAGGACTGACACTCAACTTTATCTTATTGGTGTTTGACTTATTTCCGTGAATGCCATTTAGTGCTGCAAAACTTGTTGGTTTGTCTTTTTCATTAACTTAATCCACTTTTACTATTTGCTACTGACCTATCATCCTTTATTTCTTTTTCAGAACCGAATGCATGAAAGCATGAAACTGTTTGACAGCATTTGTAATAACAAATGGTTTACAGAAACTTCAATCATTCTCTTCCTTAACAAGAAAGACCTTTTTGAGGAAAAAATAAAGAGGAGTCCGTTAACTATCTGTTATCCAGAATACACAGGTAAGGGGTTATGAAAGATTTTATTGGAGGTACACATCTTACTTAGATCAACACTTTGGTGGCATTCATAAAACTGCCTTTTTTTTTTTAATGATTGATTGGGAGAGTATTCAGTGGTAGTGGCATTGGCATTAAGCCTGTGATTAAAAGCCCCTAAGTCAAGAGTGCCATATCAGACACAATTGAGTTTTCTGTGTTTATTTTAAATTTCTATCTTCATTTTTTGAGGAAAATACAAAAGGAGAAAAAGTAAATTTGGGAGCTGGGCATGGTGGCTATAATTCTAGCTACTTGGAAGCTTGAGGCAGGAGGATCATTTGAGCCCAAGAGTTTGAGATCAGTCTAGGCAACATAGTGACACCCCCCTGCCTCACAAAAAATAAAGTAAAATTTGGTATATGTTGAAGAAAATACAAGGGTAAATTTTAATCATTGTGCCCAAGAGACTGACATGTAGTTGCAGAGAGACATAAATAATTTTATTATAGTGTTTAATTGCACATAAATAATTTTATTATAGTGTAAAATATGCATTAATAGAAGTGGAATAGAAGTGGTTACTTCTGATGGGGTCACTGTAGTCTTTTTCTAGAGCTACTAAGAGGATGAAATAGAAATCATCAGGCAGACGGGAATAAAAGCATTTTAGAAAAGAGGAATTGCATATATGAGAATATGGAGGTAGGAAAATGGTATGACCAGTTGTGGAACCCAGAAGGAATTTGGTATTACTAGAGTTTACAGTGGCAGGGAAGAAGTGGTTGGAGAGATGGTCAGAGATCAACTCATGGAGGGCCTTATATCTCATGCTGAGACGATGATCAGTTAAAGGTTTAATATCCTACCATGATCCATATCATGGGGTGCATGATATAGAAGAAACTGTGCTTGAGAAAGATTATGCAATAAATAATAAAGATAGATAGTAGGGGATTTGAATTAGTAAGAACTCAGGATGGAAATAAAAACTTTTGATGGGGATTAAGGGATATATCATAGAACCCAAGGGCAAGAATGGACAGGTCTTAGAATGGAATTAGAACTAGGAAATAATTGTCAGGAACCCTGGAAGCACTCTTTATCCCCATCTTTTTTCTCTCCTCTCTGTGTATCTTTTTTATTATTCTTTCTTTCCTAACCAGCTTTCTCTGCTATTCAGTTTATGTGATAACAGCCTAGTCACAGTTTCTGTATCTCTGGTAAAAAGATCAGACTAGGCTGGGCGCGGTGGCTCACGCCTGTAATCCCAGCACTTTGGGAGGCCGAGGCGGGTGAATCATGAGGTTAGGAGATCGAGACCATCCTGGCTAACACAGTGAAACCCCGTCTCCACTAAAAATACAAAAAAAATTAGTTGGGCTTGGTGGCAGGCACCTGTAGTCCCAGCTACTCGGGAGGCTGAGGCAGGAGAATGGCATGAACCCGGGAGGCAGAGCTTGCAGTGAGCCGAGATCGCGCCACTGCACTCCAGCCTGGGCGACTGAGCAAAAAAAAAAAAAAGATCAGACTAGACTGGGATTGCTTGGCCTTGGTTTCAAATTCCAAGGAGAGAGATTCTGGCCGTGGTTAAGTCAGGCAGAAATCTGTAGGCCAATCAGTTGAGGTCAGGGGCACAAATGTAACTGCCAGGGATGGATCACTATGAAACTTATAGATCAGAATCAGGTATTTCCAGAGAAGGGGAACTCTTATTAGCAGAGACACTGTAAATGCTTTCTATAATAAAGTGAGGCTGGGTGCAGTGGCTCATGCCTGTAATCCCAGCACTTTGGGAGGCCGTGGCAGGTGGATCATGAGGTCAAGAGATCGAGACCATCCTGACCAATGTGGTGAAACCCTGTCTCTACTAAAAATAGAAAAATTAGCTGGGCATGGTGGTGTGCGCCTGTAATCCCAGCTACTCGGGAGGCTGAGGCAGGAGAATCGCTTGAACCCGGGAGGCGGAGGTTGCGGTGAGCCGAGATCGCACCACTGCACTCCAGCCTGGTGACAGAGTGAGACTCCATCAATCAATCAATCAATCAATCAATCAATAAAGTGAAGGGGTAAAGCAGGGGTAAGGAAGTGGGAAGAGTCAGAGGTACTCCCAGGTTTCTGTCTTGGATGCTGGTGCTGTGACCTGAATTCATGTATAGGAATGTTGATTTTTAATTATTCATAGAACGTTGAAATAATATCTCATGGACAGTTATATTCGAGGTTGAGGAGAGGTTGGGGTTTGAGATCATCAGTAGTGAAAACATGGAAATGGGTGAAATGACCTATGGAGATAATATTATAGAATGAGGAGAAAAAGGACCACAGGTAGAACGAGAGAGAATAGCAGCCTCTATTGGCAGGAGAGGAAGAAAGATATCATAACCAAAAGGAGAGGTTAAAAAGTGAGTTGATTAAATATTTCAGTCAACAGTGTTATCTGCAGATAAGTAAGATACATACTGAAAAAGAGCCTTTGGAGTTAACAGTTAGGAGGTCGTTGACCTGCTGTTGAGAGCAGTGTCAGTGGAAAGTTGAGTACAGTGAGTTACAGAATGGAAAGTGAAGAAAGAAGACAAGTGTAGACTACTCTTGAGCAACGTGGGTTTAAAGGGAAGGGAGAGATTTAAGAATGTTTATAGGCTGAGGGCTAAGATCCTATAAGCAAAAGAGATACATTAAAAAACAGATGTAATTGAAGGAGCAAGATTTGCAAGCAGGTGGGAAAAAAGGAATTAAGAGTCTAGGTAGGATAAATGGATAAACAAATTGTGTTATATACATACAATGAATATTACTTACCCAAGAAAAGGAATAATAATAGATGGTACAACTTGTATGAAACTCAAAACACTGTGCTAAGTAAAAGAGGCCAATACTTCTATTATATGATATATCCAAAATAGGGCAATTTCTGTCCATAGAGACAGAAAGAATATTAGTGGTTATGAGAAGTGGGAGAATGGGAAGAAAAGGGAGTGATTACTTAATGGGAATAGGGTGTTGAAAAAGTTTTGTCACTAGAGAGAGGTGGTGATTGCATAACATTGTGAATACACTAAGTGCCACAGAATTGTACACTTTAAAATGGTTAAATATCTGTTATGTTAATTTTCCTCAATAATTTTTTTAAAAGAGTATAGGTAGAGCAATTGATTTTTGAGCAAGAAGTAAGACACCTCTAAGACCAGAAGTACAAATAAGTGCAGATATGTAACATTTTGAGTGAGGTGGTAGGCCAAAAAGTTGAGATGTAGTTTAATCCTCATGGCCTCTGTTTTATCAAGGAAGTTGGAAATGTGGTTACCTGTTCAGAGTAAAGAACAGAGGGAGGTGAGAATAAGGTGAGTTTATAGAAAGCAACCAAGTTTTAGGATTGGGGGAGAGAGATGTAAGACAAGTAAAATAATTGGCATTAATGTTGAAGGCCCAGCTTAGAGTCTTCACACAAAGCAAAGAGCCTTTAATATCATTTCCATTTTCTTTGTTGTTGTTAACTTCCAAGCCTATCCTCCATTGTCTTCATTCTGTGTACAGATTCTTACGGTCCTTATTTGCCAGGTATTATTATCTGTTCCTAGCAGACAAAATTCACTTTTCACTCATCTGCCTCCTTTAATTTACAGAGGTTGTTTTCCAGATTTTAAGAACCTGCTTCAAGCACCTACAAAGCTGTTTTCCTTCAGTTCTTTAAATATTTTAATTAATATTCTTTTCCTTTCCTTTTTTTTTTTTGAGACAGTGTCTTGCTCTGTCTCCCAGACAGAAATGCAGTGGCATGATCTCGGCTCACTGCAACCTCCACCTCCCAGATTCAAGTGCTTCTTGTGCCTCAGCTCTACTACAGGTGCCCACCACCAGGCCTAGCTAATGATTTTTTGATTTTTAGTAGAGATGTGGTTTCACTAAGTTAGCCAGGCTGGTGTTGAACTCCTGACCTCAAGCGATCCACCTGCTGCGGCCCCCAAAGTGCAGGGATTACAGATGTGAGCCACCGCACCCAGCTCCTTTTTTCTTAAGCTCCGTTTTGTTACCTGGTCTTCTTTATATCTTTGTTATTGATATTTTTGTTATGCTTCACGTTACTGAAAATAGCCTGTAGTTTATTGGAATAATGAATTGTCTTTGTTGCGTTTCCCTGGCTTTATAGCCAGTTTCTAAGGCTACTCTAAAGGTTCTATAAGTAGACAAGATGGTGTAAAAAGCAGGTGATTTAAGGGTATTAATTACAAATATTGTTGAGACAGGCTTTGCTTTTGGTTCCTGTCACCTTTCTTTTTGTAAAAAATAATAGCTTCATTGAGATATAATTGGGAAACCCTAAAATTCACTCTTTTAAAGTGTATTGCTTTTCCTTATTTAAATTATTACCTTAAGGCTTTGAAGCTAAACCTCTTTAAAACTGTGGAATGATTTTGAAAAGAACAATTTACCTTGTTGAATTCCTTTTTTTTTTGTTTTAATACAAACAATCCCATAGCGTTTATTGCCATCTTTTAGTAACATAAGGGTAATCAAAACACTATGAATGAATGTTCATATTGGAAAAAGGACATCTAAAAGCAAACTGTATCCTTCTCAACAATTTCTCACTTCATTGATCCTTTCTAGTTGGAGACACTTTGTAGCAGAGTAATATTATCTCCTTTTAGCATGATCCGACCCAGTTGTTTTAAAAAATATGGAACGCTTCACGAATTTGCGTGTCATCCTTGCGCGGGGACTGTGCTAATCTTCTCTGTATTGTTCCAATTTTAGTACATGTGCTACCAAAGCAAGCACTACCCTGTTGAATTTTTATTCCAAGATCACTCCAAGGAACACAGCCTCTCTCAGACCTTTTAAGCAGTTGTGTTCCCTAGAAATGCACCTTCCTACTTTCCTAGTTTCCTTTTATACTTTCTAGATTTTTTTAGCTGAAAAGTCTAAATGAAAAGGTAAAGAGAAATTTAACGTTATGTTTTCCTCAATCTTTGTGTTTGATGATTTTATTTTGTTACCATGAGAGTCCACTCTCACGAAGAACCTAATTATAGAAACACCTAATGATTATAGAAATAGAGAATTCTACTCATATTTAATTGGGTTATGTTCCCTCTCCATAAGTAAATGGTAATGGTCTGACTTAGTTGAGTTCAGGCAGCTGTTACAATTTGAACTGAGAGTACTGGGTGTCCGTTTTAGGTTCCAATACATATGAAGAGGCAGCTGCCTATATTCAATGCCAGTTTGAAGATCTGAACAGAAGAAAAGATACCAAGGAGATCTATACTCACTTCACCTGTGCCACAGACACGAAGAATGTGCAGTTTGTTTTTGATGCTGTTACAGATGTCATCATTAAAAACAACTTAAAGGAATGTGGACTTTATTGAGAAGCATGGATGTTAGTGAAAGGTAAAGTTTCATACAAGGTAGTTATAGTGCTACAGTGATGTCTCTTGGTTTTTAAACTTTTTCTAATTAAGAATATTCTTCTCTTCTAGTTACTACAGTGTGGAGTGTTGAGACCAGACACCTTTTGCTGTCTCATGGGGCAGCTACAAGCATGAACGGGACCAGGGAATGGCAGCAGCATGCAGAATCTTAGCACTCTTTAGCACAATATTTTGTATTAGGGAACTTTTAATTGACATGAGATGCTAAAGTCAGACATTGGAATTGGAAGAACTATAAAGTGTGATTCGATCGTCAAGACATCACTTGGATTTCTTAATCTTAAATGCTTATGGAAGATGTGAAGTTGAGGTGCTGCATTCTAGAACTTCAATATGTAGCTTACTCTTTTTTTCCCCCCTTCTTAAACCACCAGTGGTTCATTTTTAAGGTTTTTTCATCAAGAGAAGAATAACTTTACTAAATTTTATTTCTTTATTTGCAAAAGAATCTTTATTAAAACAAACAATCTTAACTATGCACATGATGTGACCAGATCATCTTGAAAATATTCCTCTTTAGTAGGAACTCTTTGTTTTTAACTCTTGGTATGGTCAGAATATAATACTTCCATAATTACTTATAATTCTTTCCGGTTACTGGGGCTATAAATACAACTTTTTAAATGAAATTTATGTTATTATCCTGCTCAAAGTACCATTATGGTTTCCATATGGTAATTACATTGGAAAGTTCTGCAATAAGATTCTAGTTCTCTCTTTTCTTTAAGCTTATGGTTGAAGGTTAACCTTGTTTGTGCAGATTACCAAATTACTGCTGATGTAGTATGATAAAGTCAGCTTCTTGGATACAGACACACCCAGGGCAGCTGCCAATCAGAAATGCAAATTGCTAAATTCCAAACAGAACCAGTGACTTTGCTGCTACATATTTACTAAATTGACCACTTTGATTCTTGCTTGTTTGTCTCAGTTATAGGGAGTTTTGTACATGGTGCCTCTTGTTTTCCATCTTCATGGCCTTTTCTGTTGAGAAACATCTAAAGTGTATTAACAGTGCATGCTTTTACTTTGTAAATGTGGTGCCAAATCCCTGTTTGCCATCGTTTTTACTGTACCGATGTTAACTGTAGTAATCCTTAGCCAGTATGTTCTTTTGCTGAAACTGTTGCATTTTGGGACTTTTTTCCACTTTGTCATGTGTACATTTTTAATCTGTTATAGTTGGCGGCAGTATTAAAATGGTGAGTAAAGAGCCCAGGTTTGCTCCTGTTTGTAACTAGTCTTTTCTGGAAATACTGTCTTCTGTTTCCTTTTGCCTTTGCAGAATGTGCTTTAGCCTTTGTCTGAGAATGGGTTTAGGTAGAAGGGTTTCCTGAAAGTCTAGTCTTTTGGTGTAATAGTATTGTTGAACCTTAGGTTTTATGTTATATCTGCATATGAGTGATATGTGATCATGATTCATTTTGCAGATTTACATTTTGCTTGTGTGGAAAGTTACGTTCACTTCAACCTACAGACCCTTTTGTATAATGTACAGCAAATGTCATTAAATATTGAATGCTCTATTGGGGGAAGACAAATGAAGAGAATGCATTTTGAGCATTTCAAATCAGTAGTTTGGGCAGTGCCTTTTGGGGTCCAATCTTTTTGGATTGGATTCTATTTCATCTTTTGATGTGACTTTTCACTAGTTTACAAAAAAAAGGTTGGTGGTCAACAAAAAAAGCAAGTCATAGCAGTTCAGTGCCTTTGTTGGTAGTTTTTAACTTTTTTTGTGATTCTTTTTGGAAAATCATAGCTTACAGATGGTATAACTGTATTATATAATGGAATTTTCTTTAGGTGTGGGAAAACTTGATCTGAAAGAAAATTATCAGCTTCAATTGGCGATTGATTCAGTGCCCACAATGTAAACAGGGTTGGTAGTTGTTACTCATTTTGAATATACCTTTTCCTTATTGTATTCTGTAATATAGGATCCTGGAAATGAGACCTGGTGGAATATTATTTTCAACTGTAGTCTTTCTATACTGTGGACTAATGAAATGGTGTTGTTGATAATCTAAAATAACCAATAATCCAAAAAAGTTCATTTTACTTTGAATTTGTATTTTCATTTGAATATCTATCTGATATGTTAAATTTTTAGCCCTTCTGTTAAAGAAAAATAGCAGGTCCCCATTTTTCTGCCTCTGTACCATTTACATTTGCTCTCTGTTTGTTAACATGAAGATCACTCTTATTTCACCATCCCAAATAACTTATCTAAATGCACATTCCTTGAGGACACAGGGAGACAATTTAAGTCAGTAGTTTTTAATATGACTTAAGTAAAAATCACTTGGACCCATCTAAGGGATTGACTTTTGGCTGGTGGGCTGGCAATCGATTTTTTTTTTTTTTTTTTTTTTTTGAGACGGAGTCTCGCTCTGTCGCCCAGGCTGGAGTGCAGTGGCGCGATCTCGGCTTATTGCAAGCTCTGCCTCCCGGGTTCATGCTATTCTCCTGCTGGGACTACCAGGTTCCTGCCACCACGCCCAGCTAATTTTTTTGTATGTCTTAGTAGAGACGGGGTTTAACCGTGTTAGCCAGGATGGTCTTGATCCCCTGACCTCGTGATCTGCCTGCCTCAGCCTCCCAAAGTGCTGGGATTACAGGCGTGAGCCACCGCACCTGGCTGGCAATTTATAATTTTTAAAAGGTGATTCTGATTACCAGCCAGGCTTGCAAATCACTGGTTTGTATTGAAATAAAAGATATTTTCTTGTAGCAGGGCTAAAATGTGGGATGAAACATTAAATCTACTAGCCTGAAAAAAAACTTTGGCATTTGTAATCAAAGAAGCTGAAAGTTGCCTTGTGTGTTTCCTCTGAAGAATGCTGGAGATTTGTGATGGATAATGTTTCAGAATTCAGGTGCCTATGCTTTGGACCATCAAAGAAGCCATTAGTCTCTGTGTAAAGAAGAAGTATTCTTAATGGACAGTCCCCCCTAACCTTATAAATTCAGCTTTGCAACAGATTTCACCTCCTAGCATGAAAATTCCAAAAACTTTAACAATTACTCATAAGTGGATCTTGAGATGACATTTTCATCTTGGACAGTTTGAATTCTAAATCTCTAGTTCACAGTGAATCGTTTTTTAAATTTTTACTGATGGATCGTTATTTTTCACAAGGTACTACATTCTTACAATGTAAGACTAGATGGACCAAAATTTTAAAAAAAACTTCTTGCCTTGTTTTTTTAATTTTCATATATATTCTATTTGTTGTATATACACATTAGACTATTTTAAAATAACAGCTGGTTTTTGTAATTCATTCATTCACCCTATATTCTTATATTCTGCTCATTATTCTCTCATTTATAGCTGTGACATTCTTTGGACATTACTTGCCTGGCCTGATTAGTTACTTAATATAATTTATTCATTTGCTTAGCATGTGTGACATAGTTCTGGAATTTCCTGTTGCAGAACTCCTTGCTGTATTGCAGTCATATATAAGGTAAAGTCAGTCTCTTGTTCCTATTAAAAAGCTACCATTGATTATTTTCCCTTTTTACATGTTCAAAAAAAAAAAAATAAGCAACCCTCTACTCATTTGTATAAACCTAAAACGTCACTGTTTTCCTTGAGCGTTAGTACTTGTGGGTTCTTTCCTTTTCATGTGTAATACTGATTTTAAGAGCAATGATCTTAGTTTGCCAGTGCCAGGTAATTATTGTGTTCTACTTTAGGCTTCGTAGTGCAAATCAGGGATCTGACCTGGATCAGCCTCAGCTCTTTACATAGCTTTATGATCATCATATTTTGTTGTATTGCTCCCAACAAGCACAAGAGAAAAAGGCAGGCTTCCTAGAGACCTCAAGTTGAAAGTTGATTTTGCTGACAACTATCAGGGAGTAAAAGAAAGCCTTTTTCAGGCACTGGAGAACTAACTTTAATGATGATCAAGGTCTTTATGCCTTTATCTTTTAGTTTTTAAGATCATTTCTCTCCCTCCTTTCCCCCCAGTTTTCTCAACATTTATGAGTTAGTTCTGCTGAGAACAACATACTTCAGAACATGTCAGGATAGGGCAGTTTTTTCTTGTTTTTCTTTTTTCTTTTTTTGAGACAGTCTTGCTCTGTTGCCCAGGCTGGAGTACAGTGGCACGATCTCTGCTCACTGCAACCTTTGCCTCTTAGGTTCAAGCGATTCTTGTGCCTCAGCCTCCCAAGTAGCTGTGATTACAGGCATGTGCCACCACATCTGGCTAACTTTTGTATTTCTAGTAGAGACAGGGTTTCACCATGTTAGCCAGGCTGGTCTCAAACTCCTGACCTCAAGTGATTTGCCTGCCTTGGCCTCCCAAAGTGCTGAGATTACAGATGTGAACCACTCCACCCACTCAGGGCAGTTTTTTTTCTGATACCATATCAGGCCTAGGCCTGGGCTGACTCAAATCTTCTCAGGAATAAGAGGTAAGAAGGAATGTTAAACAGCAGTAGTTACCTGGGGTACATGGTTAATTTGATTTAGCAGATTCTTTGGCTAAACCCTAGTAAATTAAAATGTCTGAGCCAGGTCATGGGAATATACATGTTTTTAATACATTCCTTAGGTGATTTTGATGTAGCCAATCTGGGCCAACATTTGGGGACAACTGAGTAGGACCTAATACAGGTTGAATAGCCCTTATCCAAATCTCTTGGGACCAGAAGTGTTTGAGAGTTCAGATTTTTGTGAGGTTTTGAAATATTTGCATTATATACTTATTGGTTCGGGATTCCAAATCCAAAAATCTGAAATCCAAAATGCCCCAGTGTGTGCTTCCTTTGAGTGTTATGTTGTTACCCAAAAAGCTTTTGATTTTGGAGCATTTTAGATTTTGGATTTTCAGATTTGAAATGCTCAATCTATATTAAAGATCAACACAGGCTGAGCACAGTGGCTCATGTCTGTAATCCCAGCACTTTGGGAGGCCGAGGTAAGCAGATCACTTGAGGTCAGGAGTTTGAGACCAGCTTGGCCAACATGGTGAAACCCCGTCTTTACTAAAAATACAAAAATTAGCCAGGCATGGTGGTGGATGCCTGTAATCCTAGCTACTCGGGAGGCTGAGGCAGGAGAATCGCTTGAACCTGGGAGGCAGAGGTTGCAGTGAGCCGAGATCGCACCACTGAATTCCAGCCTGGGCGACAGAGTGAGTCTGTTTTTTTTTTGTTTTTTTTTAAAGTCAACACAAATATTGAAAATAAGCAACTTCAGTGCACAAATAAGCTCAAAATCACTAGTGAGTGATCTATTTTTTGCCAATAAGAAGTACCATTTGTACATGACTTAAAGTGCCTTCCACCAAGAAAATTATTGAAAACTGTTGGGTCACATAACATTCCTACACTTTGGATACAGAGTATTTAGTTTTATACAAAATTAAGACAACAAGAAACCTAGGATGTCCAAACATTCATTTCATTTATTTTACTGCATTTATTTATGCAGTGAAAATTGAAAGATACACCAAATTAAAGATAAAACCCTGTGACAGATAACAGTATATGTAATAACATGAATATTTATTTACACTTGGTAGAGAAAGCAAAGCTAGCTAGCTCTAAACTAGAATGAAAGTCGTTTTGAAATGGGTACGGGGGTATATAAGGGGAATGATTGAGTCACATGTAAAAGCCTTTGTATGCCCAGTGCTAGTGTTTTCCTGAAATCTAGTGAGAATCACAAGGTACCAGAAATAATCAAATAATAAATATTAATACACTGCTGGGATAGAAGTATCTCAGTGTACCAGCATTCACTAAGCTATAAAATCTGTGACAGCAGGAATATTAAATTATGAACAACCTGGTTTATCTGTCTCCTCTTATCTTTTACCTCTCCCTACGCCCAAAATTCTCCTTAGGTTATCCAGACATTTTTACTAAGATGCTTATTTATATGTAAGAGAGATTTCCAGTAGATACAACAAAACACAAGAAATCACCTGTTCTGTTTATTCTTGCTCATGTAGGATAAAGGTCCTGAGACCTCTCAGAATCTTACGAGGTTGGAGAGTTGTTTGGAATGCTGGGTTCTGGTCTTGTCTCTGCTTCCAACCAGCTATGGAATCTTGTGTATTCTTTCAGTCTTAAATCACTCATCTGTTATCTAAAGATGGACTAAATTATTCCTTCCTGCTGTGATATTCTGTGGTTCTCATCAGATAGAAATAACATATTTGAAAATGCTTTGTAAATGTTATGATACTCAGGATTATACTGCACAGAAAAAAAAAAATCCTAAGGCAGCACCAACAAAGGTATTCAACGTAGTGGGTGGTCTTTTACAGCATTACTTTGCCCATATTCATTTTGAAGACCTGAAATGAAGTTGAACTATAAATTGCTCTAAAATTCGTGAAGCAGGGTGAAAAGGTCTTTGCTTTGTTTTACATTTAAATCCAGCTGTCTATTTTCTGCTTATACTAGTGCTTTTTCATGGCAAAAAGACAGAAAAGTTCCCTTCTGCAGTCTCCAGTGTCTTCTGACCTCACAGAAATGTTTTCATGCTTTTACCTAGCAGGACCACCAGAGGCTCTGTCACACTTGCAGTCCCTGGCCCAACACCGAAATCCTTCTGGAATCTGTGCTCTGGGGGCTGTGCCGGGTAGAGAGGGCAGTGGGAGGTAAGAGCTCTTCACCCTTCACCACCTTCTCCACCCAGCATGGCCGGCACACTTTGGTCTACGGCACATCTCCAAGTATAGAGTGGGTTTTGAATGCTGTTATGTCTCACCGTGGGGATGGGAAGGAATACTCTGTTTTGGACTATTTGGAGGTACATGTGAGTGGATTTTATTACCAGAGTAGGAACTGTTTCAAGTTAATGTGTCTTTTATGTTGCTTTTAAGACAACTTTTGTGCCGCTTTTATCCATTCTTCCTTTTATCCACAGAAATACAAATTTCTAATTATAGTATATTTTTTCTATTTTTAAAATTGTGATAAAGCATATATAACAAAATTTGCCATCTTAAGTGTACAGTTCAGTGGCATTAAGTACATTCACACTGTTGCACAGCCATCACCACCATCCATTTCCAGAACTTGTTTTCATCTTCCTGAACTGAAACTCTGTACCTGTTAAACAGTAACTCCCCATGCCCCACCTTCTTTCAGCCCCTGGTAACCAGCATTTTCCTTTGTCTCTATGAATTTGACTATTTTAGATACCTCATATAAGTGGAATCATAGTATTTGTCCTTTTGTGTCAATCATATTGTATTTTTGTCTAAAAAAGGAAAACTATCAGATTTATGTGAAATGTAACGTAATTTACATTTGATTTACTGTTAGTAATGTCTCTTTAATCATGCTATGCTAGGGAAGTACATTATGGTCTCTCCCTCTAAGAATATGAAGAGGAAATTTTACCTTCAACAAACAAGCAAACTTAGTTATATTTTTGTGATTTTATGCTGTTTTCATATTCTATTTTGAGATCTATTTGTCTTAGCTTGGAGGTGGTTTTGTTAAATGTCCACGATTTAGAGACGGCATAATGAAAAAATGACCAAGAATTTGGTTGGGAATGGGAGGAGCTTAGAAGAACAAGAAATTGGCTTTGATTTTATAGTGTATGGTGCTCTGTTGGTAGCTGGACATCATCACAGGCTTTGGATTGAGAAGACCTGTTCTGGAGTTCTAGTTCTGCTACTGCCTAGCGTTGTGATCTTGATGAAGATACTCTTCCTTCCTGGGCTTCAGTTTTTGATCTATAAATTGCTAGTGATGGGGCTGGACTATTTTTAAGTTTGTTCTAACTTTAGCAGTCTTAAGAATTAAGGTTGCATGCCAGAAAATAGGGTTAAATATTTGTTTCTGATCTGGTTACAAAAAAAAAAAAAACTTGATGGCTTAAAGTAAATAAAAATTCAACAGTACGGTGTAAATTTAAAATGAGGCAAAAGAAAGATAATGACTTAATTTTTATTTTAATCTTTCTTATAGCTGTTTTATATAAGAACTTTTCATGAATACAATCAAAATGTCCATGAGATAAAAATAAGCTAATTGTGCAGGAAAAGTACAAATGCACTTTTTCTGCAGCTCTAACATGTAAGGTTTGGGAACAATCGTTGGGCCTGACAAACAGTTGAGCTAGGGTAAGGGTGAATGCCTTTTCTGGAAGCCTATCAAGAGCATCGAGGTGAAGTCCTCTTACCTTTAATCATGGGAGAGCCCATTCTGGACCAAGGGTTTGAGAAAATTATTCTGACTGTGTTCTAAGGTAATAGGTGAATGGGTGCTCAAGGGCCCCTGTTGCATTTCATGTAGACTTGCCAGAAGAGTTTTAGCTTGAAAACATCATAAGATGAATATAGGCAGATCCCAAACTCAGTAAAAAAACAGCTATAGAATGTTGCTCTATCCTCCAAGATGAACACTTTACATAATGTTTGTACAAGGTGGCTTGTGTGAGTTTGTTGATAAACCAGTTAAAAGTTGGGATATCCCCCAGCTATCCCAAAAGAAGAGGACTAAATACAACCATGTTTTAGTCTGCTAGAGACTTGTGTTCTGACCTAAGACCTGTCAGAAGACCTGTCCCACTGGCTCTGCTTCTGTACTAGTACTATAAGGCAGGTTCTGTGTGAACATTAATAACCAAGGATCCTGAGTTAGACTTATAGTTTGGTCAATAACCAATTTATACCTAGATTGAAAGACCAAGGAAAAGTTAATAAAATAATCAACAATCTGGTACTATTTGAGGGAAAGTAGGGCTATCCTATTTGGAGATGGAATAAATGGGATAAATTATGTTTGGGGCCTGAATAGACAAGATCATAGCTTGTATAGTAAGGGTTCTTAACCTGGGGCTTCAGAGCTCCAGCGAGTCTACAGAGAGACTATTTGATATGCTAGTTTTCTTTGTATTTCTCTGAATTTAATTTTACGTGTTTAAAAATATGATGATGAAAAGAGGCACATGGTTTCATCAGATTGCCGGAAGGATCCATGATACAAAACAGATTCAGAACTCCTGTATGTTGAGTTAAAGTGAACAGATTAGTAATGGTTGGAGCATGATATTCAGAGTAGTTCCTGAACAGCTCTTGAATATGAGAAGTCTTTCCCAGGTTTTTTGTTTTGTTTTGTTTTGTTTTGAGATGGAATCTCACTGTCGCCCAGGCTGGAAGTGCAGTGGCATGATCTTGGCTCACTGCAAACGCCTCCTGGGTTCAGGTGATTCTCCTGCCTCAGCCTCCTGAATAGCTGGGATTACAGGCAGGCACCACAACGCCTGGCTAATTTTTGTATTTTTAGTAGAGACGGGGTTTTGCCCTGTTAGCCAGGCTGGTCTCAAACCCCTGACCTCAGGTGATCCACCTGCCTTGGCCTCCCAAAGTGCTAGGATTACAGGTGTGAGCCACCGTGCCCAGCCAGGTTTGTTCTTTGGCTTGAGTTTTTTCATCAGCAGTAGCCAGAGTAGTTTCTCGGATAATTCTCCCAAGCTGCTTTCTTTTTAGGGAATCAGAAAGACTATTAAATGAGTTTAACTTTTATAGCTACAAATTTATTCTTAAGTGTATTTCAAGCTCATATGGCTCTCTAGTATTAATATTGCTAGTAGCAGCCTAAGTGTGAGTGGGTGTTTCTGGCAAGGAGCAATTTCCATTTTAATTGACATTTTCTTCTATGTACTAAATCTTGGATGCCAAGAGCTTTCCTCACTGGTAGTTGTAAATGCTAAATCTATATACTTAACTTCATCCCCTTCTGTCAAGATAAATGCAAACTTCATTTCCCCTCAAAGGAGTTCAAAGGAAAACTTCTTGGCGTGTTTGGGGAGATGTTTTCATCCACCATCACATGGACCCAACTGCAAAGATTTTCAGTGCCTAAAACAAGCTCACCTGTCTTGGTTCTTCTGAAACACGTAGCAGTTGAAAAGTTTAGAATTGTTCACTTGTTCCAAATTCTATGATAGAGAGGCGGCAGCAATACATTCATTAATACTCTAAATGAGAGTATTTGATGTCCTCTAAGTTTATTCAGGAAGTATCTTATGTAGCTAAGAAACATTTGTAGAGATAAAGGTCTGTTTGATAGCCTGGGGGCAGAGGGATAATGTTTGCTTAATAAAGATGATCGTTTTGGGATGTGCCTTAGAAACTAACAAACTCGCATCTCCTATCCAGTGATCCAGATCTCTGAGCTAAGGCACATAGAGGTCTGTTAGTAAAAAGGGAATGGCAGGTTTATTTAGGTTTGGTTAATACTAGTTTTTTACAGACTATAGGAAGCCTTGCTATTTTGCTTGGAATAGTTTGTTGCAATAGTTTATTCTAAAAACCAGGTGTTGAATTTAATATATGGCAGCTTTTATATTTTTATATAGGATTTATTTCTGTGACCCTAAGCACAAGCAGGCTTTTTTTTTTTTTTTTTTTTTTTTGAGACAGTTCTGTTGCCCAGGTTAGAGTGCAGTGGCGTGATCTTGGCTCACTACAACCTCTGCCTCCCGGGTTCAAGCAATTCTCTTGCCTCAGCCTCCCGAGCAGCTGGGATTACAGGCGCCTGCCACCATGCCCAGCTAATTTTTGTATTTTTGGTAGAGACAGGGTTTCACTGTGTTGGCCAGGCTGGTCTCAAATTCCTGATCTCGTGATCTGCCCACCTTGGCCTCCCAAAGTGCTGGGATTACAAGCGTGAGCCACTGTGCCTGGCCTGCACAAGCAGTTTTTATGTGCCTTCCCTTCAGTTATGTTCGTGCTCCTCAGAATAACCCTGTAAAGTAGGTAGGGAAGTCATCTTCATTTTATAGTTGAAAGACTCAAGACTCAGAAATAAAGTATTCACAGTTTTGTATTAAGTTGGAAAACCAGTACTGGAACCTGGGGGGTCTTCTAACTACTGGCCTGTGCTCTTTAAGCTGCAATAGCTATCCCACTTTGAAAAGAACGTATGAAATACAGTTGCAGTCATGTATACTCCATCTCCAAAGAATGGATTCATTCTTCATGTCATGGTATATTGACTATAATTTTCTGTTTTTAATTACCCAGATTCCAAGCCTGTTTATAGAACTTATACCTGAGGAATGGTGAGGATTAGAAGAGGCCGCAGTCCTTGAGGTTTTCTTTGATGATAATATCTGTAACTGCATCAAACACAAATTTGACATTCTGTGTATCTGTAGCACAGGTCATGTGACTGTAGATTTCTTTGACATCTTTTCGCATATTGAGGTCAAGGAACTGGCTCTTTATGTAATTCCCCGCATCATCATAGGAGTTGTTACCTGGTTTTCCAGAAAAATAGTGAAAAAGTAGAATAAATGAACCCTTGTTAGTTGCTGACTCACTTTAGGTGATTGACTTGATCCTTGAAATGTTATTAGACAACAGCAGTTGGGGGCCTATTTTTGGAGGGAAGATTCTCTATTGCACTCCAGTGTTTCTCACTTTAGTTGAAAAGAAATTGAGGAGAGGTGTCTTTCCACCTTTGGTTTTCAGTAGGTATCATATGAAGTCAGTGGCTCTCCTGCATCTAATGCCTGCTGTATTCCAGAGTATCTGAATTTAAACCCTGTAACTGTGCCCAAGGTTCTCCCTTAAGTTCCTTTGTGTCATCTTGGCCTAAAAAATGAGACAATTGCCAGTCTCTACTAAAAGGCATTATTATTATTTCCAGCCCCTGACACTTACCATCATACTCTGGAAAACAAATGCTGAGATGGACTTTCTTGATTTTTTCCTCAAAGAGGTCCTTCTTGTTGAGAAAGAGGACAATGGAAGTAGCCGCAAAGAATTTGTGGTTACATATGCTGTTGAACAGATGCAAAGACTCATGCATACGATTCTAGTAAGAGGAAACACCATTGGAAATATCAGATTTGGCTTATAGAATATCTACCTACTTCCTGCTCTTGTTCCCCTTGGAGAGACCAGTGCTCCAAATGTAAAAAGCAAGACAGAGAACAGCTTATCTCAATGTACCAGAGTAAAGCCAGAGAGATGTGGGATCATTCTAGTTCCCTATCTTTCTAATAGCTGTGTGACTTGTGGAAAATTATTGAGCTTTTTCTGAGTCTGTTTTCCTATCTTATAGGGTTACAATGAAAGCTAAATGAGATTGTGTATGTATATTGTCCATGATAGTGGCTGGCATATAGGTCTATAATGTGTTATGCAGATCTTTAGCAGCCAGGATGCAACTGAGAACTTGACATTTTATAAGTAGTGCTGATAATGGGTTGAAACAGGCCCAAGTTAGCATGTGCCCATATGCATCTCCAGGATGATTTTGATAGGCTTCTTTCATGGGGTCCCAGATCTCAGTTTGGGCTACTTTGGTCCTGCTGCCACATGGTGAGAGTTAGAGAATTTCCCAGTGCCATACCACAAGCATTTCTGCTCTCTCATTTCCTTCTCTGATTGCTACTTAGCGAGAAGTCGGGCTGCATATCTGCAGAGGCTGCCCATTGCCCCAGCCCAGCTTGCTTTTAGGGAGCAGGTCTTTAGGGTTTTGAAGTATACTATCAGCTGACTTGCGTTCAGTCTACTTATCTAATAAAGCAAGAACAATCCCATTTGTGGCTTTTTCCCCATAATACTCCTGTACAACCCTTTAAGGTCTCATAGACTTGTTTTATTAATGTCTCATAGACTTTAATAAACCTCATAGACTCATAGACTTTAGGGTTAAAGATGGAAAGTCTCATAGACTGTAATCTTTAGGCTTAAAGATGGGAAGTGAATAGCTCTGTAAGACATTTTGATTAGACGATATTCAGAGTGCTCTAATGTGAAGTTAAAACTACCAAAGGGAAGGGAAGAGAACAAGCTGTGGCAAGGGATAGGAGTATCCCTTTCATCAGCAAGCTGTGGACCTCCATTTGTAAGCAGATGCTTGGGTGAAATTAACATTTTTCACGCCTCTAACCTTTCCCAAATTCAGAGGTCATCAGCAAGGTGTGGACCTCCATTTGTGAGCAGATGCTTGGGTGAAATTAACGTTTTTCACGCCTCTAACTTTTCCCAAATTCAGAAAGCAGATGCTTGGGTGAAATTAACGTTTTTCTCACCTCTAACCTTTCCCAAATTCAGAAACTGGCTGGGCTCTAACACTTGTCCTATAGAACTCCTGTCCTACAGAATTCTACAGGCTAAAGAGAACCACTCTTGGGTAGTCTTCCAGCTGCCAATTTAATTGGCATGAGAGAAAGCTGGTCTGCCAGTCTCTCCTTAAACTCCTACGGACAGTACATTTTTAGCCTCCTAAGTGGGGTTACTAGCTCAACCCTTCTATTATGTTGCAATGAAGATTCATATCATATGTTATTTTCTCTGTTCTGTCATTTTCATCTCCTTCCTTAGGCAATTTGGGAGAGTACTAAGTGTAACTCCTTTGCTTTGCCTAGTTGATGGTCCCTTATCTCTTTGCACTCAATTCCTCTTATGAGCTTTGTGATGTCCAAGTGATACTTAGATGTCTAATTTGAGACCAAGCTCACTGTCAGTAAATTTGGAGCTCTAAAATGCTAATCTAGAACCTGCAGAAGAAGTTGTTTTTTAGAATTATTTGCATGAGACATTGATTGGTCTGCTGGAGGGCTGCTAGACTGAAATTACCTAAGTTGGGGCAGTAGAGTGACACAAGGCTTAGAGAAAGGGTCATGGGGAGAACTTGTTCTACCAAAGCTGCTTGATGCAAAGGCCACTCACCACTTCGTCATCTTCCACCAGCACCATATCATAGGCACTGAGGGCTGCACAGAAAATGATGCAGGTGACTCCCTCGAAGCAGTGGATCCACTTCTTTCTCTCGGATCTCTGCCCTCCCACATCAAACATCCTGAGGGAAGAAGCAGCTATTTTCATAGGTATGCCCAACATACGACCTATATGCCTTTGATGGTCACCCCGTGAAGTGGGAGAGGAAAAGGGGGAGAAGCAGAACAGTAATTTAGATTAGGCTTCACCAAAGGCCAAGAAGCCTGCCTGTGCCCCTTTTCAGGATTCCACACGTGTATCCGAGATGCCCTAGGGAACCATGCACTTACCTGAAATTCAAGTCTTTGACGGAAAACTTGGTTTCAATGATGCCCGTGGTTTTGACTCTGGATCGGAGCACATCTTGCTCACTAGGGAGGTACTCAGGGTCTGTAATTCGTTCTAATTGGTTCAGGTAGCTAGAGAAAAGTGATTAGCATCAATGACAAATTTTCCACAGACGAGGCTAAGAGACGTAAAAGGTATCTTACCCAAAGTCACACAGCTAATTTGGTGATAGAAATCAGGACTAGAAGCCATATTGTTAAATTTAGGATTCTTTCCTTCAAACCTTCATATGTCATTAACTAGAGGAAATGGGGGATGGACTGAGGGACAAGCCCATTTGAGGCTGGAGTTCCAGCGCATTTAAATCAAGTTAGATAAGTTTTCCTTGGGTTTGCCCTGACTGCAAGCTTTTGTAGATTTTTGAATGAGATTTAGTGGGTGCTAAAAGTTCCATCAAGAGGCAGTAAATTGAAAGAGACTTTAAAGACATGAACCAATGCAACACATGGACTTTGTTTATATCCTGAATCAAACTGGGGAGGAAACATTTGAGATAACTGGGGAAATTTGAACACCGACTTGGTGATATTTGATGCTATTAAGGAATTGTTAACTATTTGGGTGTGATTATATTCTTTTTATAAAAAGGGTCAATATTTTAGAGATCCATAATGACATTTTTAGGATGAAATGATACCTGGAATTTGCTTCAAAATAATCCAGTAGGGAATGGAGGTAAAAAGAAATAAGATTGGCCATGAGTTGATAACTGTTGAAGGTAATTCATTATGTTATTTCTACTTTTGTATGTTTGAAAGTTACCTTAAAAAAGAAAAAGTTATTTTTTTTAAAAAAAAAAAAGGTGGCCAGGCACGGTGGCTCGCGCCTATAATCCCAGTACTTTGGGAGGCCGAGGCGGGCGGATCACAAGGTCAGGAGATCGAAACCATCCTGGCTAACACGGTGAAACCCCATCTCTACTAAAAATACAAAAAATTAGCTGGGCATGGTGGCGGGCGCCAGTATCCCCAGCTACTTGGGAGGCTGAGGCAGGAGAATGGCGTGAACCCGGGAGGCAAAGCTGGCAGTGAGCCGAGATTGCGCCACTGCACTCCAGCCTGGGTGACAAAGCGAGACTCCGTCTCCAAAAAAAAAAAAGGCAAGAGGAAGGCAGATGTGAACTGAGATGACTGAGAGGAGGAGGGAAGTACAAGTAACACAAGTGCCTATTGTATGCCAGGCATTTTAATGTTCAGATTCTCGTTTAAACTCCTAAGCCATCAAGTTTCATATCCCCATTTTACAGATGGAGAAATTCAGAAGAGTTAAATACTTGGCTAGGGTCAAGAGAAATTGTGGTGTATTATGAAAAATATTCAGCTTTGTAGTCAAGCAGCCCAATGCAAATGCAGTCTCTGCTATTTATCTACATGACCTTGGGCAGTTAATTAACTTCTCTGAACTTCAGTTTTTCCATGTGTAAAATGAGGCTAATTAGAAAGGTACCATCTACCTTAAGGTCTTACTGCGTAGATGGGTAAAGGGCGTTGAGATGGTATACACAGTACACCTAGCAGTGACTGGGCTTTGAGTGCTCCGGGAACAGTAAGTGATAGCATTATTACAAGATTAGGAGACAGATGGTTAGGTTAAATAAACTCAGGTTTGACTTTGAAGCCCATACTTGTCTATGATCCCATACTGTCTGAGGTAGGATTGATAAATTATGTCCCTTAGCTTTTTGGAAGCAGCTTTGCAATGATGGTACTAATTCCTGACCACCTTCCCTTGGTTTGCCCTTGTAGTTTGTGTCCCCTGCCTTGGCATCGTGACATAAGATGCTCTAGGTGTAGGAGACTCATTTCTGCTTAGTGGCCTAAGTAGATCCTAGATTACCAGATAGAAAATTCTGCCCTGAAAGAGCCATCATGAATCACATTACTCCTGCGAGAGTGTATGACAGAACTGCAGGGCTATCTTAGGGTTCTGGAAGGAGAGGCTTAGTGTACACCTCAATTAAGAGAACAGGGCTGAGGGCTACTAGGCAGAACACGTCTTTTGAATTTTGCATCTTCAGCCTTGTAGGCTGTAGTGAGCCAGTGTAAAGCAATAGAAAGTCATGACAACTGTGGCAGATCTCCCCATAGCATTAAATTCAAAACATTGCTGAAGCCTAACAAAACAGATCCACAGGCTGAATTCAGTCTGGGTCTCCAGCTTTCAATGCCTGAAATTTTGGGTTGGGTGAGGTTTCTCCCAACCAGAGAGAAGACTGGCTAGAAGATTGCTTAAGCATCAACCCACCCTCTCACCAGTCAGTCTTACTAAGATGCGGAGTCATTAAGCTGGTATTCTGCAGCTCTCTCGAAGCAGGCTTGCACCCCACCATCCTTCCACAACCTCCTAATGACCTCCACGAGCTCAGGAGGCATGGTTCCCTCCTCAATGGAGTCAGCCAGGTTGTTGAGCTGTCGCCCGTCATCCTGTAATGCAGAAACCTGGTTAAGAACTTCACAGGAGTAATAGCTTTCCAGGAGGCTTCTGGGAATACTGCTGAATGGAAATCATTTTACATTACTACGAAGACCTAAGATGGAAGCAGTATCCAGTGAAGATTCTATGTAAGAAAACATACTGTTGAATTTTTGAGTATGCTCCCCAGATGCAGAGGGTGGCACTATACCCAGCCCTGGGGTGTGTCTAAAGCGGGGCAGGGGTCCCAGGTATTTCCTCTCTGGAGTTTCTGGCTTCCATCCTTAGTCTGAAAGTTTACCGCCACAAAACGTGGGTCCTCTGCTGCAGAGAGACTGAAAATGTAAAGGCCAGATTGACCATGAAATAGACAAGATAGAAGACAGGGACCCATCACCTTTGTTCTTCAGCGATTGAAAGCTAGAAAAAGTCCAGTACTAGAAGTAGGGATTTCACTTACAAAAGTTCCATGGCCAGGAACCCAAGGGTAGCAATTTAAATGGTAAAGTAAAAAAGCAGAGGAAGCTGTGAGCAGCTTTATTTTGTAAATATGTGTTATAAAGTAGGGCTTGAGGACAGGCACGGTGGCTCACACCTGTAATCTCAACACTTTCGGAGTCTGAGGCAGGAGGATTGCTTAAGGCCAGGAGTTTGACACCAGCCTAGACAAGATGGCAAGACCCCTTCTCTACAAAAAAATTTTAAAAAATAGCTGGGTGTGGTGGTGCACACCTGTGGTCCCACCTACTGGGGCTGAGGTGGGAGAATCACTTAAGCCTGGGAGGGTGAGATTGCAGTGAGCCATGATCACACCACTGCATTCCAGCCTGGGTAAGAGAGGAAGACCCTGTCCCAGTAAAAATAAGGGTGGATGTTGCTTACTTCTCCAGGACTGCATAATTGTGGTGTATTATGAAAAATATTCAGCTTTGTAGTCAAGCAGCCCAATGCAAATGCAGTCTCTGCTATTTATCTACATGACCTTGGGCAGTTAATTAACTTCTCTGAACTTCAGTTTTTCCATGTGTAAAATGAGGCTAATTAGAAAGGTACCGTCTACCTTAAGGTCTTACTGCGTAGATGGGTAAAGGGCCTTGAGATGGTATACACAGTACACCTAGCAGTGAGATCCCACCCAGCAGGTGGGATTTTAGTTACTATTTTTCTTACCCATCTTTCCATATAGTTTGTTGGCCTCTGGTATGTTTCTTCTTGCTAGCCTTTCTGCTTCCACCCTTAACCACATAATAGTAATCACATACCGCACAGCTTGGTTCAGCATAATCGATGCCCAGTGTGGTCATGGCCCGGATGATAGCCAGGATGGACTGCAGCACATTTCCATAGATGATAGCCTTGAACTCCAGGCATTCTTCTGGTGAATAGCCATCCTGGTGAATGATCCTGCAAGGGGCAGACACTCTGTCTTTAGCTGGACCTGAGTAACCAGACCTAAGGGATTAGGAATTTGGGGGTATTTAAAGGATCATAAGAATCCTATCTCTCTGTTGCTACTGCTTTCTCAAAGTGGAGGGTGAGGGACAAGGGGTACAGATGAGGGGCATTGGAATCAGATCCTTTATACCTGGGCTCCTTGAGGCTAAAGAGCCTTTCACTTTGAATACCTCCACTGGCTGTACTGACTTCTTCACCCTATCTTGTCTTTTGGGGCTTTGTTTCTACTCACTTCATCTGTTTGACGATGGTGCTCTTTCCTGACTCCCCAGCACCTGGAAGGAAAAATGCTTATGCTTTCGATTTCCACCAGTTCTCCTCAGCCTTCCAGGAGATGGCCTGGGAGAAGTCAGAGCCACTGCTTGCTTGGGGGTCTTGTTAGGGGAGAATACATAGGGATGACTGCTGCCCTCAATTTCTGGCAGGCTTGAGCTCAGGCCATTCAACCTGGATTTAGAGCAGTTTCTTAACTTCAGTACTATTTAGTTTGGGCTGTCTCATGCATGGTAGGATGTTCAGCAGCATTCCTGGCCTCTACCCACTAGAGGCCAATAGCATCCCACTTCCCTAGTTATGACAACCAAAAGTGTCTCCAGACATTTCCAAATGACCACTGGCAGTCAAAATCTTCCTGTTGAAAACCACTAACAGATTCAGGGGGAGTCCTTTAACATTTCTCCTCTCTGCCTATTTTTGACTCAGGAGAGTGATCTTGGGGTAGGATTGGAGAGAGCTGGATCATTTCACCAAAATAACTATATTTTCATCACCTTGCTGGTTCCCTTTTTTTTTTTTGAGACAGGGTCTCAGGTTTGTAGCCCAGGCTGGAGTGTAATGGCACAATCTCGGCTTACTGCAGCCTTGACTTCCCAGGCTCAAGTGATCCTCCCACCTCAGTCTCCTGAGTAGTTGGGATTCCAGGTGTGCGACATCATGCCCGACTACATTTTTTTTTTTTTTTTTGAGACAGTCTTGCTCTGTCTCCCAGGCTGGAGTGCAGTGGTGCTATCTTGGCTCACTGCAACCTCTGCCTCCTGGGTTTTAAGCAATTCTTCTGCCTCAGCCTCCTGAGTAGCTGGGACTCTACAGGCGCATGCCACCATGCCTGACTAATTTTTGTATTTTTAGTAGAAATGGGGTTTCACTATGTTGGCCAGGCTGGTCTCAAACTCCTGACCTCAGGTAGATCCACCCATCTTGGCCTCCCAAAGCGCTGGGATTACAGGCGTGCGCCACTGCATCCGGCCATTTCCCCCCGCCCCTCCGTAGAGGCAGGTTTTCACCATGTTGCTCAACCTGGTCTTGGATGGGGCTAAGTGGGTTCCCTTTATTGACTAATGTGTCCTAATGTCCTCATTCACACTCTGCTCTCTCCATCAAAAACTCATACCTTCTAGTACTGAGTTTATACTACCCTAATGCCTCGAACTCCTCCTATTTCGCTTGTGCTTGTTCCCTCTAAGCAGCTTATCCTGAATGTAGAAGAAATCTGCTTAGGCTTAAAAGATCTCTCAGTGGCCCCACCATCTCTGTTTCCCCCTGCGTAACCTCCTGGGCTCCTTAGAGTCTGGTCCAGCTTACAAAGATATGCTCCTTTAGTGTGTCCTTACGACTGTGCCACAGATCAGCTGGGGGAAAAGAAGGTGCCTTAGCCTAGTGCGTCAGCTCCCAGATCCCTTATGGGGGCTTGGAAACCCAGCTCAGGCATCTAATCTTCTGCTACGTAGACCCTACCTGCTCCAGCTACCCTACTTCTGTGGTACCAGTGGTTTGTTTTCCTAAGCCACGTGTCTCAAATGTTCTTGTCTTGGTTTTATTTACAGCTGTGATCAATTTCCCTGACAAATTGAGGTGCTTTTATTTTCTCAGCACAGACCAGTGATCTGCTTAGGAGCTCATCAAGTTGATGAACCTTCCATCTGGCAGGAGCTTTGCAGGCAGCTATTGAATAGAGAGCCAGGAAGGGACTGCTGTACATAAAGACACCATTCCTCCTTCCTCAGAGCCCCCTACTTCCAAAGTTTTTACTGAAAGCAAGAAGGAACCACTATACTTGGCAAAAACCAGTGGGACTATCTCTGGTACTGTTGGCACTGACTGTATGGTGGGACTTGTGAGCCTGTTGGTGAGGGAAGGTCCTGTTCTCTTCTGATTTCTTGGCTTAGAGTTCTCTGCAGATTGGGTACAGTCTGCAAGTCCAGGGTCCTTGAAGCCAAAAGGATGTGTTAGGTTTGGTTAGATTTGGAAATGGGTGGGTTCATGGTGGCCCTTGCACTATTCCTCGCTCAAGAGTAGAAAAACTCTGGAATAGCCTTGGCATTCTGGATCCCCTTGGGGTGGCTGTTTAGGCCCCATATTAACTCAGCTCTAGATCTCCTGATCCCCTAGCCAGACTGTGTAGAGGAGAGGAAAAATGACCTGCCACCCTTCCTTCCCATGGGGTGAGGTAGAACCCACCAACCCTTCAGGAAAGTAGGAAGGACCCCTGCCTTCTCTGGCTCATCTTCCCATCTCACTCACCCAGCAGTAGCAGCTTGACAGTCTTGGCTTCCTTATCAGCATCCTCCTGCAGCTTCTTTTCTAGCTCCTTGGACCTCTTGGCCAGTTCTTTGTCCTCAGCACTGGCTCCACTTCCCATATTTGCCGTCTTGTCAGCTTTTTCAGGCCCCTAATCCTCTCTCGTAAGGTTTCCTGTATGTGAGATGGAAGAGAAGGAAAAAAGTTGGGATTGAGTATCCCAACTTGGCTCCCCTAAAAGCTGGTCTGTACGATGGCAGGTGAGAGAGCAGGCTGTAGGGTCTTGTACTCTGCCTACATTGACTGAGACTCCCTACTTCAACTGGAGACCTACTTCTTAGTCTAGGGATTGTAGCCTTTATATCTAGCAATGTGATAGGTCAAGCCAATTAAGAGCTTTGTCAATATGGCAAGGGGTAAAGACTCAAATGTTTCTATAACTAGGGAAATGATCTGCTGGGTTCTGACGGAAGGATAGGATGCACGACTACTTCCATCCTTTAAGGGGTTCATCCCCTGAAAGTCTCTTGCTTCCTTAGATTTATTTGCATCATAGAGCTAGAGATTACTGGCACATATGTAGAAAGCATTCCTTATGTTGAGCCTCCAGATTATAAGGTCTTGATCTCAAGGGCTTCAGGGTATCAAAGCATACTCGTTTACCATAGGCTGGTCCTGGCCAGGAAATTTGTTTTGGGTGGTGCCCTTCCTTGGGAAGATTAGGAATGTTTCAGCTCCCGCAGTGGCTGCTGCTCCAGGAAGCTACTAGCATTGTTCCTTTGCATTGGCCCCTCTCTTTGTACTTCTGTTATTAGCACTTATCACTTCATATTGTACGTCGTTTTACAAATCTTTTCCCTCACTGCATTTCTCCCCCTGGAGCTCAACGGACCAAATCTGACTCATCTTTGAACCTCTCAGAACTTGTAGTTTATTTGTGGATCAAAAGGTTTGGTGAATGAATAAATGCAGGAAAAGGGTGTATGGTGAAGAGAATGGGGTTGCTTCCCTTTGGCCCACTAAAGCCAGCTGAGTCCCAACTTCACTTCATAAATGAACTTTGCTGGTATTCAGTGTGGGGTTTGTGCTGCCTCACACAAAAAACTCTGCTTCTTTGGGAAATTGGACTCCAGACTCTGGCTTCTCAAAGGTTGGGGCAGCTCTCTCTCCTTCTGGCTCTCATCCCAGCTGCCCTTTCCTGGGGGAAAAATGAGGGTGCAGTCTAGCAACTGCCTCACAGACATTTAGGACTCCACAGGTTGTACTCCTCTATGCCAATTATTTCAGTTTACTTAAATGAGTGTTGCTGGCGGAGCCTCCTCAGGTGGAGATGTTTTAGAATTTTGTTGCCCAAAATGTGGATCAAGAGCCAGCAACATCAGATCACCCGGAAGCTCATTAGACATGCAGAATCTCAGGCTTTAATCCAGAACTTCTGATTCAGAATCCGCAGTTTAACAAGATCTCAGGTGACTCTAAAGACATTAAAGATTGGGAAGTACTGCCCTAGGGACCTGTTTTCCGCTAAACTTACCTAATCCTAAGAATCACCTGGGTTGCTGGTGTCTGTGTTTCCTCAAGTCTTAGGTGCCACTGACTAGAAGATTACCCTGCTTTCCGAGATGTTAAAATAGTGTATGTTTTTAAATGGTATGTTAGCATCAAACTCCAGAGCCAGAGAAAATATTTTAAGCTAATACAGGTAGTTATCACATCTGTGAAGTTTGAAAAACCCTGGCCTGAAACAGTTCTCAACTTTTAGTGTACAGTGGCATTTACCTGGAGAGCTTTTTAAAAAATACTGATTTAATTGGTCTGGAGTGCAGTCCAGGCACAAGGATTTAAAAACGTCCCCAGCTGATTCTAGTGTACAGCCAAGGTGGAGAACTACTGAGGTCGAAGGATGTAATTTGCTCTTTCATTTTAGAGCTGGACTTGTGCAGCAGTGGCCAGTTGGGACTGGGAAGGTCAGGAGTAGAATCTAGGTCTCCCCGCCTATCAGGTACCCTGAGCCATAGCTAATTATCTTCCTCCTTCGCACCACCTTTCAGTGACTGTAGGGGCTGATGGAGAAATATGCAGCTGCTGAGGTGCTTTCCATGGTAGCCATGTTTTCCCAATCAAATTGGCAAGTCCTTATTGACTTAAGGAAAAACAGGAGAGTCTCTTTGAAATTGTGACTATCTTGGAATCTTGGTTATAAGGTTTCAGTAATTATACCCCACTGCTAGCCCTGCTCCAGCGTACTCACAATACTGGTAACTCACACTGAGGCCAGAGCCATGCTGAAGGCTACACTGTTCAAGGGGCTGCCTGGAACTATTAATAATTATTATGTTATAGTTATTATAATTAATAACTGCTGAACAATGTAAGTGGCTCATACCAGTTAATTATCACAATAACTGCTATTGTCCCCAATTTACAGACTAGATTAACTGAGACTTGAGAGTTAAGTAACTCATTTAAAGTCAGCTGGGCATAGTGGCGCATGCCTGTAATCCCAGCACTTTGGGAGGCTGAGGTGGGTGGATGACCTGAGGTCAGGAGTTCCTGGCCAACATGGTGAAATCCCGTATCCACTAAAAATACAAAAATTAGGCCGGGCATGGTGGCTCACGCCTGTAATTCCAACACTTTGGGAGGCCAAAATGGGCAGATCATCTGAGGTCAGGAGTTCGAGACAGCCTGGTCAACATGGTGAAACCCTGTCTCTACTTAAAAAAAATACAAAAATTAGCCAGGCATGGTGGCAGGCACCTGTAATCCCAGCTACTTGGGAGGCTGAGGCAGGAGAATCACTTGAACCCGGGAGGCACTGCACTCCAGCCTGGGCAACAGAGCAAGATTCCGTCTCAGAAAAAAAAAAAAAAAAGAAAAGAAAAGAAAAGAAAAAGCCCAGCATGGTGGCATGCACCCAGCTACTTGGGAGATAGAGGCATGAGAATCGCTTGAACCCGGGAGGTGGAGGTTGCAGTGAGCCGAGATTGCGCCACTGCACTCCAACCTGGGTGACAGAGTGAGACTCTGTTTCAAAAACAAAAAAACAAAGTTATATGGCCTAGTAAACAGACAAACCGGTGATCCTTCTTTCTATTACTTCCACATAAGTAGCCAGAGAGAGAAAGCATGGACAAATGCATGAACTCTATAACAGCAGCCCTTGTTAAAGGAACCACTAAGTTGTTTCACACACAGGGAAAGTGGGCTTGTTCCTTTTTCTGCTACTACCTCTGCAAACTTCTGTGCTGCTTCTGCTTTGTTCCCTAACTTACTGGATGGAAGTTCCCCTTTCTCACTGCTAAGCTGAGAGAGGGAACTGCTAGCCCTCGCCTGGCCTGAGAGTACAGATCCATTACTGTGCATACATCATCCTGATGTCTGTGACCTCCTGCCTCTGCCTCTATCGTCAGTTCCTGTGCCTTTCCTGTGGCTGTCCCACTTTATGATCACATTTACGAACAGTTTCCTGATGAAGTAAATAAGGTATGTAGTGCTAGTTCCATTTTGGAGGTGAGTGAACTGAAGTACAGAAAAGTGATCCTCACATTAATAAGCAAGTTGGTATCAGAAGCCAAGCCAGAGCTCAGGTGTTTTGATTCACAGCCCTTTATAACCATTATCATTTTGAATGAAAAGTAAATCACTGTTTCTTAGTGATTTGGGCATGTTTCCTGAGTTAAGGGATCTGTCTGACATCCGTGGTAAGCCTTGTCTTAAGTGAATTGTGGGTAAAGACTTGTCCCAGATGGAGTGGGAGGACATGAAGGATGAGGAACTACCTTCAGGACCTTCCAGTCCATAGGCAGAGGTGGGGGAAATTCACAGAAAAACAAATGAGTTAAAGGGATACTGCAGTAGTGCTGGGAAATTCAGAGCTGTTTAAGACCTAGCATTCACCCCTGGTAGGAAAGGCAATCAAACACACATCTGACTGTCAGACTGACAAAGTTCTACAGCGGAAGAAAGAAAAGGGTGATTGTGAAATGAATAGACTTTCCACAGAGAAGCAGAATAACAGTGGAAGTGGGAGATACGCATTTTGGGGAAAGGAAAGAGCATGAAAAAAGAGGTAGAGGCACAAAGTACAAGGTGTGCTCAGAGAAGACTGGGACTTTGATGTGACTGGACTGGAGTGAAAGGTGCATGGAGTGGAGGGTTGGGAGGTGAAGATGAAGACAAGAAAGGGAAATTGGAGCCAGCCAGTGAAGCGCCTTCAATGGCAAGGGGTTTGACTAAAATCCACTGGGGTCTTATAAACAAGTATAGATGGAAACAGCTGTATGGTGCTATAAACACAATGCTGGGTGACTGAGGTGAGGGGGAGAGGGAGCTGGCTGCTGGGAGAAGCTGAGAAACCAGAGCTGAACAGCTTGTTTCTAGAAGGGCCTAGGCATAAGGTATGGTTTGGGAAATTGCCTTGGCCAAGGACCTTTTTGGAGCTGCAGATATTCTCTCCCAAGTTTAGTATCTGTGAAGATTGTTCTGGCCTAGCTAGGGAGGCGGACATCACAAGTGAGCTGAAGTCCAGAAGCAAAGAAAAGCACTTCTTCAGAGAAACAGGAGTGCACCATCTTTAGGGAGCTGGGATTCCGGGAGGGCCAGTTAAGGAGCCATGTGGGGAACAGGCTAGGAGGGGAGGAAGCTGTGTTTGGAGCTAGGGAATATCTCAGAGGCTCAAAGGCAATGAATGTTAAGGCCTCAGTGTGAAAAAAGCCCAGGCCATAGGATGACTCACTCCTTTATTTCCCAAGCTCTGTTCTGCGTAGACAATGAAACCTCACTGAGATTCTTGCTGGTATGGAGTGGGTGGAGGGATTGATGCCTAACTATAATCAGGGCCGACTTCCTAGCAGCAACAATACACCAGATGACCTGGAAATAGGGGAGGGTTGTAGAGTGAAGGGTGTGTTGCAGATGGGACTAGGGGACTAGCATAAAGGGACTAATGAACTGGTTTGCCTGGGCTGGGTGGAGGGCAAGGATTGCCACCTATTGGCTGCTGAGGTAGGTAGGTCTGCATTAAGCAGGATGCTCAAGAGACCTGGCCCAATGCAAGATACTATCTTTAAAACTATGTCAACATTTGCATCTTATCAGAAGATACATGACATTTATGTAGTTACATGGTGCTTGATTTTTGAGATTCATTTTATTCATTCTTGAGAGTCCATCAGCCTCAAAATCCCTAAGCGCCCCAAGACCAATTCAGTGGGCCATAAATGTAAACAGAATAGTTTAAGTCTGGGGTTAAGACCCCGGGAAGGCTGGGTTGGGGGGACTGTGGAGGCAATTACAGATTTTTACAGATTTTTGTTGATTTCTATCCCCTTGATTATAAAAGTTATGGGTATGTATTATAATTTCTAAAATGCAAATAAATATAAAGAAAATAAATATAACCCATAATTCCATCACTACAGATAATCATTGGTAAACTTGTTGGTGTGTTTCTTTTCTACCCATGTATATCACATAAGTAGGACCATACTGTGTATAGTGTTTTGCATCCATTCTTTTACCTAACTTTATATTGTAAACATTTCCACATCATTAAACATTTCTCCAAGAACAATTTTTAATGGCTGTATTTCATGGTATGAATATTACATAAACATTCCCCTATTGTTCGACCTTTAAAGTATCTAACTTTTCTATGCAATACACATTGTGGTGCTGAACAACTTTTTGCATACATATTTTTCTGGCAGCTCTTTTTAGAAAAACAACTTCCAGAAAGTTGATTACTGGGTCAAATAATAAGAACCTTTTTGAAAATTTTGATTCTATATTACCAGATGGCTTTCAGAAAGATTATATCAGTGTTCAAGGCCACCAGTAATGTGTTTGTGCACATGTACGTGTGTGTGTGTCTCCCATCTCACTAACTATACCCTTGCCAACCTGCATTAGCGTTTATTTTTTGGTTTTTTGTTTTTTAGTCTTTGCTATTTTGATTAGGTAAACCTGGTTATCTCTGTTCTCTTTTTAGTTTTATGGATTCTGTGTGAGGTGAAGAGGCCAAGTTTTTTTTAAGTTTGTTCAGGGAACAGTAGCCAGGGATCAATGGAAGTGGCACCAGATGCAGGTGGAGAAAAGGGTTCAGGGTCCAGAATCCAGCGTGGGGAGAGAAGAGGGAGGCAGAGTTTGGGAAGGATCTCTGCTGTGGGAGTGGTAAGAACTGGGAGGAGCCAGACAAACAGCATTAGAACAACTGGGTGTGGGGGGCAAAGGCCTCCCACAAGAGGGAAAATAGGGAAGAGATTAATTCCTGCTAATGCATTTAATTATATTCAGTGAAGTCTTAGGGACTTCCCTCCACAAGTTCCCTTTAGGTCGGATTATCTACCCCTTGGCAGTGGGGATGCTTGTTGGATAGACCCCAGAACGGCTGCAAGTGAATCAACCTGTGAGTGTCAATAGAGAACCAAGGCCAAGGCTAAAGCAATGGTAATACATGAATACTGAGTACTAACTACAGGCCAGGCACAGTTCTAAGCAGTTAACTTATATTAACTCATTTATCTTAACCACCATATAAAGCAGGTACTCTTACACTCATTTTACAGACGAAATAGAAGCACAGAGAAGTTAGGTAACTTGCCCAGTATCAGTCAGGAAGTAGGTGAAATCTGGATTTGAACCCAGACATTCTGGCTAGAGTTAAAGCTCTTAACCACCAAATACAGAAATGTGGGAAGGGGAGCCAGAATTGCAGGGCACAGCCTCCTACCTACGCCGGCCGGAAGAAAACAGACGACCAAGTGAGATTGCAGGGGCAGGACTTCTGCTTAAAATGAATCCTGGGACAATGATAACAGCTACCTTTCACTGGGCCCTCACTTCGTGCCAGGCACTGTGTAAAGGGACTTTACGTTTAATCTTCACAGTAACCCCTTTGAGTGAGGTACTGTCATTACCCCATCTTACTGATGAGGAAGCTGACGCACGGAACTGGCCCAAGACCCAGGGTCGGCTCAGGCCAGCCCTACCGCGGTGTGGTGGCTGCCCACGTGGCGCCCAGGAAGAGAAAAAAATGGCGAGGCGGGGTCGGCAGGCGGAGGCGGGGCCAGGCGGGGGCGGGGCCAAGGGCCGCAGAGCCTGGCGCGGAGCCGGCGAGATTTTGGTGGGGTCTCACCTGTTGCGTGACTCCCCCACAGTCCGGCCGCGGGAGTCCGACCCTGAATGCCCAGGGAGTGTTGAGAGAAATCTGGACGAGTTTCGGGTCCCGCTCCCTTGGGAGCACGTGGCCTACCAGCCTCTCGATTGCAGGGTTGGGTGGTCGCGACACCGGGGTCGCCTTGAGGCCAGTCCGGCTGCCGAGGTCTGCGGGAGTCCACCTCCGGCCAGCTGGCAATTTTGAAAGACTGCCTTACTTTCCCCATCTCAGTGCCAGGGCAGGGGCCCTTGGAGTGACTTGGCTGGGGTCTGTGGCCCGATCCCCCTGCCGTCCCTCAGGACCCGGGCTTTCTGCTGTACAGACTTCTCGTGGGCAGCCTCCCCTCGGAACTCGGGCATCATGGCCTCAGGTGAGTGTGTGTACGTGTGTTGGAGGGAGGGTCTCTGGGACAGAGAAGTGCTGTGGCCAGAGTGACAAGAGGGTGGGAGTCACAGCACAGCAGCAGGACCTAGGGAAGGCGGTCAGCTCCTCCCAGGAGGGCCTGGGGAGCAGAGCCAGAGTGTGCAGAGACAGAGGAAAAATCCAAAGAGGCTAGGGTCTCTGTCCCAGACCCCCAGACAAGGGGGTCTCCTGGCCTTCCTGCCTTCCTGGGAGGTAGCTATTTGGCGACGGTGGAATTTTCCCGGGACAGGCCCCTCCCTCCTGGGCTGGGATTCTCGGTTCTTCCCCCTCCTCCCAGAGCTGGGCTACCCCGGGAGCTGAGGGTCAGATGTGGAAGGAAAGTGGGTGCTGGGTTTTCACGGAGTATGCCTGCCCTGCCCCGGGAGGACTGTGTTTGAGCTTGGACTCGCTCGCTGCTGAATTCCTGTTTGTTATTCTTTTTTCTTCCAGGCTAGCTGGAAGGACCAGCTAGCCTGGACTTTGGCTTCTTTGCCCGGGAGCCCTGGCATGATGGGGTGAGGGCTCTTGGTGGGTTAGTGGAGAGCTGGGGGCTGGCCCTTCCCCATCTTCTTTTCTACCCACCCCCTCCCCGCCCCCCGCCAGGCCCAGCCACCATCAGTCACGTCACTCCTGGGACTGAGGAGGCAGGGGAGGGATAAGGGGCAGAGATGGAGGCCCCACTCCCCGAGGTTGCCTAGACAACATGAGAAATCGTGGCCAGGGCCTCTTCCGCCTGCGGAGCCGCTGCTTCCTGCATCAGTCACTCCCGCTGGGGGCGGGGCGGAGGAAGGGGTTGGATGTGGCAGAGCCAGGCCCCAGCCGGTGCCGCTCAGACTCCCCCGCTGTCGCCGCCGTGGTCCCAGCCATGGCATCCTATCCATCTGGCTCTGGCAAGCCCAAGGCCAAATATCCCTTTAAGAAGCGGGCCAGCCTGCAGGCCTCCACTGCAGCTCCAGGTGAGTGTGTGCTTCCTGGCCTCAGGATAGATGCTGGGCTCTGTCTTGCCACCTCTCGCCCAAGGTGCTGGTCCCCTCAGAGGGGGCCACCTCCTCCGGCATCCTCTCTGTGGTGGTGCCCCTCAACCTCAGTCCCAGGGACAGCCGGCTTGGAAGGTGGGGTGAGGGGTGGTGGGGGGCGGGGGGTGGATCTGAGATATCTGTGCCAGGGATGCTGTCCTCTGTCACAAGGAGTGGGCATGGTGTGGGTGCAGCAAGAGGTGTGTATGCACACGTGTCAGCGTGTGCATGTGCTAAGACTGCGTGTGAAGCATGTGTGAATGGAGCGGGGGTGTGTGGGACTGACTGTTTTGTGGACTGGCCACTCTGACTGGCGCCTGTGCCTTTACCAGGCAGGCTTAGGCTGTTCTGTGGCTAGTTCCACTTTTTAGGACCCCACATCTAGATCCCCCTCACTGGGGGTCTGACATCTGGGCACAACCATTGCTGGCTGGCATCCCACAACTGGGGGCTTGACTGTATCTATCGTTTGCTATTTGCTCATTCCTGGTCTATATTGTGAGCCTCCTTAGGAGTATGGGGTGTCCTTGGTCAGGTCCGTGCAGGGTTCAGGCTGGGGCTGCTGCCCGCACTGTGTGTGCTTCTGCACCCTTTGGTTCGTCTCTCACTCTAGTAAGCATCTCTGCATCATTTGGAGCAGGCAGTGAGGTGCGGCAGTGCCTGTCTCAGTGAGGGCTTGGCTGCCTGGCTCTGTGCTTGCAGAGGGATATCTGCCTGCTGTCTGCTCCCAGGCCTTGTGGCTAAGGAAAGACCCACCCTGACTTTGATGACCAGATCATGCCGACTGCCCCCACCCTTGCAGCTGTCTGTAGCTATAGCCCAAGTATCAACCTCCTATATTTTTTTGTTTCATTGAAGATGACTGGTGCAAGGTCTCTACTGTCCTGAGGGTGTTCTCTGTGCCCAGGTCTGTGCCATCCAGAAAGGGTGTCCCCTGGGTGGGGCCCTTCCTGGCCCTGTTTGGTTCAGCAATAGGGCAACTGATACGGATCTAGCCCAGAGCTGGAGACCCTTCGGTGGTCAGATGGTAAGAGCATCTGATACTTGTGGGGTCAAAGCCGTGGACACCCCTGTGCCTACTGAGGCAGTCGTGGCAGTGTGTGAGGGGCTCCTGGTCGAGAGGGGAGATGGGGTGCTCAGAATCTCAGAGTTGGTGGGAGTGGCTCTGGAGCAGCCCACTCTGGCTTTTGCTTGACTTCTCCGTAAGTGTGGGTGTATGTGTGTGGTGCTGACCCCTAGAGAAAGGACCAGTAGGCAGCTGAGTCTTCTAGGCCTGGCCTCTGAGAACGTAGCGGTTACTGCCCGTGTGCCACCTTCAGTGAGCCTGCGGCAGCCCTGGAGAGTGGTCTGGCAGGCTGGGGGGATGGCACTGGCTGTTGGAATCTGTCCTGCTCACCCCAGGATTGCTGTGGAGCCTGAGACCCCCCTGCTAGGAGAGGGGGTTGAGATTTGAGCCTTTGACTCAACTCCTGCTGACCCAATATGAACCAGCCATGGAGGTCTGTGGTCGGCCTCCCCTAGAAGGAGTCAGAAGTGGTCTGGGGCCATATGTAGGGAGGAGGTGTGTAAAATCAGGGTTCTCGGGCAAGAAAAGATCTTACACTCTGGGGGTGAGACAGCTTCCCCTCTTTTCTTCCTCTTCCCACTTTGTCCTTTTCCAAGTAAGAGATAGAGTCACCCCATCTCCACTCCTGCCAAGTTCACTTCACTGCCCTTTACTGGCCTATTGCCTTTGCCCTGCACTGGGCCCAGGGAACCTCCCACTGTCCTCAGTGGGCGGGGCTACAGGTAGAATGTATTTTGAGGGTCCCAGGAGTTCATAATTGCAGGCCTTGCCTCAACACAGAGCCTGGTGTTTTGCAGAACACTTGCAGAGCCATTATCTCTGTGAGCCTTATGGCAGTTGTGGCTAGGCAGGGAAGGGACCACTTATCGCCCCACTTGTAGATGAGGACCCAAAGCCTCCCAGAGGTAGGTAGAGACATGCCCGGAAGCAGGAACAGAATCAGATCCATGTTCTCCAAATTCTAGCCCCCTTTCTCCCAAACTTATTCTGGACAGTTTGTCCTGTCCCTGATGATAGGCTTGGATCAGGGGTTGCAGGTCTAGGGGCCTGCGAACCAGCCCCCTGAGCAGCTGGGCAGCGGGGAAGCCTCAGTGACTGGCCCCTACCTAGACTGGGCCATTTCCCCAGCTGCCAGCCAGCTCCTACCCCAGCAAAGGCCCTGTCTCTCCTGAGGGATGCCATAATCAGGGCCCAGAGGACAGTGGTGAGCAACAAGGCCACTGCCAGAAGAGGCCAACCTGGGGCTGTGGGTGTGATGAAGAGCGCTGTTCCCCTCCTTTTTCTCCCCTCTTACTCTTTGGCCAGCCAGGCCCTGCCCACTCACTGTCCCCTAGGGCAGTGGATTTTAAGGAGGCTTGGCTCCTCCCTGTCGGCCTGCCCTGCCCAAGTCAGCCTACCCTGCTACTCCCCCTTAGGAGCCTCACATCTGGCTGGGTCTTCCCTGGCACTGTAGAGGTGGAGGCCCTCTTCAGTTCTGGAGTTCGTCTTATCTCCCAACTCTGATGCTCCTTCCCTTGGTTTCTGGGCTCCCTTGAACTCCCCTAGCTCCGTGCTCACGGCCATCTCAGGGTCTCCCCTGCTTGCAGCTGCACTTGGTACAGCCTGTGCCAGCCCCTGAGGGACCGGCTGCAGCTTCACTGGCAAACAGGCGGGCAAGGGGCACAGGGCTGCTGGCCGGAGCTGCCTGCACTCTGCAGGTAGGGTTCAGGCAGGGGCCGGGGTGCGCAGGGGACGGGGTCCTGGATCTGGGGCAGGCCCCTCCCTCTTCCCTTTGTCCAGCTTTGGGACCAGTCCTGGAGTATTGGGAAATGGGCGCAGAGACTTTAAGGCCGGCTACCTAGGCAGATCCTGTAATCCTTCCCTAAGCCAGGGTGGAGGGTGCTGGAGGGGAGCACTCCTTACAGCCGGCTGAGAGAGGCAGTTTGGGTGTGGAAAGCTTCTCACTGAGGAGCTGGGGCTGCTGAGCCCAGGGAGGGTCCTTCGGGGTAGGCTGGAAGCCTTGGCAGCCCCCATAGACCAGCAGCTTCACGGCCCTCTGGTGCCAGCCTCCTCGTGGTACAGATGGAAAGTCTAGTCTTGATGAAGAAAGACCCCTGGCTTCTGACACTCCCTTCCCCAGGGCCCTCTGTGGTGCCCCCGGTCCAGATCCTGGGGCCTGAGTGGCATAGACTGTTTGTGGCAGCTCCTTTTGGAGGGGCAGGCTAAGGCCAGGCCACATTTTGGCAGCCCTGGGGCCCTGGGGGACAGGGCGGGCCTCCAGGGAGGAGGTAGGGTTCCCTTGCCAACCAGGCCCTCCACTTCCTCTCCTCTTCCCTTGAGGGCTCGTCCCTAGGTCAGAGCTGAGCAGCAGCTGCGGCTTCTCTTGTGCTGCACAGGTCTAGGATGTCAGGCACAGGGCCCTGCCCCTTTGAGTGGAGAATCTGCTAGTCCAGGGGCGGGTCTGATCCTGGGTTGCCTGCCCTGGGAGCTGCAGGCTGGGGGTCCCTGGTGTGGCCGCCTGGTCCTTACCAAGCACCTGGTGTGTGTCTCTGAGGGTGTCTGTGTGCGTACGTGCATGTGTGTGCACACGTACACACGTGCACCTGCCTCTGGGAGGTAGTCACGTGGAGATTCTCATGGCCTGAGGGATCAGGCTCTAGTCTCATTTGTGGAGGTAATGAATCTACTTGTTCTAGGGGCAGACTCAGAATCCCCACCCCAAGCCTGGAATGGGTGAGGGGTCCCTGCGTTAGAGGTGAGGGTGAGCCCTTTGGGAGCCACACACACAGGCCTACTCCTCAGCTACTGAGGAGGGACTGCCCTCTTTCCCGACCCTGGGCTCTCTCGGGAGCTGGCCTAGGCAGGGCAGGGGCCCAGGGCTTTCAGGGGCTGCCCCTCCACCCTTTGACCCTGGCATCACTGTCTCTGCAGAGGCTCGGGGTGGTCTGGGGGCCCCTCCGCTGCAGTCTGCCCGATCCCTGCCGGGCCCCGCCCCCTGCCTCAAGCACTTCCCGCTCGACCTGCGCACGTCTATGGATGGCAAATGCAAGGAGATCGCCGAGGTATCACCTGGCACCACCCGCACCCTCACCCCGTGTCTCCATGCCCTGCCTCTGCTCCCCACACCCCTCACCTCAAGCTGTCCCCTCACCTCACGCTTGGCTGTCTCCTGATCCTCAGCCTCTCCCAGGTACCCCTGGTCCTGCTGCCCTCACCCCATCCCCAGACTCTGTAGGAGAGTGCCCGAGGGCGGAGGGCCAGCCATGCTGACCTTCCTTCCCTCCCCCCAGGAGCTGTTCACCCGCTCACTGGCTGAGAGCGAGCTCCGTAGTGCCCCGTATGAGTTCCCCGAGGAGAGCCCCATTGAACAGCTGGAGGAGCGGCGGCAGCGGCTGGAGCGGCAGATCAGCCAGGATGTCAAGTGAGCCCGGCAGGCAGCTGCTTAGTCTCCCTCCATACCCTTCCAGACCCTTTCAGAGCCCCTTTTCTGCCTCTTTCCCTCGCACCCTGCCTTGGGGGGTCTGCACAGGGAGCATAGAGTGGGCTTTGGAGTCGGGCTGCTGGGTTCTGTTCTGTCTTCTAGCCGCCGGTGTGGCTGGGTCATGTTGCTTAACTTATGGGTCTGCTTTCTCATCTCTAAAGTGAGTGAGAACAGCACAGGGTTCTGCAGCTCTGCCTTTGAGGATCACATGTGACAACATGTGCACAGCACCTAGTGCGGTGCTGGGACCTGGGAGCAAGGGCCGTCCCTCGGGATCTGCCTGACTTCTCACCCCTCTTGCCTCTAGGCTGGAGCCAGACATCCTGCTTCGGGCCAAGCAAGATTTCCTGAAGACGGACAGTGACTCGGACCTACAGTGAGGAGGGCAGAGGGGCACAGGGGATGCGGAGCTGCAGCCTGCCCTTCTGCCGGCTCTAAACCCCTCCCTTGAATGCACCCCCTGCAGGCTCTACAAGGAACAGGGTGAGGGGCAGGGTGACCGGAGCCTGCGGGAGCGTGATGTGCTGGAACGGGAGTTTCAGCGGGTCACCATCTCTGGGGAGGAGAAGTGTGGGGTAAGTATGGGGTGTATGTTGGGTGAGTCGCCATCACCTATGTCTTAGTGGGTTCCCCCAGCCTGGAGAGCTGGGGGTGGGGGCTGGAAAGGGCGTTTCTCTTTCCAGCAGCTGGAGGGGCGGAGGGGCAGAGGGGCTGCCTAGGAGCCACTTGATGTGCTGGACCAGGGTGATCTGAGTGTTCCTGGGGGTCAGGGCCTGTGGGAGGTGGGGATAGTTTGGGTTCTAAGATAAGGCCTTAGGGAGGAGGTCTCTGAGTCCAAGACTGAGGAGAGTGATCGCATATCCTCATCTCCAGGTGCCGTTCACAGACCTGCTGGATGCAGCCAAGAGTGTGGTGCGGGCGCTCTTCATCCGGGAGAAGTACATGGCCCTGTCCCTGCAGAGCTTCTGCCCCACCACCCGCCGCTACCTGCAGCAGCTGGCTGAAAAGCCTCTGGAGACCCGGACCTATGAACAGGGCCCCGACACCCCTGTGTCTGCTGGTGGGACTCCCCATCTCTGCCCCATGCCATGTGCCCTAGCCTCCTGGGCTTCTCAGCCTGGTGCCTGGGCACCTCTGCCCTGCCTGCCTCTCCCTACAACCCAGGCTCATTCCAACCTCTTGGGGTACAGGGGTGGAGGTTGGGCAGGAGCTGTCTGACCTACTGGGTCTTCAACATCTCTTGCCCTCTGTGGGGCCTTTGGGTTGGGCAGTGGGTGGCTTGGAAGAGCCCTGCTCTGACTTTACCCTCCTCACCCCTGCAGATGCCCCGGTGCACCCCCCTGCGCTGGAGCAGCACCCGTATGAGCACTGTGAGCCAAGCACCATGCCTGGGGACCTGGGCTTGGGTCTGCGCATGGTGCGGGGTGTGGTGCACGTCTACACCCGCAGGGAACCCGACGAGCAGTAAGAGGGGTGTGGTGCATGTTGGGGGGATGCAGCGTGGGAGGTTGCGTTGGCTTGGGAGAGGCCACAGGGCTCGGCTTGCTCTCCTCACCCAAGCTCCCCTCCATGCCAGTTGCTCAGAGGTGGAGCTGCCATACCCTGACCTGCAGGAATTTGTGGCTGACGTCAATGTGCTGATGGCCCTGATTATCAATGGCCCCATGTGAGTCCCCTGCCATCCCAGACACTTAGCTCCCCTCCCAGCCCAGATTCTCCAGCCCCAGTTCTGCCCCAGACTCCCATCACCTGGTGTCTTGCCCTTCCTAGTTGCTGAGCCCTCGACTTCCCCGCAGTCTACTTCCCTCTTGGCAGCCTCCATCCTTACCCTCCCACCTGCTCCCTCTGATCTGCTACCCAAGCCCTCCCCAGGTGCCTCCCTTCAGGGCCTAAGTCCCTGCCTTGTTCTCCTCATGCCCAGAAAGTCATTCTGCTACCGCCGGCTGCAGTACCTGAGCTCCAAGTTCCAGATGCATGTGCTACTCAATGAGATGAAGGAGCTGGCCGCCCAGAAGAAAGTGCCACACCGAGATTTCTACAACATCCGCAAGGTGGGCCCTCACCCCGTGGCCGTCTCCATGTCCTCATCCCACACCTCTGCCCAGCCTCCCCTTCAAGGGCCAGGCCCCCCACACAGCATCCAGTACAGAGGGTCCTTTCCCATTGCACTGCCCCAGGCCCCAGACCTTCCTGGCCTCTGGTGGATCAGCAGTGCCCTGTTCCATTCCAGGTGGACACCCACATCCATGCCTCGTCCTGCATGAACCAGAAGCATCTGCTGCGCTTCATCAAGCGGGCAATGAAGCGGCACCTGGAGGAGATCGTGCACGTGGAGCAGGGCCGTGAACAGACGCTGCGGGAGGTCTTTGAGAGCATGAATCTCACGGCCTACGACCTGAGTGTGGACACGCTGGATGTGCATGCGGTCTGTGCCAGTGGCGTGGGCTGTGGGACTGAGTCAGTCAGGGGACCAGGAGTCACGGGTGACCTGAGCCTTCCCATGTCCCCCAGGACAGGAACACTTTCCATCGCTTTGACAAGTTTAATGCCAAATACAACCCTATTGGGGAGTCCGTCCTCCGAGAGATCTTCATCAAGACGGACAACAGGGTATCTGGGAAGTACTTTGCTCACATCATCAAGGTAAGGAGGCAGCCTTCCCTGCCAAGCCTCGAGCCTGAGGATCTGGGGGCTTTTAGGGGGTGAGACTCAAGGAGGGTAGGCAGATGACCCCCTGAAGAGCTCTGACTCAGCTCACCTCATGTCTGACTCAGCTCACCTCATGTCTAGGAGGTGATGTCAGACCTGGAGGAGAGCAAATACCAGAATGCAGAGCTGCGGCTCTCCATTTACGGGCGCTCGAGGGATGAGTGGGACAAGCTGGCGCGCTGGGCCGTCATGCACCGCGTGCACTCCCCCAACGTGCGCTGGCTGGTGCAGGTGCCCCGCCTCTTGTGAGTGTCCCTGGAGTGGGAGGGGAACCTGCGGGGTCATATTCAAGGGGTCAGGGCCTGCCTCCTGCCCTCCTAGGATGGCTGAGCCTCCCTTGTCCCTGCCAACCCCTCTGAGTGCAAGGAAGGGCTTCCTGGTCCCATCCATGGTCTGTCCAGCCTGGCCCACCTGGGTATCCTTGCTTTCCCAATATGGTTCAGATGCGCCCCTGCGCTCTTGGGCCAAGCTCTGACCCTTGCTGGACCGCTGGGTTTCCTCCCACTGGCCCTGACTTGCACATACCTGCATGTTGTCTCACCTGCAGTGATGTGTACCGTACCAAGGGCCAGCTGGCCAACTTCCAGGAGATGCTGGAGAACATCTTCCTGCCACTGTTCGAGGCCACTGTGCACCCTGCCAGCCACCCGGAACTGCATCTCTTCTTAGAGCACGTGAGCAGGCAGCGCAGAGCTGGGTATGGGGAGGGCAGCCGGCTTCGCATCCAGCTGCAGCTCTGGTTCTGACCCCAGGGTTCTGTATTAGGTGGATGGTTTTGACAGCGTGGATGATGAGTCCAAGCCTGAAAACCATGTCTTCAACCTGGAGAGCCCCCTGCCTGAGGCGTGGGTGGAGGAGGACAACCCACCCTATGCCTACTACCTGTACTACACCTTTGCCAACATGGCCATGTTGAACCACCTGCGCAGGTGCCTGCACCACCCTGTGTCTGCTTGCTATGCCATCTCTCGCCCAACAAACCTCACTCTTGGCACCTTGGGCCAGGGCCACTAGACCTCTGACCCACCTGTTGCCTGGACTGGATGGGTTCTTTCTCTGCCCTTGGAGCTACATCTGTCACCCCTCACAGCCAGTAATCTACCCCTGTCCCCCTTATCCCAGGCCTGCATAGTTATTGGCTGGAGGACATATGCGTGCTGGGTGGGGGTCAGGGGCTCCGGTGAGCCCAGGTGATCCCAGGCTCAGGAGCTGACACTGTCTTCATGTCCCCCAGGCAGAGGGGCTTCCACACGTTTGTGCTGAGGCCACACTGTGGGGAGGCTGGGCCCATCCACCACCTGGTGTCAGCCTTCATGCTGGCTGAGAACATTTCCCACGGGCTCCTTCTGCGCAAGGTCAGGATCTGCACCCCTAGCCTTCCCTCCCAATTGTTCACCTTCCTCTGAACCATTCGGGCCCCTTCAGCAACCGATCCTCCTCCCACCCAGCCCTCAGATTGGATTCTGCCTTCCCAATGTAACTACCCTTCCCCACCCCAGCCTTCAGCCTGGGGCCCCAACTTGGATTTTGACTAATTCACCCTTTGCACATCAGGCCAAGCCTGGATTCCCCTCCCCCTGCCCTCTGCTGTGGCCTGGACCCCCAGAACCACTGTGCCCTGCCCAGCCTCGGGGCCACCTGACAGGCCCTCCCTCCCTGTTGCCTGCCCAGGCCCCCGTCCTGCAGTACCTGTACTACCTGGCCCAGATCGGCATCGCCATGTCTCCGCTCAGCAACAACAGCCTCTTCCTCAGCTATCACCGGAATCCGCTACCGGAGTACCTGTCCCGCGGCCTCATGGTCTCCCTGTCCACTGATGATCCCTTGCAGTTCCACTTCACCAAGGTCAGAGCCCAGCAGGCAGCCAGGCGGGCGGGCGTCCCAGGACGCTGGGGTCTCCCGGGTTGGGTGGGGGGCGGTGGGGGGGGCGGTCTCTCGGGTTGGTGCTGCCCCCTGCTGGTAGAGCATAGCTGGCCAATTGACAAGTCTTATGGAGTTGAGGGGTTGGGGGGTTGGGGGGATGGGGGGGCGGGGGTGGGGAGAGTGAGTGAGGAGGCTGGGGAAGGGAGGCAGGGGCAGCTGGCCAGGGCGCACTCGTCTGAGGGAACCTGGCCCGTGCAGGAGCCGCTGATGGAGGAGTACAGCATCGCCACCCAGGTGTGGAAGCTCAGCTCCTGCGATATGTGTGAGCTGGCCCGCAACAGCGTGCTCATGAGCGGCTTCTCGCACAAGGTACTACAGCGCCTGCCTGGACCTTGGCATGGCATCACTCCTCCCCTCCTCTGCATTTGGGGTCCTGACCTGTCCCTGGGATGGCTTGGGGTGGGGCATGACCCCTCAGCACTGGCTGCAGCCCTGCCCATTACCCCCGCTCCTTGCAGGTAAAGAGCCACTGGCTGGGACCCAACTATACCAAGGAAGGCCCTGAGGGGAATGACATCCGCCGGACCAATGTGCCAGACATCCGCGTGGGCTACCGCTACGAGACCCTGTGCCAGGAGCTGGCGCTCATCACGCAGGCAGTCCAGAGTGAGATGCTGGAGACCATTCCAGAGGAGGCGGGTATCACCATGAGCCCAGGGCCTCAATGAGCCTGGTCCATGAAGTGCCCACCACATCGCAGCACTTTTACCACGTTTTGTCCTCAGACCCCGCCCATGCTGTGTGGTCTCTGCATGTCTCCATTCTTCTCTGTCTCTGTCTTGCATGTCTCCTACCATGTCACTGTCCCTGGGCCACCCAGTGAAAGCAAAGCCTGGGAATCTGCTCATTGTTGTTTGGGCTCAGGTATTGAGCCTGATGGCCCAGGTATTGAGGGCCTCCCCTGCTGGTGGCCCTGTCCTGGGATCCTCAGAAGCCTGACTGTCCTATGGGCTTCTCCAGTGTCCACAGGGGCTTGGGATGGTTGTGGGGGGCTGGCCCCTCTAGCCTTTCCGGTCCTTCCTGGGCAAATCTAAGCCTTGGCCAGGGCCGAAGTTTAGGCCCCTGTCTTGTTCATGTAGCCGAGGGGCAGGCGGGGGACCTCTACACCTCTGCTGTGGGCACGGGGCTGCTGAGGGTCTGTGGAACTCCAGCAGCTCTGCACTGGGTAGAGCTGGGCCTAGAGCTCAGTCACAGGCCTGGGCTTCCTGGCCTGAGTGGGTAGACGCAGGCGGCAGAGGTGCTGGACCACATCTCCGCCAAGTCACTGCCCAGCAGCCTTCTCCGTCCTGTCCCCAGCCCACGTGCTCCTTGGGTGTCAGCTTCCTGTGCCTCTGTGGGAGAGGGCAGCTGCCTTGTGTTATGTCTGGGGCCACAGTTGCTGCAAAGTCCTGGATCTGCCACTCAACCCCGGGAGTGGTGTTCCCAGTGTGGCTCCCAGAGCTTTGACCAGATTGTGATCCCAGCTGGCCCCTATGTTGTGTTCTGGACTGAGGCCTTTGCTGTGAACTGCAGTGTTTCATACGAACCATCTTTCCTAGTGCATGAGAAATAAAGATTATTTAAGTAATGAGGCAGGTGGGGTTTCTGTTGGGAGAGGGAACGCCGTGGTGGGAGGTGGCTGTGGATGGAGGCACCGTGCATTCTGAGGGGAGGGACTAGGCTTGGGTGATGTGTATGTTGTGCATGTGGAAACTGACAAAAGAAGCTGTGGGAGAGAGGAGATGCCCATCCAACCCTCATCCAGCCTGTTCCCTGTGAGGGGAACACCTAGCCCCGGGTCTGTGACACATCCCTGTCACACCAGCTTGGGGGCTGGTGTCTGTTTCCCACCTTGTACTTCCTCCCCTCTTCCAGCCTCTGAGGGGATGGCCTGGTAGATGGGAAATATGCACCTACAGACAAACCTGAGACCAGGGTCTTCTGGGGGGGTCTTGTTTAGATGGCCCTCTCCAGGCCATACTCTCAGAGATTCTGATTCAATAGGCAGAAGGTGTGGCACAGACATCTGCAAACTCTCGGGCAGATTCTATTGCAAGAGGTTGGAACAAGCCTGTGCATTCCGATTCCAGCCCCCCGCCCCCGCCCCAATCCCATCTCAGCCTCTGTCCCATGTTTAATACACAATTTCTGGAGCACCTCCCTGGCACAGAGGTTGCTGAAGTCTGTTCCCCAGGTAAAGAAGGAAAGTGGAATGTGCCCTGGGCTGTGCAGGGTCCTGGGTGGGCAGAGAGAAGCCTGTCGCTGCCCCTGCTGCTGGCTGGGGAGGCCTGTCCTCCCCTGGCTGGCTGCCTCAGAAGCAATTAGCCCTGGAACAGCATGAGCCTGTTTAATTGAGGGCCTGCCCAGAGCCAGAGCAGCTGGAGCAGGAGGGGGAGGCTGGGAGGCTGCTGGCTTCCTCCTCCTTTCTTGTCAGCTGCTCTCCCCCACCCCAGCCTCTTTCAGCAAGCAGGTCTGCACCTGGCCCTGGGTCTCCCAGTGGGTGCCCCGGGAAGAAGCTCTCCTCATCCCTCTCCACTTCCCATTGGCCAAGCCCTCTCCTGGTCAAGACCCAAGGCCCTTCAGTTCAGAAGACACCCCTTGCCAATTCATCCTGGCCACTTACATGTCACAGAATTGAACGTTGGAGCCCGATGAGGGTGGGAGGTGGTGAGTCCAGGGCTCCTTCACCCATGCTGGGCCTCGGCTGCCCAAGGATCCCCCTTAGAAGGGTGAGGGGAACTCACTTTTCAAGTAGGTGAATAATTTAATAACACAAGTGAGCTGTGTCTTGTCTTTGTTTTAACAAGGAAGCAGGATTAAAAGATTTTTCTAGAAGGTCTTTTGGAGGCAAGAACTGCCTGTCCTGTCTGCCAGCACTTAGGACTCCATATTTACTTGTTGAATTTGTCATTTAATAGAATCCTTCAGTTCACTTTCTTGTCTCCTGTTTTTCTTAGTGTGTGTTGAGGCTTAGCTCTAAGAATATTACTAATTTAAAGTTCCTTAGCAGCCTCTTCACGGTTTATTTTTGAAACGAGGTCTTGCTCTATTGTCCAGGCTGCAGTGACCTCCTGGGCTCAAGTGATCCTCCCACCCCAGCCTCATGAGTAGCTGGGACTACAGGCACGTGCCACCTGTAGACGGGGTTTCACCATGCTGTGCAGGCTGATCCTGAACTCCTGGGTTCAAAGTGCTGGGATTACAGGCGTGAGCCACCGCACCCAACCCACAATTTATTTTTTAAACAACTTGCCTCTGGTTTCTTAGTTTCTCAGAAATTTCTCTTTCAAATATTTATCAAGAGAAAATAATCTTAAAAGGCCTTAATACTTCTTCCTATTTGAAAAGAAAATCATTTTCATTAAAAAAAATTTGGAAAATATAGAAAAATAGGAAGAAATAAAAGCCCACTCATAATCTACCAGTTTCACCAAATATTTGCTGCATGCCTGAGATATATGTAGATATTTTAATGCATATCTGTGCATATTTCTGTATTCTTTTCAGTTCTTTTTAAAATGCTATTTTTAAGTTGAGATCACAAGAATGATTTAGGCTTTTTAAAATTTTTTATTATTATTATTATTTTTGAGATGGAGTCTCACTCTGTCGCCCAGGCTGGAGTGCAGTGGTGCAATCTTGGCTCACTGTAACTTTTGCCTCCTGGGTTCAAGTGATTCTTCTGCCTCAGCTTCCCAAGTAGCTGGAATTACAGTTGCGTGACACCACACCTGGCTAATTTTTTGTATTTTTAGTAGAGATGGGGTTTCACCATGTTGGTCAGGCTGGTCTCGAACTCCTGACCTCAGGTGATCCACGTCAGCCTCCCAAAGTGCTGGGATTACAGGTGTGAGCCACCGTGCCTGACCCCGGCCTATTTTAAAAAGTATTTTAACATACGTCTTTCCACATGTCATCAAAATACTCTGCAAATATGAATGTGAACTACTGTGCACCACCCCCGGTGAGCCTCCCATGGTTTATGATTACAGCTCTCCTCTGTTAAGAATGACTGTGTCCTAATGTGACCAACAGTGTGCACTCTGGGTTTGACTTCTGTTTCCACCACTTTCAGGCTGTGTGACCTTAGGCAAGTTACTTCCCCTCGCTGTGCCTCCAGGTCCTCACCCATTTCATGGGGATAATAATAGCACTTTTCTCACGGGTTGATTTTGAATTCATTCAGCCACTGGATATAAAGCACCAAGCAAGAACTCAGTAAATCTTAGCTATTATTATCTTTGCCTAAATCTCTCCAGATTATTCCCTTAGTCTAGATGCCCTGAGTGAAATCACCAGGTCCAAGGTAGAATTTTTTTTACTGTTCTTGATAGAAATGAATCAAAGTATGTGAGCAGAAATAAAAAGTCATTTCCTTGCCCTCGACCTTGCCTGCACCTTCCATGCCAGCCCGCCACCTCCTCTCCTCTTTTGGAGCCCCACCCCCTGCCCTTCCTCTCGACCTGCTGTGTGTGCCTGCGTGTGTGAAGGTGCCCGCATCTTCTTCCTGGTCAGGGGCCAGATCTCACATGGAATGGGGGGGTGAGGGGGAAGGAGGGTGGGTGGCAGAGGGAGTAAATAAAATAGGCAACCCAACCTGTCTCCTTCCAAGGTTTGGGACCTGTCCTGAGTGAAGTCGACCCTGGGGGACTGTCCCTCATCTGTCCCTAAAGCTCTCAGACTGGGAAGTATGAGGGCTGTGTGCCAGGCCACATCTCACATGCCCTGCACGGGGTCCCCTCTCCGTGTCCACTCCTGGGGGAGTGGAGGGGAGCAAGTGGGGAGCTATCTGGGCCCCCAGGCTGCGGTAGAGGATGGGTAAGGGTGTTTGGTTAGGGTGACAATAATCCTGATTTCTAAACCCTACATCAGAACATTTACCCTATCAAAGTATTGCCTCACTTATGAATGTATTCATATGAAATTCCAATAAAGGCTTAAGCCTTAACTCAGGTTTAATCCAATGTTTGAGAAATCACTATATTTTCAAAATGAGAGTGAAACTGCCCAAATTAGGATGCCCTGGGCAACCTGGGGTGGGTGGTTTCCGCAGCTGGGCCTGAAGCAGGCAGCCTGCAAGTCTAGAAATGGGGGCGATCTAAGTGCCTTGCTTTTGTGCGCATACCTGTCTTCTCCCGGCAGACCCTCAATGTCACCCCCACCCCCTGGCAACATGGGAGAGCTGAAAGAAAACCTCTGAGGGCTGCAAAATATGGAAAAAAAAAAAAGTTGAAATTGACAAATGTTTAATGAAATGCCTTCAGAAAGTAGCATGTCAACTTCAATATTTGTTAAGTCACATGCCATTATATTTGAAAACAATTTGTAAGTTGGATTTTTGACAAGAGTTCCAGAATATGCAATATGATTAAAGAGAAAGCATAGCCAATAGTAAATTAAATGAGTTACTCATAGTCAAGTAATTTCAAAAGCAAATTTATAAAAACCCCTTTAAAGCAAAGCAGTTATATTTAATGAGGGGGTGTGGGTGCATTTTAAATGCAAGTGAGTGTGGGGCCTCCAAGAATCAGATGCAGGGTCTATAAAGGACTTACTTAAAATGGCTCAGCCCCGCAGTCCCACTCTGGGCCAGGGGGGTTGGCTCAGATTTTGGTCTTGCCGTCACCTTCAACTCTCCTGCCTCCCTAAATAGTCTGGGCAGATTTGGAGCAGCTACTGCTGCCACTGGCATCTTCTCTGAATCTGTGCAACAGATATGCACAGCTGGAATTTCTGTCTCCCCTTTGCAGATGAGAGACTGACCTGGGTTTAAACCTGAGTGTTCTGTTTATTAGCTGGGCAAGTCAGCCCTCCTCCCTGACTTCCCAGGCCTGGAGGAGATATGCAAAGGGGAGTGGCTACCAATCCATTCCCACCAGGGTCCCAAGCTACTGCTGGGGTATGCTGGTGTGTCTACTACGCATTTGCCATGGTGGGGTAAAATACCTATGAGCACCTGGCATTGGGCTGAACTCTTTGTAAGTGTGAATGTACTTCCAGCTCCTAGAACTCTGCATGATATCTATCACCATATTCCCTCGCGTCAACAGGGAGAATGAGGTTCGGGAGGTTATGTAACTTATCCAGGATGACTCAGCTAATGAGTGCCAGAGCTGGGATTTGACCCCAGAACTGTCAGGCTGCAAAGTCTTTGTTCCTCCTACTCTATCATGGTCCCTGGGGTACGTGTCTGGTTGAGGGGGTCCCTCTAGGGGTGGGGTGCTCAGGGAAGGGACAGGGTCAGGCTCTGATGAGCAGAAGGATCAGTGCGGGTGAGTCTAGAGGCAGAAGGGTCATGGAGGAGGCTCCTGCCACATCCCGGGTGTGATTGACAAGGACCTGGCTGGTGGCAGTGTGGGTGGAGAGGAGCTTTTGTGGGGAGGCTGCTAAGACCAGTAGTTAAGACAGAGGTGGCAGAGGTGGCCACAGGATTGTGATTGGCTGGCACAGCCTGATATGAGATCGAGAATGTGAATGCTCTGAGGCGGCTATTAGCCTGACCCCTCCCGGTTACCTTATACCCATCCCAGTCCATACACTGCCAGAGAGGTACTGGGTTTGTGATCCCCGGGCTCTATCCCACGGCACAGCTGTCACTTATTAGCCATAAGATCCTGAAAATTTCTAGGAACTCTGAGCTTTAGTTCTCTGATCTATCAAATGAGGATATCGGGGTCCACGTGTATTGGTTTGCTATGGAGATTAAATGCTGTTTATAAGGCAGAGTTCAACGACAGGGGACTTGAACAACTATGGAGCTAGGTCAGAAACTCCACTGCGGGGACAGAGAAGGGTGGGCTAATTCCTTTTTGGAGAAAATAGCAATAATACCATGCTTGCTTTGTGCTTTATAATTTTCCACATTTGGTTTTTGCAACAGCCTTTTGAGTTGGTCAAGAGTGTGATTATTCCTCCCAGCAGCCTCAAATCCTTTTGGAACCAGGTGTGAGCTAAACAAAAGTTATAAAATGTTACAAGTCCATAATGGATAATGGTACTGAAAGTCAGAGAGTCCCATACTTTGCCTGGTCACAGGGATAGGAGGTGGAGAGTGGAGTGAGGACCTGGTGCTGGACTCCCAGCCCAGTGCTCTTATTTTGAGCTCCCTTTGGGACCTGCTGGAGATTTGAGTCAGAGCCTGGCCAGGGGGCTAATTGGGGGTGGGAGGATGGCTCCAGGTGACCGTGAAGCTGAGGTGGGGATGGCGAGGGTGGAACAGGGTGTGAGGCCTGGGCCTTGATGGGGTCACTAAGACTGGTTTTTTATTTATTTATTTATTTTTGAGATAGAGTTTTACTCTTGTTGCCCAGGCTGGAGGGCAATGGCGCGATCTCTGCTCACCGCAACCTCTGCCTCCCGGGTTCAAGCGATTCTCCTGCCTCAGCCTCCCAAGTAGCTGGGATTACAGGCATGCGCCACCACGCTCAGTTAATTTTGTATTTTTAGTAGACATGGGTTTCTCCCTGTTGGTCAGGCTGGTCTCGAACTCCCAACCTCAGGTGATCTGCCTGCCTCAGCCTCCCAAAGTGCTGAGATTACAGGCGTGAGCCACCGTGCCTGGCCAAGACTTTCAAAGGCAAGTGCCCATGTGTTTGTTTATTTATTTATTTATTTATTTATGTTTTTATTTTTTGAGACGGAGTCTCGCTCTTGTCGCCCAGGCTGGAGTGCGGTGGCATGATCTCGGCTCACTGCAACCTCTGCCTCCTGGGTTCAAGCGATTCTCCTGCTTCAGCCTCCCAAAGTAGCTGGGATTACAGGTGCCCACCACCACGCTTGGCTAATTTTTGTATTTTTAGTAGAGATGGGGTTTCACCATGTTGGCCAGGCTGGTCTCGAACTCCTGACCTCAGGTGATTCGCCCGCCTTGGCCTCCCAAAGTGCTGGGATTACAGGCATGAGCCACTGCGCCTGGCCTCATGTGTGTCTGTTTAACTCCGCTGAGCTCCCTCCTCTCACTTTTCCTACCACCTTGGGCCTGCGCACCCTCTGGGAGAGCCCCTGCTGGCTCTGAATCCCAGTGCACCTCCTGGGCAGCTGTGGAGGCTTGGCGCCCCACCCTCATCTCAGCCTCTTTCGCCCCTGCTCCTGCTCTTCTACTCCTGGCCCCATCAGCTAACTCCCATTTATCTCATTTCTTTCCCTGAATAACTGTTCTTTTTAAACCCTCACAGCAGCACTGTGTAGTATGTATTAGCGTTATCCGTATTTCACAGATGGTTATCCTAATGCACAAAGAAATTAAGTAATCAGCTCTGGTCACTCAGCGGTCATCAGGTAGAGCCAGGACTCAGCCCCAGGCCCATCTGACTCCAGATTCCAAGTGGAGCCATTATGGCGTATCTTCTCCAGTGGACTGGCAACCTCCAGAATCCTGCATGACCAGGCTGTCTCAGAGCATCTGAATCTCACATCAGCTGAGACACAGCGACATCCAGCCAGGATACGGCTGAGATAAGCGGCCTTCGGGTTTTGTCACAGGGTAGCAGGGGAACCTGGGACAATACCCAGCGGCCCACCAACTGCTCCCTTGTTGGGGAATATTCCTTGCCTCGTAGCGTGGGTGAGCCTGCTCCTAGCTGGTCCTCCTGCCTTCCTGATGGCTTCCTCGCTGCCTCCCTCTCTCTACCCACCTCTTCCTTCTCCCCAGCAGGCCAGGAGGCCAATACCTGCTGCAGGTGCCTCGCCTTTCCTTGCAGCTCTTTCCTCAGAGCCTGGAGTCAGGATGGAAGTTGGTTGGGAGAGAAGCAGGTGCTGGGGCAAGGTGGAAGGAGGAGGGGCGAGAGGAGGAGAGGCTTCTCCATGGTGTTCATCGAAAGCCCTGGGTGGACAGATGCAAGATGGACCAGCAGCTGGTGTTCAGGAGGCCACTGGTCAGGCCCTCACTCCGTTCCCTCATGCAAATGTGACTGCCCATAGAAACCAACTCCCTCTAACCCAGCACACAGGAGCTGATAAGCTACTTATCAGCTTACAATAAAGACTGAAAACAACAAGCACAGGATTTTTTTTAAAAAGTCAACCAGAAGTGGCTTGATGAGCAATATATTGGAACCAGGGTTTCGAAGAGTCTGGGTCAGCCCTGGGCCTCCTTCTCCTCTGCACCCATGTGCACTTGAGCAGAGCCCTTCTGCCCAGAAAGTGCCTTTGTGGGTTTAGAAAAAGATGTCCCTTCCTTGGGTAGACACAGCCTCCTGATGGGGAGCACAGCTTGGCCAGCAGAGCACAGGCTGGCTTGCAGTCTCTGATCACCCAGAGGCTCTCGCGCAGCATGTAACCCACCTGACATCTGTGTCAGCCTGGCTGGGGGTCTCTGGAGTGCCCACAGCCTGAGGGTGCACGTGTAGCTGCATTCTCACTGATGCCACTAGTTCTTGTGCCTACTCTTGGAGGATGTCACCTATCCAGGTCTGAACGTTCCAGGCAGCATCCTACATGAGTCTGTAAATCAACTGAAGCTCCAGCAGCCCCCACTCCACCCAGTTGTGTCCTGCAGCTGAATACTTCTCAGTGCCCACAGAGCTGCCAATCACCTCGGGTTGCCATGGGAGTGTGCATATTCATGCCTCAGTGTCCCCAGAGTGGCCGGCCAGAGCCCCACCCTGAAGAAGCCCAGTGCACGGCTCTCTCCTTTCCCTCTGTCACGTCCTCTCCCTGTGCACCAGATACCCTGCTGGGCTGCTTGAGCCCTGGGGTCACGCACAAACCCAGAGCTGAAACATCCTCATGCCACCTTTGTGTGAGTTAGGAAAAGGTGAGCCTCCTGGGCAGATATACCCCTGAAAGCTCAAAGAACGAAGGGCATATTTTGGTAGAGTGTCTCTCCCTCCAGGTGACTGCAGCTGTGCAGCCTGAGTTTTTGGGTGAGCAGAGTGTAGGCTGGGTTTCAGCTCCTGCTTGCCCTTTGGCTGGTAGTCCTTGTGCAGTACCCAACTGGTCCACAGGGTGGCGGTACCTCCTGAGAACAGCTTCTGCCTGAGGCTGGGTTCTGGGAATGGATGGGCTGGGGCACCCTCTCTAGGCACCCATGCCCACTAACTCTGCAGCGGGCACACTTGGGGCCCCACTCACCAGCCTGGTGGGCAGGCTAGCTCATGTATGACCCCTCCAGTGAGAGCTATGGCTTAGGCTCATGCCAGGATCCCTACTAGGAGAGCTGCACTGCCACTAGCTGAGGTGGACCCCGTTTCTGCAGGGCAAGGCTGGAGCCACATGCACACACTGGCTTTTTGCCTGTCCTGTCCTAAGCCCCCACACCACCCACATTATCTCGTGACCACATTTTTCCTCCAGATAATGTGGGCCATGTGTGGTTAGGCCATATCTTCTTTTACATCGGCAAAACCTAATGGGGTTTCCAGACTCCTGCTCTTCATGTGGAATGCCTCTGAATTTCTAGATGATGTCTGCAGGCGTGTTTTGTTTTTGTTTTTCAAGACCGGGTCTTGCTCTATAGCCCAGGCTGGCATGATCTTGGCTCACTGCAACCTCCACCTTCGGGCTTAAGCAATCCTCCCACCTCAGCCTCCCGGGTAGCTGGGATTATAGGCGCACACCACCACACCCAGCTAATTTTTGTACTTTTTATAGAGATGAGGTCTCACTATATTGCCCAGGCTGGTCTCAAACTCCTGGCTTCAAGCAATCCACACACCTTGGTCTCCCAAAGTGCTGGGATTACAGGCATGAGCCACCATGCCTGGCCTTTCTGGGGGTGTTTATTTCATCTCTGAGTGGATTTTCCAGTAACCTTCAGAGCTTTGAGGAAGGCCTAATTGTCAGCCTCATAGACTGGTCACACCCCAGGAGATAAAGCTCCTTGCTAAGAGCCCTGGCAGAAGATTACATGGGCTGTGGGTAGTCAGGACATGGAGGAAGCTCTAGGGTCTGGGGCACTTGGATAAGTCTCCAAGGAGGAGATTGGCTTTGACCAGATGGATGGGGAGAGCCTGCATGGAGGAGCAGGAAGGAGGAAGGCATTTGGGGACTGTGTTGGGGGCATCTTCCCATCCTGCTCTGGTGTGGGGTCAGTGCTCCAAAGGCCCACGGTAGAAGAGGATGGCACTGCCCTTCACTCTCAGACCAGTGCCTCCCTGAGATGGAAACCAGAGGATCTCCTTGCCTCCCTCAAAGAGAGAGAGAGAGGCTCTGCTGGCACAAGAAGCTTGTCCCATGGCACTTAGTCCAATAATTGTTCCCCGTGTGTGCTTAGCCCTGGGAACCTGCTGATCTTGGGTAAGGACACAGGGCCATAGCAGAGCCCAGGAAGGACACTTGGGGCTCCAAGGTTAGGTTCTTGGTATTAAGGTGAGAGACAAAATGATGGCCCTCTGACTGAGGAGATTTGGCTTAAAGAGGATGACCGAGCTCGCCACGTGGCACGGGATAGAAAAGAAGATTTGCTGGCCTCTTATGGAGTTAGGGTTGGGGTTGGCATGGGCTACTAGAGGGGAGGTGGTGGGGCCAATAGAGAGGGACAGGTCTGCAGAAAGCACTTTTCTATCCAAGCTGTAGGCCTTGGGTTTCTCAGTCTCACCCACCCTATCCACATAAGCCTCAGCGCAACTTTACACCCACTAGGATGACTACAATAAGACAAGAATGGAAAATCAGTGTTGCAAGGATGTGGGGAAATTGGAACCCTCATAATTGCACGTGGAAATGTACAGTTGTGCAGCCACTATGAAAAACAGTTTGATGGTTCCCCAAAATGTTAGAATACAATTACCACATGACCCAGCAATTCCCCTCCCAGGTATATTCCCCAAAGAAGTGAAAACTGGCACTTCAAAAATATATGTACACTCTCTGGGCATGGTGGCTCATGCCTGTAATCCCAGCACTTTGGGAGGCCGAGGCAGGTGGATCACCTGAGGTCAGGAGTTCGAGACCAGCCTGACCAACATGGTGAAACCCTGTCTCTACTAAAACAATACAAAATTAGCCGGATTACATGCCTGTAATCCCAGCTACTTAGGAGGCTGAGGCAGGAGAATCGCTTGAACCCCTGAGGCGGAGGTTGCAGTGAGCCGAGATTGTGCCACTGCACTCCAGCCTGGGTGACAGAGTGAGACTCTGTCTCAAAAAATAAATAAATAAAAATTATACACACACACACACACACACACACACACACTCATGTGTACAGCAGTAATGTTCACAATAGCCGAAAGGTGAAAATAGTCCAAATGTGCATCAACAAATAAATGGATAAACAACATGTGTTATATCCATATAATGAAATATCATTCAGCCATAAAAGGGATAAAGTACTGATTCTTCCATTCAGTGGATGAACCTGGAAAACATTATGCTGAGCAATACAAGCCAGACAAGACACAAAGATCACGTGCTGTATGACTGTATTTATGTGAAATACCCAGAATAAGTAAATCTGTAGAGACATATACAGATTGGTGGTTTCCAGAGGCTGGGGAAGTGGGGTGATGGGAAGCAACTGCTTAATGGGTATGGGTGTCTTTTGGGGGTGATAAAAATATTTTGAAACTGGATAGAGGTGGTGGCTGCCCAACATTGTGAATGTACTAATTGCCACGGAATTGTTCACTCTAAAATTGTTCATTTTATATTATGTGAATTTCACTTCAATGTAAAAAAAAGAAAAAAACCAACCTCAGTGTTCTTAATAGTAAAAAGAGGCTAATAACACTACTTATTTCATGGAGAGGTGGTAAGAAATAAAATAATAGGCGCAAAGTAGCCACCATTCAGCTATTGAATAAAGGGTGGCCAATGTTCTCCGAATGCTACTTTCTGGGGTTGCACCAAGGGTGCTCCAAAACTCTTTCTTGGTCCCTGGGGAATGTGGCTTAAGTTCCTGCTCAAAGAACCGAAAAGCCCAAAGAGCTGTAGCTGCGAGGTGGCGCCTAACGGGCTGTCCCTCTACTGTGGTCAGAGCCGTGCCCCTTGCAGGTGGGTAGCGCTGAGAGCAGAGCAGCGCCCGCGGGACTGGCCTGAGGATCCCGCAGGCAGGAGGGACCCCGCGGGCCTTTCCCTACCTGGGAGGTGCACGGTTGGCCACCAGGGCGCGCTGCTGGACTCTCCCCAGAAATCGGGCGGAGGTTTAGGCCTCAGAGTCACTTAAACTTGTAACCCTACCGGTAGCCGTGGAGTCTAGTAAATGTGGGGTCGGCTGGGGTTCGCCAGTCATCCCATGCTGCTGAGGGGCAGGCATGGGGCCCGTTGGCCACAGGAGACCTCCAGGCTTCTCTCCCACTCTTCTGCCTGCACCCCCTCTCGGGTAGAGGCTGCACCTCCTGCTTGGGTTCAGCCACCTTCAAATACTGCATCAATGGCTCGTGCCTCTGCCTGCGGGGCTGGGCCAGCGCGGGAGAGGCAGGCGGAGGGTTCAGGGAGCTGGGGATCTGCGGTATGTCCTGACCCCACACACTTTGTGTGTGCCATAAAGCCACAGCCTTTCCTTCCCACCCAGCCCCGTCTGAATGAGAAAGCATCACCTCTGCTTTCTGTTTGATCCGGCAGTTCTCAGCCAGGCTGGAGGCGGCCTGGAATCCCAGATCGTCTACTGACACCCCTAGTTTCCCTCGCCGCTCCTCTGGAGGACGTCCTTAACCCCTGATGCTGCACCACAGGCAGAGCTGCCAGAACCCCACCACCACCAAGATTGCTACCTGGAGATTCCTGCTTGTCCCCCCAACCCCAGGTCAAACCCCTGCATGCATCCATGGCCCAGCTCCCGTGTTCTGGGGCCATCTTTATAACCTGCTGTGCATTCCTGCCAGATTGAACTCATTGCCTCCCCCACTTGACCTCATTCTCTCTTTGTGCACTTGCTTTCTTTTCTTTGCTTTTTCTTTGTCTTTTTTTTTTTTTTTGAGACGGAGTCTCGCTCTGTCGCCCAGGCTGGAGTGCAGTGGCGCCACCTCGGATCACTGCAAGCTCCGCCTCCCGGGTTCACGCCATTCTCCTGCCTCAGCCTCCCGAGTAGCTGGGACTACAGGCGCCCGCCACCACGCCCAGCTAATTTTTTGTATTTTTAGAGACGGGGTTTCACCGTGTTAGCCAGGATGGTCTCGATCTCCTGACCTCGTGATCCACCCGCCTCGGCCTCCCAAAGTGCTGGAATTACAGGCGTGAGCCACTGCGCCTGGCCTCTTTGTGCACTTTCTTTGTATTTAGGGAAACAGCAACAGTAAACCCCAAATGACAAAGGTCATTACAGGGACCTTTTTTGCAGCCAATGATGTTTGTGTTCCCCGGTGCACTGCTCTGAAGCTTTCCCACGCATTCGGGCTCAGGTCTCTCTCCGGCATGTCTGCTGCCTTGTTTACTCCCCGCTTAGCGTGTGTTTATAGGATCACATTACACGAAATATTCCAGCCTTGTGAAGTAGCATTTCTTGCTGATAATGAAAACAAAAGACACAAAGAATTCTAAGAAATGCCTACAGTGCTTGGCACGTGAGGGCCTCTTGGCCTAGGGCCAAGTTTGTCTACTATCAGCCCCCACGGTGTCTGGAAAGTCTTGGATTGTTGTTGGCTCTTTGGATCCTGTGGTTTCACCCTGCAGCGTTTTGTAGGCAGTGTGGTGTCCTGGGTAGACCCAGGTCTTGGGGTTGACTGGACTGGTCAGATACAACTTGGTGACTTGCTAGCTGTGTGTCCTTGGGCAAGTTACTTAATTTTCCTGAGCCTCAGTTTTCTCATCCATAAAATGAGGGAAGAAAGAAATAATTCAAAGAGATGTTTTGAGAATTTGGTGAGGAGGTATATATAGTAGACAAGTCATAGACACTCAGTAAGTATTGGCTGGGATTATTAGCAAAAGCAAATAAGCCCCTTCTTTAAAGGGAACATAGCTTTTTTCTAAACCCCACTGTCATACTTAAATTGGTGATCAAGAAGTTATGTTTCTCAAGACACCCAGGAGCAGAGGCCAGGGAGAAGGATGTTCCAGGGCACAGGGGAGACCTGGACTGCCACGTGCACTTAGGGATGACCTGCACCTTCAGACGAACAGCAGGAAAAAAGACTCTTTTCCACTTCTCCTGGTTTGAGGTGGAGTTGGGCCCCCTGTCTGAGTAGGGTGAGGTGGCTGGCAGAGAGCTGGATGCCCCTTCCAATAGCTGGCCAAAGGTAGCAGAGGCAGGATTGTTCTCAAAGGAATTAGGTAAAAGCCCCGCAGCCAAGTGTGAGATCAAATCTCAGAAAATATCAGTACTGGGCTGGGCATGGTGGCACCGTGGCCAGTCTTAGCTGGACAGTTTTAAACTTTCTTTTCTCGGGGCTTTTTTTTTTTTTTTTTTTTTGAGAAAACAAGAAGATTGGTTACTCTAATTAAATATAATAATGAGAGTAGATGGTTAATTGTACTGGATACACTAATGCAGAGAGATACAGGTATGTGTACAGAATAAGGTATGATTTTCTGTTTATTTAGAAAAGTTACTACAGTTTATTCAAAATACATTTAATATACACATATTTTATTCAATTATATTTTAAGGCTATAGTTAAAAGCTTTAAAGTAATTTTTGCTATTGAGTTGTGGGAGTTCTATATGTATTTTGGATGTTAGCTAACCTCTTCTCAGATATGTGGTTTGCAAATATTTTCTCCAATTCCATAGACTGCCTTTTCACTGTTGTTTCTTTTGCTGTGCAGAAGGTTTTTAGTTTGATGTGGTTCCATTCGTCTATTTTTGCTTTTGTTGCCTGTGCTTTTGATATATAAAAGAAATCATCGCTTAGACCAATGTCATGAAGACTTTCTCCTATGTTTTCTTCTAGGAGTCTTATAGGTTTAGGTGTTATATTTAAATCTTTAATCCATTGTGAGCTCATTTTTGAGTGTGGTGTAAGACAGGGGTCCAATTTTATTCTTTTGTATGTCCATATTCAGTTTTCCCAAAACCATTTGTTAAAGAGGCCATCGTTTGTCCATTGTGTATTCTTGGCACCCTGTTGAAGATCAGTTGATTATATACACTTAGGTTATTTCTGGGCTGTCTGTTCTGTTCCATTGGTCCTTGTGTCTGTTTATATGACAGTACCATACTGTTTTAATTACTATAGCTTTGTAATATATTTTGGAATCAGGAAGTTGATGCCTCCAGCTTTGTTCTTCTTTCTCAAGATTGTGTTGGTTATTTGGGATCTTTTGTGGTTCCATATGAATTTTAGGATTATTTTTTCCTATTTCTGTAAAAAAATGCCATTAGAGGCTGGGTGTGGTGGCTCATGCCTGTCATCCCAGCACTTTGGGAAGCCAAGATGGGTGGATCACCTGAGGTCAGGAGTTCGAGACCAGCCTGGCCAACATGGTAAAACCCCGTCTCTACTAAAAATATAAAAATTAGGCAGGCATGGTGGCGGGTGCCTGTAATCCCAGCTACTCGGGAGGCTGAGGCAGGAGAACTGCTTGAACCCAGGAGGCAGAGGTTGCAGTGAGCTGAGATCGCACCACTGCACTCCAGCCTGGGCAAGAGAGTGAGACTTTGTCTCAAAAAAAAAAAAAAAATGCCATTAGATTTTGATAGGGATTACATTGAATCTGTAGATCAAAGTAGCGTGAACATTTAAACATTATTAGATCTTTCAATCTATAAACATGGGATGTTTTTCCATTTACTTGTGTCTTCTTTGATTTCTTTCATCAATATTATGTAGTTTTCTTTGATTTCTTTCATCAGTGTTACATACAAGTCTTTCATCTCCTTGGTTGAGTTTATTCCTAAGTATTTTATTCTTCTTGGTGCTATTGCAAATGGGATTGTTTTTTGTAATTTTCTTTTGGATACTTTGTTGTTAGTGTACCAAAACATAACTAACTTTTGTATGTTGATCTTGTATCCTGCAACTTTATGGAATTTGTTTATTCATTCTAAGTTTTTTTTTGTGTGTGGAGTCTTTAGGGTTTTCTACATATAAGATTATGTCATCTGCAAACAGAGATAGTGTTACTTAATCGTTTCCAATTTGTATGACTTTTAAATTTCTTTTCCTTGCCTAATTGCTCCGTTAGGACTTCCAGTACTATGTTGACTAGAAGTGGCAAGAGCGGGTATTCTTTGCCTTGTTCCTGATCTTACAGACAAAGCTTTCAGTTTTTCATTGTTGAGTATAATGTTAGCTGTGAGCTTGTCATATATGGTCTTTATTTTGTCAAGGAAAATTCCTTTTATACCTAGTTTGTTGAGAGTTTTTACTATGAAAAGATGTTGAATTTTGTCAAATGCTTTTTCTGCATCTATTGAGATGATCATTTGATGTTTATCCTTCATTTTGTTAACGTGGTGTGTCACATTAATTGTTTTACATATGATGAGCCATCCTTGCAAAGGACTTGAATAGACATTTCTCAAAAGAAAGCATACAAATGGCCAACAGGTATATGAAAAGATGCTCAACATCACTAATCATAAGAGAAATGCAAATCAAAACCACAATGAAATATCACTTCACACCTGTTAGAGTGGCTATTGTCAAAAAAAAAAAAAAAAAAAAAAAAAAAAAAGGTAAAGAAAGTGAGACAAGCTCCCAACTGGTAACAAGTGCTGTTGAGGAGAAATTGGAACTTTTGTACACGGTTGGTGGGAAAGTAAAATTGTGCAGCCACTGTGGAAAACAATATAGAGGTTCATAAAAGAATGAAAAATAGAACTACCAAATGATCCAGCAATCCCACTTCTGGGTATATATTCAAAAGAACTGAAGGATCCCAAAGAGATATTAGCAGTCCTTTGTTCATTGTAGCATTATTCACAATATCCAAGACATGAAAATGACCTAACTATTCATCAACAGATGAATGAATAAAGAAAATTTGGTATGTACATTCAGTGAAATATTAATCAGTCTTAAAAAGAAGGAAATTCTGCAATATATAACACTATGGATGAACCTGGAGGACATTATGCTAAGTGAAATTAGCTCGTCACAGAAGAACAAATACTGCATGATTCCACTGACATGGGGTATCCAAAATAGGCCAACTCATAGAAACAAAGTAGAATGACGGTTTTCAGGGGATCGGGAGAGGAGGAAATTAAAACCAATCCAACTGTCCAGAGACAGTTTTTGTTTTGTTTTGTTTTGTTTTGTTTTGAGACGGAGTCTCGCTCTGTCGCTCACGCTGGAGTGCAGTGGCGCGATCTCGGCTCACTGCAAGCTCCGCCTCCCGGGTTCACGCCATTCTCCTGCCCCAGCCTCCCAAGTAGCTGGGACTACAGGCGCCCGCCACCACGCCCGGCTAATTTTTCGTGCTTTTAGTAGAGACGGGGTTTCACCGTGTTAGCCAGGATGGTCTCGATCTCCTGATCTCGTGATCCGCCCGCCTCGGCCTCCCAAAGTGCTGGGATTACAGGCGTGAGCCACCGCGCCTGGACATAGACAGTTTTTAAAAAATAAACTTAAAGCTTGAAACTCACCAGATCCAGACAATTAAATACCAGGCCTCTCAGAAGGTATCAAAGAACGGAAACTCACCAGATCATCACATCCAGACAATGAGATGCCAGGCCCCTCATTCATCATGATTGCTTCCTTAGCCCTTCAGAATTCCTGTTTTCCCATACATTGTTACATTTTTTTCTCTGCTATATAAACCCCTAATTTTAGCCAGTCAGGGAGATGGATTTGAGACTGATCTCTCATCTCCCCTACTGCAGCACTCTATTAAAGCCTTCTTCCTTGGCAGTAATCATCTCAGCCGTTGGCTATCTGTGCAGCAAACAGCAGGACTCAGACTGAATCCCTGGTGTTTCGGTAACAAAATGGAGAGTTGCTATTCAAGAGGTATAAAGTTTCAGTTATACAAGATAAACATATTCTAGATATCTGCTATACAACACCGTGCTCATAGTTAACAATACTGTGTACCTGTTTACTTAAAAATTTGTTAAGAGAGTATGCGGCAGGAGAATAGGGTCTGGAGGCAGGGAACCTAAGGCTGATTCACACTGAATTTCTAGAGCTAAATCGAAAGGAAAATCCCAACTTTCCATGCCTAAGTAACAAAAGGACCAGAAGCTACTCCCTTTGCAAACCCCCTGCTTTTCTGCTCTGCAGATGGAAAATGGACAGTTCCTCTGATTGGTTGCTTTCTGCAGCCAATCAGATATTTGCATAGAAGTGTAACTTTGTAACTTCACTTCAGCCTCTGATTGTGGACCACTATTCATTTGCATGGGGTGAACACCAAGTGGCCAATGGCAAACTTCTAGGAGGTATTTGGACCCCAAAAGATTCTGAATCCGGGCTCTTGAGCCCCTATGCTTGGCCTGCTCCCACCCTGTGGAGTGTACTTTCATTTTCAATAAATGAAAATTTGTTTGCTCCTTGTTTTGTTTGTGCGTTCTGTCCAGTTCTTTGTTCAAAATGCGAAGAACCTGAACGCCCTCCACTGGTAACAAGCAGATCTCATTTTAAGTGTTTTTATTACAACTTAAAAAAGAAAGCTTTAATTTGTTACCTATTTGTATATTTATATATCTGTGTATGCCTAAATGCATACAAATAAAGGAATATTAATAGAGCCTTTATTATAATCTATTAGAAAATTATGTACCAAAGGAGTAAAATTAGGATTTGGCTCTGTCATGTAAAATGACTCAGTTGTTTTGCACCCAGATTACTAGAGGTTATTTTTTTTCACCAAATTATTCTGTTAACTCTCAGTGTTTTTCACATGCTCTTAAAACATCTTGTTAGAAATTCCCTTGGATAGCCCTGACCTGATTTTATTTGTTCATATTTTAAAATGCTATCACAGACCTAAATTCACCCTTAAAGTAGAGACCACTCCAGAAATTAAATCAGCTCCAATGACTGAAATAATTGCCTGCATCTGGGTCTGCTGGCTGCTAAAGTGTAAAAGAGTAAGCATATACACTAATGGCAGATGCACTTTTGGGGAGTCTGTGAATTGGGAATGCTTTGGAAATGAAGAGTTTTCTAACCTCCACAAAAATCTGCAAAAATTGGATGACGGATTAAAAATAAAACTTTCAGCTGCTTTGCTGTTACCTGAGGAAATAGCTGTAATAAAAGTAGACCACCATTCAATGCACAAAGACCCAGAATTTCTAGTAATACTTTAGCTGGCCACCATGCTAACCCCAGTAGCGTCACCAAGATCAATGCTCCTGCAAATCACACAGAAAAGAGGGGTCTTGGAGGATTCAAAGAGGCCATTTTTAACTGTCAGAGACAAACCCCTGATTCCCAAAAGTAGAAAAGTGAAAAAATCTGGAAGTGGGAAAAGTTTGGATGTTCATGGCAAAAGAGACTATTTGATGCTGTCAGGATAGCTGACACATAATGGCAAATGATTTAAAGGGGAATTTCAGAAAAATGCTTTGCGATATTACTCATAATAGCAGGGACAAATTGGCAACTATACTAAATCAACATTGGTGGGGGTAATTTTAGAGGTATTTCCAAGGATATTTTAAAAACTTGTCCTACTGCCAACAATGCGATCCTAGCAAATGCAAAGGTGGGATATGAACAAGAACTAAGATCTCGAGGGCCCTTCAGACCTCCAATCACTTTATACAAATGCCTCCTGCAATGGACTATAAATATGCTCTGATTATTTTGGTTTTTTTTTTTCTCCTTCAAGATGGATTAAAGCTTTTCCTTGCCGGAGAGTTATGGCTGTTATAACTGTGGCAAAAATTTCTGCTTGATTTTGTTTTCCAACCTGGAATTTCCACTTATTTCTCTAATAATGACAACGACACTCATTTTACTGGTATTGTTATTAAGGAACTCTGTAAAGTTTGCCTTTTACCCAAAAACTTTACTGTCCTTATCATCCACGGTCCTCAGGAAAAACAGAGAGAACTAATGAAATTTGACAGCTAAGATGAACAAAGCTCCCTTAAACTCCAATGGTCTAAAATCTTCTCTTTTCCAGCTGGAACCATAGAGGGTGTCAAAGAGAAGAAGAAGAAGGTTCCTGCTGTGCCAGAAACCCTTCAGAAAAAGAAAAGGAATTTTGCAGAGCTAAAGATCAAGTGCCTGAGAAATAAGTTTGCCCAAAAGATGCTTCAAAAGGCAAGGAGGAAACTTATCTGTGAAAAAGCGAATAGGCAGATGTACAGAACTGAAATTTGAATAGTGAGGGGGGCAAGAAAAGCTGGCAACTTCTATGTACGTGCAGAACCCAAATTGGCATTTGTCATCAGGATCAGAGGTATCAATGGTGTGAACCCAAAGGTCCAAAAGGTGTTGCAGCTTCTTCGCCTTTGTCAAATCTTCAATGGAAACTTTGTGAAGCTTAACAGGGCTTCAGTTAACATGCTGAGGATTGTAGAGCCATATATTGCATGCGGGTACCCAAATCTGAAGTCAGTAAATGAACTAGGCTACAAGCGTGGTTATGGCAAAATCAATAAGAAAAGAATTGCTTTGACAGACAACGCTTTGATTGCTTGATCTCTTGGTAAATATGGCATTATCTGCATGGAGGATCTGATTCAAGGGATCTATACTGTTGGAAAAGTCTGCAAAAAAACAAATAACTTCCTGTGGCCCTTCAAATTATCTTATCCACGAGGTGGAATGAAGAAAAAGGCCACCCATTTTGTAGAAGGTGGAGATGCTGGCAACAGGGAGGACCAGATCAACAGGCTTATTAGAAGAATGAACTAAGGTGTCTTCCATGATTATTTTTCTAAGCTGGTCAGTTAATAAACAGTACCTGCTCTCAAATTGAAAAAATAAAAATAAAATAAAATCTTACCTCTAGCTTCAGTGTGTATAAGATCAGCCCCTTCTGGGACCCACAGGTTACCTCCTTATGAATTAATACGAGGCCAAGCTGGGTGCGGTGGCTCGCGTCTATAATCTTAGCTATTCAGGAGGCTGAGGTGGGAGATTGCTTGAAGCCAAGAGTTTGAGGCTGTAGTGCACTATGATTGCACCTGTGAAGAGCTACTGCACTCCAGCCTGGGCAACATAGCAACACCCTGTCTCTAAAAAAAAGAAAAAGAAAAAGAAAAATGGCCTGTCCATGTATTTGAAAATTTCACCACCAATCTTTGATTTGGTCCTATTACAATTATGATGAAATATGATTAAGAATTGCAAGGGCGTCATAGAATACCTTCAGCTTTATCATCAACAGATATGATCTTCATTTCCAAACAACTCACCTGTGATTCACAACAAGAGATTTAGTGTTCTGGAAAAGACCTGAGATTAACTGCCTTTGATCCTCGAGGAAATGGACCTTATCAGATACTTAACAACTGACCCAGCAGTAATATTCCAAAGTATGGATCCTTAGGTAAATTATTTCCTAGCTCAAAAGACATACAATATTTCCTCCTGACTCTTGGACACCCATTCCACTGGAAATCTTAAACTGAGATTCTTAGGTATGCTCCAGAAGATGCTGACTTCAGAGGTGGATAGCTTCTGCCCAGCACTTTGGATAAGGATTAACAATCTGACTCAACACCCTTTCCTGGCTATTATTCTACTCTGAAGCCATCTAAAATATTAATGTTAGCTTCCTATTTTCATCCTATTATTTATTTATTTATTTATTTATTTATTTATTTATTTTTATTTAAAAGCCAGGGTCTCACTCTGTTGCTCAGGCTGGAGTACAGTGGCACAATCATGGCTCACTGCAGCCTCAGACTCCTGGGCTCTAGTGATTCTCCCACCTCAGTTTCCCAAGTACCTGGTATGATGGGCACAAGCCACTGTACCTGGCCCTCATCCTGTTACTTCTGACCTCTTATGTTCTCTATCTACCACTTAACAGAAAACAAAATTTTCTTATACTTTTTTTTCCCAAACCATTGCTGCCACTCTGAATCTAACAACCCTGCTGACAAAAATTTCATAGCTGTCCTTTTAAAACCTTCACAAGGCAACCTCCCTTTAACTGGCTCCTTATGGTAATTATGTTTCACTCACATCATTCATCCCAACCTTCAGTCTTGCAACAATTGTGCTTAGACTTCGTGCCAACAAATTGCTTCTGCTGAGGCCATTACAAGGCCAATAAATCAGGACTAATATTGGGTCTATTCTGGCTACCACGGTTGTTTGCTTTCTTCAGAGACATCTGAGCCTGCTTTGCAGAAACTATTTAATTCCACTCAAGGAATCTGTCCATCTTGAGGAACACAAAAGTGACTCATTCCTATTGTAATAAATGATACTTAATACCAGTATAATCAGTGCTCCACTAAAATCCTGTTTCTTACATGACATCAGGATCATTCTGTCCACTGCTACCCTGTGATTCCAATGAATTGTTAGAGATTGCCAGATATTTAAAACTATCATCCCACCAGGAAATCATGTTTTCTTGAAAAAGATATACAGAAGTGCCCAGGCGCGTTGGCTCACGCCTGTAATCCCAGCACTTTGGGAGGCCGAGGGGGGCAGATCACCTGACATCGGAGTTCGAGACCAGCTTGACCAACATGGAGAAACAGTGTCTCTACTAAAAATACAAAATTAGCCGGGCATGGTGGCGCATGCCTGTAATCTCAGCTACTCGGGAGGCCGAGGCAGGAGAATTGCTTGAACCAGGAAGGCGGAGGTTGTGGTGAGCCGAGATCGCACCATTGCACTCCAGCCTGGGCAACAAGATTGAAACTCCATAGAAAGAAAGAAAGAAAGAAAAGAAAGAAAGAAAGAAAGAAAGAAAGAAAGAAAGAAAGAAAGAAAAGAAAGAAAGAAAGAAAGAAAGAAAGAAAGAAAGAAAGAAAGAAAGAAAGGAAAGAAAGAAAAGAAAGAAAGAAAGGAAAGAAAGAAAGAAAGAAGGAAGGAAGGAAGGAAGGAAGGAAGGAAGGAAGGGAAGGAAGGAAGGAAGGAAGGAAGGAAGGAAGGAAGGAAGGATACCCAGAAGCTTCTAAAATGAGGAAAGCACAGATAATCTGGTGGACCATCCAGGAAGGATAATTGATTTCTCTCATACAAGATGCAATTCCCATAGTAGGAATAAAACAAGATATATGCAGCAAAATTTGACAGAATTGAAGGGAGAAATAGACAGTTCTACATTAACAATGGGAGGCTCTAAAACCCCTCTTTCAATTATGGAAAGGCTGAGACGGAAGGTAAGTAAGGAAATGCAGAATGTGAACACACAATGAACCGGTTAGATCTCACAGGCATGCAGAAAATAACCTGACAACAGCGTGCACATTCTTCCCCAGGGCACCACTTCCGCCTCCCTCATCCCCACTGCTCCCGATCCCTGTCCACAGACCCACTTCCCGCCCTGGTGTGATCCTCGTGGCCACTGTGGCCCCTACTTTGGAGATCCTGCTGGTCCAGTTCTTCCCGCCTTCCGCAGAGCCGTACTCCTCCTTCTGAAGAAGCCACCTGGGACCTGGGCCCCGTCTTCCTGGCTCCTCAGAGTCCTTGCAACAGCAGGCACCGCTTCTCTCTCCTACACTCAACCCCTCTCCCACTCCACTGCCTCTCAGTGTGCAAAAACAGTAAGAAGTGTCCCGTATTTTCAAAATCTCTCCCCTGTAGTTCCCACCTGACTTCTAGTCGTAGGTGGCCAAAGTACAGTGTTTTTGAAGGATTGTTTTATTCCCAGTGCCTGGAATATGGTAGGATCTCAACAACTGTTGTTTCAATAAAGGAATGACCAAATGGGTGAATACTAATGTAACAATATCAATTCTGTTTCTTTCATAATTATTCTCATAAGTGTTAGCTTTCTTAAAAAATCATCTTCACAATTGGACCTAGACATTTTATCTTTCCCAGCTCAAGATGGATAAACTCAGAATGACAGGCCAGGCACCGTGGCTCATGCCTGTAATCCCAGCACTTTGGGAGGCGGAGGCGGGTGGATCACTTGAGACCAGGAGTTCAAGACCAGTCTGGTCAACACGGTGAAATCCCATCTCTACAGAAAATACAAAAAAGTTAGCAGGGCGTCGTGGCGCTCGTCTGTAATCCCAGCTGCTCGGGAGGCTGAGGCAGGAGAATCGCTTGAGCCCGGGAGGCGGAGGTTGCAATGAACCGAGATCGCCCTACTGCACTCCAGCCTGGGCAACACAGCGAGTCCCCGTTCCAAAAAAAAAAAAAAAAAAAAGACTCAGAATGACACATTCTTAATGTCTTAATGTATAATGAGAAGTATAACTATTCAGAAGTCCAAGCACTTGTGTGTGCATGGTGCTATCGTCTTGCTGTAGGCAAACCTACATGGGAATCCACCTTGACACATAGGCCACTTCCTGAGCCTGGACCCAGTCTCAGAGCTGGGGAACTGGCCCAATGCAAAAGGGTCGGGAGCATCTGCAACAGAGACTGAGCTCTATCAGCTTCGGTGACATAGCCTCCATTCACGCTCCCCAACTCAGCAGAGAGAGCACACCATCAGACTTCTAAGACTTAGTAGCCAAGAAGTGTTGAATTAAACTCTCTGAGACCTCTCTTTAGTCTGACCCTGGCAGCCTCAGTCTCCCAGAGCCTGTGGGAACTCGGCAGCCGAGAGGCAGAAGGCTGGGCGACGTCCGGAGAAGAAGAAACGGGGGAAGAACTTTTCTCTTACGATCTGGCTTTACTCTCACGCGCACAGCCGAGTCCCTGGGGACCCAGCAGAGGTCCGAAGCGGAGCGGGGCGGGGCGGGGCTACGGAAGCTGGCGAGGCCGAGCCCCTCCTAGTGCTTCCGGACCTTGCTCCCTGAACACTCGGAGGTGGCGGTGGATCTTACTCCTTCCAGCCAGTGAGGATCCAGCAACCTGCTCCGTGCCTCCCGCGCCTGTTGGTTGGAAGTGACGACCTTGAAGATCGGCCGGTTGGAAGTGACGACCTTGAAGATCGGCGGGCGCAGCGGGGCCGAGGGGGCGGGTCTGGCGCTAGGTCCAGCCCCTGCGTGCCGGGAACCCCAGAGGAGGTCGCAGTTCAGCCCAGCTGAGGCCTGTCTGCAGAATCGACACCAACCAGCATCATGTCCATGACACTGGGGTACTGGGACATCCGCGGGGTGAGTGAGGGTCCGCTGCACTGTGGGACCGGGCGCGTGGGCGGGAAGTGCCGAGCGGCTGGGGACCGGCTCTAGGGACGGTTCCCTCCTTAGGGCTATCTCTCACAGGAGGGCCTGTGCATGCCTGTGTGTGTGTGTGTGTGTGTGTGTGTGTGTGTGTGTGTGCGTGCGCCGGGGTGGGGGGGGGGTGCAGTGCAGTGTAGACTAGGGGCTCACCTGGTGCAGAGAAAGTCACCAAGTCAGGGACCCTCCATCTCTGACACGACCTGCGGGCCATCTCTTCCAGCTGGCCCACGCCATCCGCCTGCTCCTGGAATACACAGACTCAAGCTACGAGGAAAAGAAGTATACGATGGGGGACGGTAATGACACCCTTGTGTCCGGGCTCTGCCCACTCACGCTGAGTTGGCACCAAGCAACCCATGGTGGCCACCTGTGGCTACCTCTGCAGGCCTCCCCTGCTGGAGCTGCAGGCTGTCCCTTCCCTGAGCCCCGGTGAGGGAGTCCTGTGGCCTTGCAAGGCAGAATGCTGGGGCGGGATGCTGGGCCCCCTGTTTAATTGGGTTGGGTGTCCCTCAGAGCTTCCCTAAACCCTGGAAGCCTTAGCCGTGTGGGGTCCAGAGCCCTCAGCGGGATTCTTTGTCCCTGAACCCTGGGATGTGGGACTGAGTGGTCAGATTCTAGATCCACCTGTCTCAGGGATCTTGCCACTGGTTCCTTGGGAGGGTCCCCGGGAAGGAGGGCTGGGCTCTGGGGAGGTTTGTTTTCACTTCTTCTTCCCCACGGCAGCTCCTGACTATGACAGAAGCCAGTGGCTGAATGAAAAATTCAAGCTGGGCCTGGACTTTCCCAATGTAGGTGCAGGGGAAGGGGCGGTTTTGGGGGAAAGTGCGACGTGTCTCTGACTGCATCTCCTCTCCCCAGATTAGAGGTGTTCGGATCAGGAGTCTTCTGCCCAATTCCTCTCACTCCTGGTTGTCTACACAGCCCCTGCATGATGTTCTGTGTCCCAGCTCATTTGTTCATGTGACAGTATTTCTATGTCAGGCCTGCCATGAGCGGGCACAGTGAGTGCCTGGTCTCCCCTCTGCCCTTGCATATGGGAAGGGGATGCTGGGGAGCCTGCTGGCCCAACTGAGCTTCCCCGGTTTCCCATCTATCCAGCTGCCCTACTTGATTGATGGGGCTCACAAGATCACCCAGAGCAACGCCATCCTGTGCTACATTGCCCGCAAGCACAACCTGTGTGAGTGTGGTTGGCTGCAGTGTGTGGGGGGAAGGTGGCATCCTCCTTGGCTGGATTGGGGTGCTATGCTCAGAGTGAGTCTGTGTTTTGTGGGTGGCAGGTGGGGAGACAGAAGAGGAGAAGATTCGTGTGGACATTTTGGAGAACCAGGCTATGGACGTCTCCAATCAGCTGGCCAGAGTCTGCTACAGCCCTGACTTTGTGAGTCCCTCCCTGGTCTGGACCAGAAGCCAGGCTTGTATTCCCATCTACTCTGGTCCTATTCACAATTTGAACTCCTCACTGCTATTGATCCTCTGAGGGTTCCCTGTACTGTAGCAGAGTGACTGTCATATCATTAAACTTATAAAATAAAAACTTGAAATCAGTCCCCACCAATCATAGGAAGTCCTATGAAAGCTAGCAATTCAGTTCCTAGACAATAAAGTCATGCGTTCAGAATTCCCTTCACCTCTGACCCCTGACCTCTGCCACGGGCCATCTAACCCAGCTGGTTCATGCCATCTGCCTGTTCGGGGAATACGCAGACTCACACTATGGGGTAAAGAAGTATGTAGTGGGATGTAATAGCACCCTCCTCTGTGGAATTCCGTGCTATTCTTTTCCTAGTGCTTCTCCTTGACACGCACAGGGATGAATGCATTTTCCTAACAGGCAGCTCAGGGGCGGCCAGAGGGCCTTTGTTCCTCTGTCTCCTTCCATGCAGCCTCTCAAAATCTCATCTCTCCAGAAACTACTCAATGTCCATTGTATTATTCTGCCACTGCACTAGGAGGAACTTTCAACTTCTTTCTCTGAGCTCCTTTAGTTCTTTGTATCCTTGATTTTGCTCATGTCTGGGTCCAGAGCCTGCCAGGTACTCAGGTGCTCCTGGGCTGACCCAGAGGAGGGTGGTTGGGAGGTCAGTGGGGACAGATTCAGGGATAGTGTTGCATTCCTCTCTGCCTTCCCATCACCACAAAAGCCTCCAGCTACCCATTTGGAGTGTAATAAATGCTGGTATGTCCAGCTGAAGCCAGTTCCAGCTGTGGGGAAGATGGCTGCTTGCTCGTGGCCAGCTGGGGCCATACACAGCCCTGGGGAGGCCACATCTGTGCAGGGAGCTTGTGTCTGAGGGTGGTGACAGCTGTTTTCTGCCTCAGGAGAAACTGAAGCCAGAATACTTGGAGGAACTTCCTACAATGATGCAGCACTTCTCACAGTTCCTGGGGAAGAGGCCATGGTTTGTTGGAGACAAGGTAATGGGGGCATGTGATGAGGACACTAGAGATTTGCCATACATCCTACGTTACAGAGATTCCAGCCCACACATTCTTGGCCTTCTGCAGATCACCTTTGTAGATTTCCTCGCCTATGATGTCCTTGACCTCCACCGTATATTTGAGCCCAACTGCTTGGACGCCTTTCCAAATCTGAAGGACTTCATCTCCCGCTTTGAGGTGATGCCCCCATCCTCCTTTCTCTTTGATGCCCCTTGTTCCGTTACCTCCTTTCAGATGCTTTCCCAGTCCTGGAGCTACATAAAGAATAACTTGCATTTATTGAGTGCTGGCTTCATGCCAGGAACCTTGCCCAGCACATTATACCTATCGTGTGGAATTTGAAATTTCCAACATTCCTACAGGGTGACAGAATTATCTTGCCCATTTAGAGATAAGAAAACTTTGAATGAGAGGGTCAGTCCTTTGTTCTGGGTCCCAGAGCCAGTGGAGGCTGTGCTGGGCTCCCTGTGAGCATCTGGATCTATGGGTGGCAGTCAGGGCTCTCCCTTTTGTGACAAAAGAAAGAAGCCTCAGGCCTCATCCAGCCTGGATTTCACAGCCCAGGGCACTTTGGAAGAGGCAGAGAACTTTAGGAGCATGGATGCAGCTGGCAATAGTAGGACTGACACACGGTGGCATTGACGTCGAGTACGAAACCCACAGGCAGTATTCATAGCTACTCCCAGAAGCTTTGCACGATCAGACCCCCACGTGGGGAATCCTGAGAGCCAGAGCTGTGGCCAGAGCTGGATTAGGGTACATATGTGGGTGCCCCTGTTGAAGGAGTGTATGTTGAAGTGCTCTGTGCTGGGGCACTCTCCTTCTTTATCTTTTTTCCTCTCTTTTTTCCCTCCAGTGTTCCAAGTGTTCCCCCTGTGAGATGAGTAGCACACTGATTTTACTGCTATTCACCGACCTTCTCCTCTGCATGAGGCAGGGTGTGAGGCACAGTGGGAGTTGCATAGATGACTGCCCCATCCTGGAAATGAGTGCAGTGAGAGGCCTGCAGGCAGAGCAGCCTGTGAGGTGTGTGGCACCACCTGGGTACCAGGCCTGGGGCCTGCCCCTCACTCATGGGGAACCATCCCTCACCCGTGCTGAATTTGTTTGAGAGCAGCAAATCCTACTTTTAGTACAGATGTGAGAATTTGAGGCATTAGTCCAACAAGTTTTTCAGCCTAGAATTTGTTTTCCTTTCCCACTACCCATCAAGGGATCTGGTTACTCAGCTAGTTCCCATCAGCTCTGGCTGTGGTCTCGGCTGAGTGGCCTTGGGGTTATGTAAGAGGTAGTGGGAGGGGAAGAGAGCTGAGGGCTGCAGCATATGGTCCACCTGGGCTTGGCCCTTTGGGAATAGGCAGCCCTGGCTCTCTCTGAATCCTTAGAAATTACACGGCTATTTGATCCTGGAAAGATCGTGCAGAGCACACCTGAGTGTCATACAGCCTGGTCTGAGGTAGTGGGGTTGGAGATGAGGTGGGTTGGGGCACAGTGGTGTTTAGCTCAGGTACCAGGTGGGGAGGTTTAGACTTTCTGCTTTAAAAGGAATGATTAGAGCCTGGTCTGGCGTTTCTTTTGCTGGTCCAACACACCTTGACCACTTTCATCCAGGTTTTGCCAGGTCCTTGGGTGAGATCTGGGCTCTCTTCCAGGCTGCACAGACATTTTCAGAGGTCCCCTCTGTGTGTGCAAACCTAGGCAAGCCAGGTGCCTCCCTGTGAAACAGGAGAATGTTGTGTAGTCAGAGAGTGACAGGACCTCCTGAGGGATTTGGGGGAGGATGGGGATTTGACAGAAAGAGGCCAGAACTGGAGAGAGACAGAACCAGTCTACGTTGCAGCTCTGTCCCCCTTAGTAGCTATTTGAGTGTGAGGAAGTTACTGAACTTCTGTTTCCCACATGAGAAATGGTGATAATAGATTCAGCCTTGCAGAGTAGTCGAGTGGGTTTTCTAAGCTTATGTTGTAATTTCTCTTGGGTACAGAGCACCCAGCACCGGGTAGAATCTTCATAAGTGTTAGCTGTTACTGTGGTACAACATTACTTAAAGGAAGTTGGAAGAGTTAACTCCGCAAATCTGGGGACCCTAAGAGGCTGTGTGATGCCTCAGCACTTGAGCCCACGTGGAAAGGCTGTGGCCAGGGCCCTGACCTGCTGTGTCTGCAGTGGGGTTGTCCCAGCCCTCATGGGCAGCTGACCTTGAGTTCTGGCCTTATTTTCCCCCCTCTCAGGGCTTGGAGAAGATCTCTGCCTACATGAAGTCCAGCCGCTTCCTCCCAAAACCTCTGTACACAAGGGTGGCTGTCTGGGGCAACAAGTAATGCCTTGAAGGCCAGGAGGTGGGAGTGAGGAGCCCATACTCAGCCTGCTGCCCAGGCTGTGCAGCGCAGCTGGACTCTGCATCCCAGCACCTGCCTCCTCGTTCCTTTCTCCTGTTTATTCCCATCTTTACCCCCAAGACTTTATTGGGCCTCTTCACTTCCCCTAAACCCCTGTCCCATGCAGGCCCTTTGAAGCCTCAGCTACCCACTTTCCTTCATGAACATCCCCCTCCCAACACTACCCTTCCCTGCACTAAAGCCAGCCTGACCTTCCTTCCTGTTAGTGGTTGTATCTGCTTTGAAGGGCCTACCTGGCCCCTCGCCTGTGGAGCTCAGCCCTGAGCTGTCCCCGTGTTGCATGACAGCATTGACTGGTTTACAGGCCCTGCTCCTGCAGCATGGCCCCTGCCTTAGGCCTACCTGATCAAAATAAAGCCTCAGCCACATTTGCTATAGTCTTGTCTTATTTGCTCCTGGCTGCCCAGACTGTGTCTGTCACTGCCTCTTCTGAGGGACTGGCTGGTGACCCTGGCAGTAGCTGGGTTCATAGAGATTATGATGGGCTTAGTAAGGTGTTTCCAACTTTGTTTTTTTTTTGAAATAAGGTCTCCTGCTTCCCAAGGTGAAGGGCAGTGGCGGCATCGTAGCTTACTGCAACATCCAGTCCTGGGCTCAAGAATCCTCCCACTTCAGCCTCCCAAATAGCTGAGACTATAGGTGTGCCACCACACCTGGCCACATTAAAAAAATTTTTGTAGAGATGTGTCTCTTTATGTTGCCCAGGCTGGTCTGGAACTCCTGAGCTCAAGCGATCCTCTTACCTTGGCATCCCAAATTGCTGGGATTGCAGGTGTGAGCCACCATGCCTGGCCCTGTTTCCAACTTCTTGATCTCTTTTCTGACTGCCTTAGAGCAGGAAGCCACATAAAGTGCTCTATAGAAAGGATGCCTCTTTCTGGGCCTAGATCTTCATTTATTTTTATGTATTCAGTATTATTCAGTGCTTTCCATGGTTAGGCAGAGCTAGGTCTCAGTGAGTACGTCTTAGATGCCCAGAGGTGGTGGAATTCCCATCACAGAGAACCAGGATCCTTCTGTCTTCCACACTGACTGACTCCATCACAGCTTAGATCTCTAGGACGCAAGCTCTACTGTGAGCTGCTTCACCAGAAGGTTCTCCCACTCAGCAGTTCCCAAGCTGTGTTATCACAAATAGTTGTTGATTTTGTGGGTTAGGAATTCAGGTGATGCCCAGCAGGGAGAACTTATTACAAATCAACAAAGGTCTTTTCTCCAAAAACTATATATCCAGAAATACGGCCCATTAAAAAATGAGTCAAAACTTGAACAGGCATTTCCGAAAAATGAATATCCAAATTGCCAACAAGCTCATGAGAAGGTGCTCAACATTATTAGAAAGCAGAAAGTTAAAAACCCATAAGATCCTACTGTATCCCCACTAGAATGGCTGACATTGAAAGGACTGACAATTGCTGGTGATTTATGCAGTAACTGGAACTGTCATGCATTGCTGGTGGGAAAGCCACTTTGGAATACTGGCAGTGTCAACTAGAGCTAAACATACATCTACCCAGGACCCAGAAATCCCACCCTATAGGAATGAGTCTTAATGGATTCCAAGAGCCAGGTATAATGATGCCAAAAGCAGCTTTATTTTAAATAGCCAATAACTGAAAACAATCCAAATTCCATGAATAGAAGAATGAACAAATAAACTGTGGTTTATCAACATAATTCCATCATTCATATAATGGTATATTTACTCTGCTATAATGAAAATAAACATGCTAACACTATGTGCAAAAACATGGATGGGTCTCACAGAAGTGTTGAGTAAAAGGATCCAGACAGGAGAAAGGACACACGATCTCATTCCACTTACACGAAATTCAGGAGAGGGAAATGAGTCCATGGTATCAGAGGTCAGATGATTGGTGACCTTGGTGAGAACTGGAAGGTTGCCTATTGAAGGCTCCTGGTGCAGTGCTGTAAGTTTTCTCTCTTTATCTGGGAGGTGATTCCAGAAGAGTATCCAAGTGGAAAAGCCCACAGAGTAGCACACTTAAGGCCTATGCACTGTATGTATTACACTTCAATGAAAAGCATGCTTGGCCAGGTGCGGTGGCTCACGTCTATAATCCCAGCACTTTGGGAGGCCGAGGCGTGTGGATCATGAGGTTGGGGGTTTGAGACCAGCCTGACCAACATGGTGAAACCCCGTCTCTACTAAAAATACAAAAATCAGCCAGGCGTGGTGGCAGCGCCTGTAATCCCAGCTACTCAGGAGGCTGAGGCAGGAGAATTGCTTGAACCCAGGAGGCAGAGGTTGCAGTGAGCTGAGATCACGCCACTGCACACTCCAGCCTGGGCGACAGAGCAAGACTCCGTCTCAAAAAGAAAAAAAAAAAGCATGCATTAAGGCCTGTGCACTGTATGTGTATTACACTTCAATGAAAAGCATGCTCATATGTCTTACATTATTTGTGTGCTTGTGTTGGTTTGCTTTCCCTCATAAGATGTCAACGTCCTCAGGACATGTGTTTTTGTCTCTTCTTGTTCGCTGATGTAACAGGTGTTTGCATATCACCTAGGACAGTCCCTGAGCATAGCAGGTGCTCACTGAATAGTTATTAGGCAAATTATAGGCTCTATCTTAATGGTGTCATTTCAAATTCCCTTTAGATTTTTATTTATGCCTACTTCTTTGGATAGGTGAGATTGATGGGCACATACACTCTTAGGTTCTGCAGTTTTTTCTCTTTAACATTTTACCTAAGAATCTGTACATGTTGGCAGTCTATATGCATGCCTATTTCTAGCATTTAATGGCTATCATTACTTCCTGTGGATAAATTATAGTTTGCTTAGTCATTCTTACCCTATTGGGCATGTGGATTTTTCTCATTTATTTATTTTTAGAACAGAGTGATCATGTTTAAACTAATTCCTTCTCTGGTTTTTGGGTACTTTATTTGAGTTGGTCCCCAAAGGCAATTACTACAAGGCAAAAGGTGAGAATGGTGTTATGGTATTATCATAGATAAATTGCTCTCTAGAGAGAATAGCTTTTTTTTTTTTTTTTTTTTTTTTTTTTTTTTTTTTGATGTGGAGTCTTACTCTGTCACCCAGGCTGGAGTGCAGTGGCGCGATCTCAGCTCACTGCAACCTCCGCCTCCTGAGTTCCAGCAATTTTCTTGCCTCTGCCTCCTGAGTAGCTGGAATTACGGGCGTGTGCCACCACCCTCGGCTAATTTTTGTATTTTTAGTAGAGATGGGGTTTCACCATATTGGCCAGGCTGGTCTCGAACTCCTGACCTCACGTGATTTGCCTGCCTCAGCCTCCCAAAGTGCTAGGATTACAGGCTTGAGCCATCGCGCCCAGCCCAGAGAGAATAACTTAATTCATGGTGACACCTGCAAGTCACATGGATCTTTCTGCACTACCTTAGGTACTTGAGGGATTGCAGTTTCATCTTATAATATTTTTATAGGTTTATAGAATACCTTCAAGTTTTCTACCTTCACCTTTTTTGTTTATAGTGTGTGCATGTTTCTGCCAATGAATCACAGTCTATGAATCTACCCGTCCTTGAATCTCCTGTATAAAACTCTCTGTTTACCCATTCTCTACCTGTGGCTTAGTCAACTCCTGGAGAAAGGTTAAAGAATGATCTTGTGGCAGTCAAGACCTTCTCTCTAATAGGCACAATGTAATTAATTATGATTCTGTTCTAGGTTTCCTGTGGCATAATGTGATGGTCAATTTTCTGCATCAACTTGACTGGGCTAAGGGATGCTCAGATGGCAGGTAAAATCATTGTGCTTGTGAGGGTGTTTCCAGAAGAGATTTGCCTTTGAATCAGAAGACAGCAAAGATTTCCTTCAGCAATGAAGGAGGCATCCACCAAACTGTCAGGGCCCAGAGAGAAGAAAAAGACAGGAAGGGTGAATTTGACCTCTCTGACTGGGACATCCATCTCTGCCTATCCTGGGACCTCCACACTCCTGGTTCTCTGGCCTTCAGACTTGATCAGGGACTAACACCATCGCCTCCCACCCCCACCTTTGTTCTGAGGCCTTTAGCCTCTGAATGATACCACTGGCTTTCCTGCTTCTCTATCCTGCAGTCGGCAGATCATGGGACTTCTTCACTCCAAAATTGTGTGAGCCAATTCCCATAACAGATAGATAAATTTATAAATAAACACACAAATTTCCTACAGCCTTATCTTAGTGGTGTCACTTCAAATTTTGAAGAACCCTGACCTAGTACACATAGCAAAAAACAACAACGACAACAACAACAAACAAAAACACACACACACACAAAAACTCATCATCAATAAGTTTTAAAAAATCAAACACAAGATAAAACGCTGCAGCATATCTATTACCTGGGGGCTTTTCTATATGGAAAGCACTTTCTGAGATGCCTTGCAGTAAACTCCAAGGAGATTTTGAGGGAAGATATTCTCTTTTCTCCTGGTAAATCTCCCTGTTGATGATCATTATTTTAAAGACTCCAAAGATGAAAACATCTGCTTGCACATTTTGTCGATTCATTTTGGGTGAGGGTCTCTGGCAGGCTTGGAAGGGTGGGTGAACAGTGGAAGGGGGCTGCCTCTGGTGACTAGCATCACTCATATCCATGTCTGTGGCAGTCATCAGGTGCTTATTATATATTCGACTTTTGGCCACCCCTAATGGGGGTGTTAAATGCAGGAAGAGTCCAGTCAAGTCATTGCAAATTGGCATTGACTTTTGGGACCTTTCTACACACGATAGTCAGGTAGATACCTTCTTTTTAAATTTGACTTGTTATTACTTTTTTTTGAGACAGGGTCTCATTCTGTCACCCAGGCTGGAGTGCAGTGGTGTGATCACGGCTCATTGCAGCCTCGACTTCTCAGGCTCCAATGATCCTCCCACCTCAGCCTCTCAAGTAGCTGGGACCACAGGTAAAGGGCCACCATGGCCAGCTAATTTTCGTATATTTGGTAGACAATGTTTCACCATGCTTCCCAGGCTGGGTGGATACTTTTCAAAAATAAGTTCAGTTCATCCTGCCTAGCCTTGCCCCAGCAGCTCTAGAGGAATTACCCACTCTGGTGCTGGGCTCAGGCTGCCTGTCTCTGGAATAATGTGCTCAGAGCTGCAGGGTAGGCCTGCTGTCTGACTGGCAGAGAGAGTCCCATACTCCCTACCCTGTACCCTGAAAGATCAAGGCTGCCCAGCCTGTCCACCTGGTAGACCATTTCCCTGCCCAATTCTCCTTCTCTCATTCCTGATGTGCAGCTTGATGCCTGCAGGGACTGTGCCAGCTGAGATTGTCTCTAGGTCCTCCCTTCTGCCAGCTGGTGTCCAGGGAAGTGGGTCCTTTGGCCTGCTTCCTGCCACCAGAATTTTGAGGACCTTGTTTCTCCCACTGCAACTTTTGACCCATTCCTGGGTTTCTTTTTCTTTTTTTTGAGACGGAGTCTTACTCTGTCGCTCAGGCTGGAGTGCAGTGGTGCAACCTCAGCTCACTACAACCTCCACCTCCCTGGTTCAAGCGATTCTCCTGCCTCAGCTTCCTGAGTAGCTGGGATTACAGGCACCCGCCACCAGGCCTGGCTAATTTTTTTGCATTTTTAGTACAGTCGGGATTTCACCACGTTGGCTGGGTTTTAGACTAGGGTTTCTTCACCTCAGCAGTACTGTCATTTTGGAGGGCAAAATCATTTGTTGTGGGGCACTGTCCTGAGCATTGCAGGGTGTTCAGCATCCTACGCAAACTCTACCCACTAGATGCCATGGGCGCTTCCCAGTGGTGACAATTAACAAAGTCTCCAGACAGACCTACATGTCCCCTGAGGGGCAAAGTTACCTCCACTTGAAGACCAGTGGTGTGCTGGATGGATACTAATATTAAAATAATAATAATAATAATAATAGAAATCATAATATAACTCATGTAGTTAAGGTAAGTCCTTTTTGATGGAACATTTATTTCAGTTAATAATATTTGTGTATGTCTGTCCTGGTAGTTTTTTTTTTTTAACTTTTTATTTTGATTTAACATGAGAGTTTGAGAAATTTACAAAACGAATGAATACAAAGACCTCTGATTACCCCAGATTCTAACGTTTCCACATGGGCTTTCTCCTCCCTCCCCAAGTCCACCAGCCCCTGCTCCCCACCTTTCTGTCTCTCTTCCCACCCAGCAAGCTCCCTAGGAGCACAGCACCACTTATGACAAAAACATCATTTTCTTTTCTCTGAGGCGGTATTCCTGACGTTTGGATTTAGGCTGATAAGTGACAGTGAGTTATAATCATCCTTGCCTGTGTTGTCCTTCCCACGTTAGGTCTGTCATGCCACGTATGTCCGCAGTTTATAACAATCTCTATCATACATTGAAAAGTTTTGAAAACTTATCCAGTGAATCCCTGAGCACCAAATGTTCTTTTGTGTTATTTTTCTTTATTAGGCTATTATTACTTTATTCAGAATCTCTCTGTTTTAGAGAGAGCCTTTCTTTCTTGCCTAACCTAGAGTGCAGCGGCGCGATCATAGCTCAGTTCAGTCTTGAACCCCTGGACTCAACCAGTTCTCCCCCGCCCTGGGCTTCTGGGCGTCCTGATCTCTCTCCTGAAACCCACGGGGCTGGGAGGTGGGAGGAGATCCTACTCCTAGCCCCATGAGCGCGCTCCAGGCCTCCAGATTGGCCCGTTTCGGGGGCAGGGCGGGCCGTGGGGCGGGGTCGCAGCAAGGCTTCCCCTCTACCCTCTCTGGGCCTCTCACAAACGCTGAGCCCCGCCCCGCTGAGGCCTGTCTGCAGAATCCACAGCAACCAGCACCATGCCCATGACACTGGGGTACTGGAACATCCGCGGGGTGAGCCAGGGTCCGCTGGGCGGTGGGACGGGGGTGCGTGGGGGCGGGGAAGTGTGGAGCAGCTGCAGGACGGGCTCTAGGGACGGTTCCTCTTCAGGGCTGTCCCTGACAGCGGGGTCTGTGCTTGCCGCTGTCTGTGCGTGTGGCTGGGCGTGCGGGGTGGGGGCGGGTGAGGCAGGAACGAGAGGAGGAGATGGGGCTCCCCTTGTGCAGAGTCGTCACAAAGTCAGGGACCCTCCATCTCTGACCCGAGCTGTGGGCCATCTCTCCCAGCTGGCCCATTCCATCCGCCTGCTCCTGGAATACACAGACTCAAGCTACGAGGAAAAGAAGTACACGATGGGGGACGGTAATGGCACCCTCGAGTCTGGGCCCTGCCCCCTCACACTAAGTTGGCACCAAGCAACCGATAGTGGCCACCTGTGGCTGACTCTGCAGGCCTCCCTTGCTGGAACTGCAGGCTGTCCCTTCCCTGAGCCCTGGTGAGGGAGCTCCTTGCAAGGCAGAATGCTGGGGCGGGATGCTGGGCCCCCGTCTGGGTAATTATGATGGGTGTCCCTCAGGGCTTGCCTAAACCCTGGAAGCCTTAGCTGTGTGGGGTCCAGAGCCCTCACTGGAATTCTTTTTCTCTGAATCCTGGGATGTGGGACTGAGTGGTCAGATTCTAGATCCACCTGTCTCAGGGGTCTTGCCACTGGCTCCTTGGGAGGGTCCCCAGGAAGGAGGGCTGGGCTTTGGGGAGGTTTGTTTTCACTTCATCTTCCCCACCACAGCTCCTGATTATGACAGAAGCCAGTGGCTGAATGAAAAATTCAAGCTGGGCCTGGACTTTCCCAATGTAGGTGCAGGGGAAGGGGCGGTTTTGGGGGAAAGTGCGACGTGTCTCTGACTGCATCTCCTCTCCCCAGCTTAGAGGTGTTAAGATCAGGAGTCTTCTGCCCAATTCCTCTCACTCTTGGCTGTCTACACAGCCCTTGCATGATGTTCTGTGTCCCAGCTCATTTATTAGTGTGACAGTATTTCTATCTCAGGCCTGCCATGAGCAGGCCCTGGTCTCCTCTTTGCCCTTGCATATGGGAAGGGGATGCTGGGGAGCCTGGTGGCCCAACTGAGCTTCCCCGGTTTCCCATCTATCCAGCTGCCCTACTTGATTGATGGGACTCACAAGATCACCCAGAGCAACGCCATCCTGCGGTACATTGCCCGCAAGCACAACCTGTGTGAGTAGATTTGGTTGCAAGATGCGGGGAGGGACCGTGGCCTCCTCCTCGGCTTGGCTGGGCTGTGAGGCTGAGAGTGAATCTGCTTTACGAGGGTAGGCGGGGAATCAGAAAAGGAGCAGATTCGCGAAGACATTTTGGAGAACCAGTTTATGGACAGCCGTATGCAGCTGGCCAAACTCTGCTATGACCCAGATTTTGTAAGTCCCCCCACCCCACTCCCAGTCTCCCCTTCCCTACTCCCAGTCTCCCCTTTCCCTGCAGAGTTTGTGTCCAAAATTGATTCCTTCTGGTGAGTTCTTGGTCTTGCTGACTCTAAGAATGAAGCCGCGGTCCTACACGGTGAGTGTTACAGTTCTTAAAGATGGTGTGTCCGGAGTTTGTTCCTTCAGATGTTCAGATGTGTCCGCAGTTTCTTCCTTCCGGTGGGTTTGTGGTCTTGCTGACTTCAGGGGTGAAGCCGCAGACCTTCGCAGTGAGTGCTACAGCTCTTAAAGGTGGCGCGTCTGGAGTTGTTTATTCCTCTTGGTGGGTTCATGGTCTGGCTGGCTTCAGGAGTGAAGCTGCAGACCTTCATAGTGAATGTTATAGCTCATAAAGGTAGTTCAAACCCAAAGAGTGAGCAACAGCAGGATTTATGGTGACGAGTGAAAGAAAATACACTTCCACAGCCTGGAAGACAACCTGAGCAGGTTGCTACTGCTGCTTGGGAAGGGCGGAGGTGGGGGGGGAAATCCCTTATTTGGCCCCACCCACATGCAGATTGGTCCATTTTACAGAGAGCTGATTGGTCCATTTTACAGAGTGCTGATTGGTCCGTTTTACAGAGTGCTGATTGGTCTGTTTTTACAGAGTGCTGATTGGTGCGTTTACAAACCTTTAGCTAGACACAGAGCGCTGATTTGTGCATTTACAATCCTTTGGCTAGGCAGAAAAGTTCTCCAAGTCCTCACCTGACCCAGAAGCCCAGCCAGCTTCACCTCTCATTTTGATCAGGAGCCAAGACTGTGGTCCTGCCAAATACACGGGTCCTGTTTTCTGTTTGAACTCTTTAGTGCTACTCATCCTTCAAGCTATTTCCTATACTGCCACCAGAGTGACCCTCAAACCCCAAAGTCGTGTCAAATAAAACCTCTAAATCAATTCCCCACCAATCTACTTATAGAATCCTGACTCCCCAGGGTATGAATTCACTCTCTAGACAGTAATGGTTACTTCCAGAATCCCTTCCATCTCTGACCCATGACCTGTGCTTTGGGCCATCTCTCCCAGTGGTTTATATCATCTGCCTGCTTTAGGAATACACAAACTATGAGGAAAACAAGTGCAAAACAAAGGAGTAATGGCACCTGAAATTTTGGTGTCTTCCGAGTGCTCTCTTGACATACACTGAGATCAGCGAATTTTCCTAACAGACAGCTTAGGGGCAGCCAGAGGCTCTTTTTCCCCCTCCTTTCTTCCACTTATCCTCTGAATATCTCCTCATCTTTCCAGAAACCACTCAATGTCCATTGTATTCTACTGCTGCCCAACTAGGAGGAAATTTCTACTTCTTTCTCTGAGCTCCTTTAGTTCTTTGCATCCTTGATTCTGCTCATATCTGGTCCAGAGCCTACCAGGTGCTCAGGTGCTCCTGGGGCTGACCCAGAGGTTGTTGGGAGGTCAGTGGGGACAGATTTAGGGACAGTGTCACATTCCGCTCTGCCATCCCATCACCTCAGAAAGACTCCAGCTACCCAGTTGGAGTCTAATAAATGCTGATGTATCCAGCTGAAGCCTGGACAGTGACCCAGTTCCAGCTGTGGGGAAGATGACTGCTTGCCCGCGGCCAGCTGGGGCCATGCACAAAACTGGGAGGCCGCATCTGTGCAGGGAGCTTGTGTCTGAGGGTGTTGACAGCTGTTTTCTGCCTCAGGAGAAACTGAAACCAGAATACCTGCAGGCACTCCCTGAAATGCTGAAGCTCTACTCACAGTTTCTGGGGAAGCAGCCATGGTTTCTTGGGGACAAGGTAATGGGGGCGTGTGATGGGGACACCACAGATTTGTCATACTTCCTATATTATGGAGGTTTCAGCCCACATATCCTTGGCCTTATCCAGATCACCTTTGTGGATTTCATCGCTTATGATGTCCTTGAGAGAAACCAAGTATTTGAGCCCAGCTGCCTGGATGCCTTCCCAAACCTGAAGGACTTCATCTCCCGATTTGAGGTGATGCCCCCAGCCTCCTTTCTCTTTATGTCTCTTATTCCTTTCCCTCCTTTGTGATGCTTTCCCAGTCCTGGAGCTACACAAAGAATAACTCACATTTTTGGCCATGTGCGGTGGCTCACGCCTGTAATCTCAGCGCTTTGGAGGCTGAGGGAGGCAGATCACCTGTGGTTAGGAGTTTGATACCTGCCTGCCCAACATGGCAAAACCCCATCTTTACTAAAAAAAAATACAAAAATTAGCTGGGCGTGGTGGCGAGCACCTGTAATCCCAGCTACTTGGGAGGCTGAGGCAGGAGAATCACTTGAACCTGGGAGGTGGAAGTTGCAGTGAGCCAAGATCGTGCCACTGCATTCCAGCCTGTATGACAGAGTGTGACTCCATCTCAAGAAAAAAAAAAAAAAAAAAAAAAGGAGCCGGGCATGGTGGCTCACACTTGTAATCCCAGCATTTTGGGAGGCCGAGTTGGGTGGATCACCTGAGGTCGGGAGTTCGAGACCAGCCTGACCAACATGGTGAGACCCCTGTCTCTACTAAAAATACAAAATTAGCTGGGCGTGGTGGCACATGCCTATAATCCCAGCTACTAGGGAGGCTGAGGCAGGAGAATCTCTTGAACCTGGGAGGCGGAGGTTGCGGTGAGCCAAGATCGTGCCATTGCACCCCAGCCTGGGCAACAAGAGTGAAACTCCATCTCAAACAAAAAAAAGAAGAAAAGAATAACTTGCATTTATTGAGTGCTGGCTTCATGCCACGAACTGTACCCAGCACATTATACCTATTGTGTTGAATTTGAAATTTACAACATTCCTACAGGGTGGTAGAATTATCTCCCCCATTTTAGAGACAAAGAAACTGAGAATGAGAGGGTCAGTCCTTTGCTCAGGGTCCCAGAGCCAGTGGAGGCTGTGCTGGGCTCCCTGCGAGCCTCTGGATCTATGGTTGGCAGTCAGGGCTCTCCGTTTTGTGACAAAAGAAAAGCCTCAGGCCTTGTCCAGCCTGGGTTTCATAGCCCAGGACACTTTGGAAGAGGCAGAGCACTTCAGGACCACGGATGCAGCTGGCAATAGTAGGACTGACACACAGTAGCATTGATGTTCAATACTGAACCCACAGGCAGTATTCACAGCTACACCCAGAAACTTTGTATGATTGAACCCCCATGTGGGGAATCCTGAGAGCCAGGGCTGTGGCTGGAGCTGGATTAAGGTACATATGTGGGTGCCCCTGTTGAAGGAGCTTATGCTGAAATGCCCTGTGCTGGAGCACTTTCCTTCTCTACCTCTTTTTTTTTTTTTTTTTTTGAGACGGAGTCTTGCTCTGTCACCCAGGCCGGAGTGCAGTGGAGCAATCTCGGCTCACTGCAACCTCTGTCTCCTGGGTTCAAGTGATTCTCCTGCCTCAGCCTCTTGAGTAGCTGGGATTACAGGTGTGTACCACCACGTCCAGCTAATTTTTGTATTTTTAGTAGAGATGGGGTTTTGCTATGTTGGCCAGGCTGGTCTCAAACTCCTGACCTCAGGTGATCCACCCACCTCAGCCTCCCTAAGTGCTGGGATTACAAGCGTGAGCCACCGCGCCTGGCCTCTTCCTCTCTTTTTTTCCCTCCAATGTTCCAGGTGTTCCCCCTGTGAGATGAGTAGCACGCTGATTTTACTCCTGTTCACTGACCTTCTCCTCTGCATGAGGCAGGGTGTGAGGCACAGTGGGAGATGCATAGATGACAGCCCCATCCTGGAAATGAGTGCAGTGAGAGGCCTGCAGGCAGAGCAGCCTGTGAAGTGTGTGCTGAACTTGTTTGAGAGCAGCAAATCCTACATTACTACAGATTTGGGGATTTGAGGCATTTGTCCAACAGGCTTCTGAGCCTTGAATCTGTTTCCCTTTTCCACTCCCCATCAAGAGATCTGCTTGCTCAGCTAGTTCCCATCAGCTCTGGTTCTGCGGTTCTGGTCCAGGCTGAGTGGCCTTGGAGTTAGGTAAGAGGTGGTGGGAAGGGAGGGATGGAGGAGAGCTGAGAGCTATGGCCCGTTATGTGCCAGGGTCAAGCCTGTCACCCAGGCTGGAGTGCATTGGTGCGATCTTGGCTCACTGCAACCTCCGCTTCCTGGGTTCAAGCAATTCTCTGCCTCAGCCTACCAAGTAGCTGGGATTACAGGTGCCCGCCACCATGACCAGCTAATTTTTGTATTTTTAGTAGAGATGGGTTTTCACCATGTTGGCCAGGCTGGTCTCCAACTCTTGACCTCAGGTGATCCACTCGTCTCGGCCTTCCAAAGTGCTGGGATTACAGGTGTGAGCCGGATGTTTTTGAATACCTTATCTGGGCATTCAATCCTGGTAAGATTGTGCACAGCACATCTGAGTGTCATGTAGCCTGATCTGCAGCAGGGCTGGAGATGCCATGGGTTAGGGCACAGTGAGATTTTGCTAAGATACCAGATGGAGAACCTTGGACTTTCTGCTTTAAGGGGAATGATTAGAGCCTAGTCTCGCCTTTGATTTTCTTGTGCACTGCCACTCCCCATTCCACTTTCATCCAGGTTTTACTGAGACATTGGGTGAGTGTGTTCAGAGCCCCTTTGTTCTGCTGGAGGTCCCTTCTGTGTCTCTATACCCAGACAAGCCAAGAGCCTCCCTGTGGAAAAGGAGACTGTTTGTGCAGTCAAGGAGTGACAGGGCCTGGTGTGAGGGGTGGTGGGGCAGAAGAAGAAGAGAATTTGGCAGAAAGAGGCCAGAACTGGAGAGAGACAGAACCAGGCTACATTGAAGTTCTATTCCCCTTACTAGGTATTTAAATGTAAGGAAGTTGCTGAACTTCTGTTTCCCACATGACAAATGGTGATAATAGATTCAGCCTTGCAGAGTAGTCGAGTGGGTTTTCTAAGCTTACGTTGTAATTTCTCTTGGGTACAGAGCACCCAGCACCGTGTAGAATCTTCATAAGTGTTAGCTGTTACTGTGGTACAACATTACTTAAAGGAAGTTGGAAGAGTTAACTCCGCAGATCTGGGGACCCTAAGAAGCTGTGTGATGCCTCAGCACTTGAGCCCACATGGAAAGGCTGTGGCCAGGGCCCTGACCTGCTGTGTCTGCAGTGGGGTTGTGCCAGCCCTCATGGGCAGCTGACCTTGAGTTCTGGCCTTATTTTCCCCCCTCTCAGGGCTTGGAGAAGATCTCTGCCTACATGAAGTCCAGCCGCTTCCTCCCAAGACCTGTGTTCACAAAGATGGCTGTCTGGGGCAACAAGTAGGGCCTTGAAGGCCAGGAGGTGGGAGTGAGGAGCCCATACTCAGCCTGCTGCCCAGGCTGTGCAGCGCAGCTGGACTCTGCATCCCAGCACCTGCCTCCTCGTTCCTTTCTCCTGTTTATTCCCATCTTTACTCCCAAGACTTCATTGTCCCTCTTCACTCCCCCTAAACCCCTGTCCCATGCAGGCCCTTTGAAGCCTCAGCTACCCACTATCCTTCGTGAACATCCCCTCCCATCATTACCCTTCCCTGCACTAAAGCCAGCCTGACCTTCCTTCCTGTTAGTGGTTGTGTCTGCTTTAAAGGGCCTGCCTGGCCCCTCGCCTGTGGAGCTCAGCCCCGAGCTGTCCCCGTGTTGCATGAAGGAGCAGCATTGACTGGTTTACAGGCCCTGCTCCTGCAGCATGGTCCCTGCCTTAGGCCTACCTGATGGAAGTAAAGCCTCAACCACATTTGCTGTGTGTCTTGTCTTATTTGCTCCTGGCCATCTACCCAGACTGTCTGTCTGTCTGTCACTGCCTCTTCCAAGGGACTGGCTGGTGATCCTGGCAGTGGCTGGGTTCTAAAGGATTCTGCTGGGCATAGTAAGGCGCTTGAGAATTCTTGCTCCCATTCCTGAGAGACTCAGAGCAGGAAGCCCCATGAGGCACTGTGGAAAGGATGTCTCTTTCTTGGCCTGGATCTCCCATTCATTCATCCAGCCGTATTGAGTACTTTCCATAATTGCACAGAGCTTGTGTCTCATTGAATAGGACCCCAAGGGGGTGGAATCTCCATCAGAGAGAACCAGGGTCCCTTTTACCTTCTCCACTATATGACTGCATCACTTCTGTTAGGTCTCCAGGACCCAATCTCTATTGTTTTTCTCAGATGGCTTCCAGGTACCCTCTCCAGGCTTGCTGCACAGCTGTCATCAGGACGTTCTCTCTGGGTTTACTTCCTCTCTTTCCTGGGTACCTGTGAGAGAAATGTCTTTAGTCCTTGCATAACTGAAAGTGCCTTTACATGCTTACTGAATACTCTGGCTGAGGATTTAGTCTGTTCTCACGCTGCTAATAGAGACATACCCGAGACTGGGTAATTGATAAAGGAAAGAGGTTTAAAGGACTCACAGTTCCACAGGGCCTGGGAGGCCTCATAACCATGGCAGAAGGCGAATGAGGACCAAAGTAATGTCTTACATGGCAGCAGGCAAGAGGGCGTGTGCAGGGGAACTCCCACTTATAAAACCATCAGATCTTGTGAGACTTATTCACTACCGTGAGAACAGTATGGGGGAAACTGCCCCCATGATGGAGTTTTCTGCACCCGGCCCCCACCCTTGACACCTGGGGATTATTACAATTCAAGGTAAGATGTGGGTGGGGACACAGCCAAACCATATCAGCTGGGGATAGAATTCTATGATGAAAACCTTCAGACTTCTAATAGATTTATTCACTTTTTTCTAGAATTGAGCATTTCTGGTGAGTAGGTCGATGCCAGTCTGACTGCATCCTTTGCTTTTTAAAAATTATTATTATTGTTGTTATTTTGAGAGGAAGTATTACTCTGTCGCCTAGGCTGGAGTGTGGTGGTGTGATCTCGTCTCACTGCAACCTCCCCTTCCTGGGTTCAAACAATTCTCCTTCCTCAGCCTCCCGAGTAGCTGGGACTACAGGCGTGCACACTGTGCCCAGCCGATTTTTGTATTTTTGTTTTAGAGACGGGTTTTCACCATGTTGGCCATGCTGGTCTCGAACTCCTGACCTCGTGATCCACCCACCTCGGCTTCCCAAAGTTCTGGAATTACATGCGTGAGCCACTCTGCCTGGCTATATCTTTTGCTTTTTTACGCTTTTTCTGTTTGTCATTCTGAGGTCTATAATTCCAAAGGCTGTGTGGGGATCTACAGGTTGATCTCTTCTTGATTCACATCCTTGCAGGAACATGCTAAGCATAGGCTTCCTCCACCCTGACAGCAATCTGCATTGCCTCTTGTTGAAGTAACTTAAAATCTCACTGGAGAGTGAACTGCTTCAGAGGAAGATTCTCATAGCTTAGCAGTTCCTAAGCTGTGATACCAGAAATAGCTGTTGAGTCTGTGGGTCATGTATTCACGCAAGGCTCAGCAGGGAGATCTTGTTACAAATCAACAAAGGTCTCTTCTCCAAAAACTATATATCCGAAAATACAACTCATTAAAAAATGAGTCAGAATTTCAACAAGCATTTCCCAAAAGTGAATATCCACATGGCCACTAAGCTCATGAGAAGGTGCTCAACATCATTAGACAGCAGAAAGTTAAAAACCCCTAAGATCCTACTGTATCCCCACTAGAATGGCTGACATTGAAAGGACCGACAATTGTTGGTGATTTATGGAGTAACTGGAACTGTCATGCATTGCTGGTGGGAAAGCCACTTTGGAATACTGGCACTGTCAACTAGAGCTAAACCTACATCTACCCAGGACCCAGAAATCCCACCCTACAGGAATGAGTCCTAATGGATTCCAAGAACCAGGTGTAGTGATGCCAAAAGCAGCTTTATTTTAAATAGCCAATAACTGAAAACAATCCAAATTCCATGAACAAATGAACTGTGGTTTATCAACATAATTCCATCATTCATATAATGGAATACTTACTCTGGTATAATGAAAATAAACATGCTAACGCTATGTGCAAAAACATGGATGGGCCTCACAGACGTATTGAGTAAAAGGATCCAGACAGGAGAAAGGACACACAATCTCATTCCACTTACACGAAAATCAGGAGAGGGAAATGATTCCATGGTATCAGAGGTCAGATGATTGGTGAACTTTGTGAGAACTGGAAGGTTGCCTATTGAAGGGGCCTGGTGGAGTGCTGTAAGTTTTCTCTCTTTATCTGGGAGGTGATTCCAGAAGAGTACACAAGTGGAAAAGCCCACAGAGTAGCACACTTAAGGCCTGTCCACTGTATGTATCTTACACTTCAATGAAAAGCATGCATTAAGGCCTGTGCACTGCATGTGTATTACACTTCAGTTAAAAGCATGCACATTATTTGTGTGCTTGTGTTTGCTTTCCCTCATAAGATATCAACATCATAAGGGCATGTGTTTTTCTCTCTTCTTGTTCACTGATGTAACAGGTGTTTGCATATCGCCTAGGACAGTCCCTGAGCATAGTAGGTGCTCACTGAACAATTATTAAGCAAATTATACGTTCATCTTAATGGTGTCATTTCAAATTCTCTTTAGATTTTTATTCATGCCTACTTCTTCAGATAGGTGAGACTGGTGTGCGTGTTTACTCTTAGATTCTACAGTTTTTTCTCTTTAACATTTTACTTCTTTTTTTTGAGACAGAGGCTCACTCTGTTGCCCAGACTGGAGCACAGTGGTGCAATCTCAGCTCACTGCAACCTCTGCCTCCTGGGTTCAAGCGATTCTCTTGCCTCAGCCTCCTGAGTAGCTGGGACTACAGGCATACACCTGGCTAATTTTTGTATTTTTAGTAGAGATGAGGTTTTGCCATGATGGCCAGGCTGGTCTCAAACTCCGGGCCTCAAGTTATCCACCCACCTCTACCCCTCAAAGTGCTGGGATTACAGGTGTGAGCCACCACTCCTGGCCTAACATTTTACTTAAAAATCTGTATATGGGCTGGGCGCAGTGGCTCATGAGTGTGATCCCGGCACTTTGGGAGGCCGAGGGGGCAGATCACGAGGTCAGGAGATCGAGACCATCCTGGCTTGTACACGGTGAGACCACATCTCTACTAAAAATATCAAAATTATTTTTTTTTGTATTTTTGGGCGTGGTGGAGCTTGCCTGTAGTCCCAGCTACTCAAGAGGCTGAGGCAGGACAATTGCTTGAACTCAGGAGGCAGAGGCTGCAGTGAGCCAAGATCATGCCACTCCTCTCCAGCCTGGGCAACAGAACAAGACTCCCTCTCAAAAAAAAAAAAAAAACAAACTGTATATGTTGGCAGTCTATATGCATGCCTACTTCTAATATTGATGGCTATCTCATATTAGTTCCTGTGGATAAACTATATTTTGCCTAGTCATTCTTATGCTATGGCATGTGTAGATTTTTCTAACTTATTTATTTGTTTTTAGAGCAGGGTGATCATGTTTTGACTAATTCTTTCCCGTTTTTGGTGACTTTGAGTAGATCCCCAAAGCGCTTACTACAAGGTAAAGGATGAGACTGGTTTAATGGTATTACAACAGATAATTTCATTGCTCTCCAGAGACAATAACTTAATTTATGGTGCCACCAGCAAGGTACACGGATCATTCTGCACTATTTTAGACACTTAGGAGATCGCGATTTCATCTTATGATTTTTTTTTTTTAATAAGAACACCTTCACATTTTCTGGCTGGGCATGGTGGCTCATGCCTGTATTCCCAGCACTTTGGGAGGCCGAGGCGGGTGGATCACTTGAGGTCAGGAGTTTGAGACCAGCCTAGCCAATATGGTGAAACCCTGTCTCTACTAAAAATACAAAAATTAGCCGGGCATGGTGGTGGGCACCTGTAATCCCAGCTATTCAGGAGGCTGAGGCACAAGAATCACTTCAACCTGGGAGGCAGAGGTTGCAGTGAGCCAAGATCGTGCCATTGCACACTGCACTCCAGCTTGGGTGACAGAGTGAGATTCCATCTCAAAAAAAGAAAAAAAGAATACCTTCAAGTTTTCTACCTTCACCTTTTTTGTTTATTGGTTGTGCATGTTTCTGCCAATGAATCACAGTCTATGAATCTACTTGTTTGTGAATCTCCTGTATAAAACTCTCTACCCATTCTCTACTGGTGGCTTAGTCAACTCCTGGAGAAAGCTTAAAGAATGATCTTGTGGCAGTCAAGGCTTTTTCTCCCATAGGCACAATGTAATTAATTGTGATTTTGTTCTTGGTTTCCTGTGGCATAATGTGATGGTTAGTTAGTTTTCTGTGTCAACTTGACTGGGCTAAGGGATGCTCAGATGGCTGGTAAAATTATTGTGTTTGTGAGGGTGTTTCCAGAAGTGATTCGCCTTTGAATCAGAAGACTGAGCCAAGATTTCTCTCAGCAAATGAAGGAGGCATCCACCAAACTGTCAGGGCCCAGAGAGGAGAAAAAGACAGAGGAAGGGTGCATTTGATATCTCTGACTGGGACATCCATCTCCGCCTATCCTGGGACCTCCACACTCCTGGTTCTCTGGCCTTCAGACTTGATCAGGGACTAACACCATCGCCTCCCACCCCCACCTTTGTTCTGAGGCCTTTAGACTCACACTGAATGATACCGCTGGCTTTCCTGCTTCTCTGTCCTGCAGCCAGCTGATTGTGGGACTTCACTCCAAAATTGTGTGAGCCAATTCCCATAAGAGATAAATAAATTTGTAAATAAACACACAAATTTCCTACAGGCTTATCTTAGTGGTGTCACTTCAAATTTTGAAGAACCTTGACTAGTACACATAGCAAAAAAAAAAAAAAAAATACACAAGTGGGTCACCATCATCAATAAGTAAGTTTTATAAAATCAAACACAAGATAAAACGCTGCAGCATATCTATTACCTGGGTTTCTTTCTATATGGAAAGCACTGTCTGAGATGCCTCACAGTAAACTCCAAGGAGATTTTGAGGGAAGATATTATCTTTCCTGGTAAATCTCCGTGTTGATGATCATTGTTTTAAAGTCTCCAGAGATGAAAACATCTGCTTGCACATTTTGCTAATTCATTTTGGGTGAGGGTCTCTGGCAGGCTTGGAAGGGTGGGTGAGCAGTGGGAAGGGGGCTGCGTCTGGTGACTAGCATCACTCATATCCATGTCTGTGGCAGTCATCAGGTGCTTATTATATATTTGACTTTTGGCCACCCCTCTGGGGGTGTTAAATGCAGGGAGGGTCTAGTCAAGCCATTACAAGTTGGCAGTGACTCGTAGCAACTTTCTACACACCCTTCTCAGTCAGGGTGGATACCTTTTGAAAATAAGTTCAGTTCATCCTGCCTAGCTTTGCCCCAGCAGCTCTAGAAGAATTACCCGATGGTGCTGGGCTCAGGCTGCCTGGCTCTGGAGCAATGTGCTGAGAGCTGCAGGGGAGGCCTGCTGTCTGACTGGCAGAGAGAGTCCCACCACTCCCTACCCTGTACCCTGGAAGACCAGGCTGCCCAGCCTGTCCACCTAGTAGACCGTTTGCCTGCCCAATTCTCCTTCTCTGATTCCTGATGTGCAGCTTGATGCCTGCATGGGCTGCACCAGCTGAGATTGTCTCTAGGTCCTCCCTTCTGCCAGCTGGTGTCCAGGGAAGTGGGTCCTCTGGCCTGCTTCCTGCCAGCCAGAATTTCGAGGACCTTGTTTCTCCCACTGCAGCTTTCGACCCTGTCCTGGATCACAGACTAGGGTTTCTTAAGGTCGGCCGTACAGAGATTTGGAGGGCAGAATTCTTTGTTGTGGGGCGCTGTCCTGAGCATCGCAGGGTGCTCAGCATCCTACCCATCCTCTACCCACTAATACCACGGGCGCTTCCTGGTGTTTACAATTAACAAAGTCTCCAGACAGACCTACATGTCCCCTGAGGGGCAAAATCACCTTCACTTGAATCACATCCAGTGGTGTGCTGGATGGATACTAGCATTAAAAATATTAATAATAATAAAAAGATTCATAATGTAGCTCATGTAGTTAATTCCTTTTTGATGGAACATTTATTTAAGTTAATAATATAAGTATCATTAATACCTAATAATATGAGTATATGTATATGTAATTTTCTTGTTTACCTTTTTATATTGATCTAGCGTCAGAGTTTGAGAAATTGTAGAAAGATTAGAAACGACTCTGATTACCCTAGATACTAATGTTTCCACATGGGCTTTCTGCCCCCCAGAGTACCCTCTGCCCCTCCTTCTCCTGCCCCCGCCTTTCTGTCTCTGTCTCCCCCAGCAAGCTCCGAATGAGCACAACACCATTATAAGAAAAACACTATTTTCTTTTCTCTGAGGTAGCATTCCTGATGTTTGGATTCAGGCTGGTAAGTGACAGTGATTTATAATCATCCTTGCCTGTGTTGTCCTTCCCATGTTAGGTCATGTCTGTAGTTTATGACAATCTGTGTCATCCATGCCATTTTCAAAATTTTTGAAAACATATCCAGCCTAATGCTGAGGATAAAATGCCCTTTTGTGTTGTTATTTTTCTTTATCACGCTTTTTGTACTTCATTCAGAATCTTTATCTCTTAACATGTTTTGGCCTGTTTGTGTTTCTTCCACTTGGTGGTAACATCAATTAACATAGAGTTTAGAAAAATGTTTCCCCAATTTAAAAAATCACTTGTACTACATCTTCTTTCTTAGTTCTGATTTGTATTAACTTATAATTATATTTTTTGTTTTTGTTGTACTAATGCTGTGTTAATTACCTAAGTTTTTTTTGTTTTGTTTTGTTTTTGTTTTTGAGACGGAGTCTCGCTCTTTCGCCCAGGCTGGAGTCCAGTGGCACTATCTCGGCTCACTGCAAGCTCCACCTCCCTGGTTCATGCCATTCTCCGGCCTCAGCCTCCCAAGTAGCTGGGACTACAGGTGTCTGCCACCACGCCCAGCTAATTTTTTGTATTGTCAGTGGAGACAGGGTTTCACCATGTTAGCCAGGATGGTCTTGATCTCCTGACCTCGTGATCCGCCCGCCTTGGCCTCCCAAAGTGTGGGGATTACAGGCGTGTAGTTACCTAACTTTTAACAGAATAAACTATTACATATAACAAGCAAATTGGTTAAAGTTTCAATATTTCTCTTAAGGTCACTTATTGCTTCCACTTCTTTTTCCATCTCTAACTTTGTGCCTGTTCTACTTTCTTGAAATTCTAGTTTGTTTGCCTTATTCTTGGTATCACAGGCATGTTGGAAAAATGTTTTCTCAATTCAAATTTGGTAGCATCTTCAAATGGTGATTTCTATTTTCTTCTTTTCAGATTGAAGAAAAGATTCTTTATATTTCAGATTTCCTAAGTTTACCCAAACAATATTTAAGAGACTTTAATACATTTCCATGAATTAGGATACATTTTATTTTGTCTGTCAGTATTTGTTTCTAATAGATTAGTTTTTAAAATTCTGACAACATGTTAGGTAGATTTTCTGTTAATTTGCCTTGAGAATGTAAGAATGTTGTCAGAAGAGACAGAAGGAATTATGAATTCCAGTCCAGAGGTCCCATTACAGGCCCTTGGTAAAGTGGGACCCAGTGCATTTTGACTGTCTGGCACAGCATTGTTTTAAAAATTAGAACTTTTCCACATTTTGCAGTTCAGACAGCACATACAAATGCAGAAGTCCAGGCCCTGTCGGGACTGAGTTTCTGTGTGGTGACAACTGGCTACAACCCCTTCCTTCTGAACACTTGCAGCTTCCCTCATCCCTGCTGCTCCTGATCCCCGTCCACAGACCCACTTTCCCCGCTGGTGTGATCCTTGTGGCCACTATGGCAGCTACTTTGGAGAGCCGCTAGTCCAGTCCTTCCCGCCTTCCGCAGAGCTCTACTCCTGCTTCTGAAGAAGCCACCTGGGGCCTGGCCTTCTTCCTGGCTCCTCAGAGTCCTTGCAACAGCAGGCACTACTTCTCTCTCCTGCACTCAACCCCTCTCCCACTCCACTGCCTCTCAGTGTGCCAAAACACGAAGATGTGTCCTGATTTTCAAAATCTCTCCCCTGAAGTTCCCACCTGATATGTAGTTGGAGATGGGCAAATACAGCGTCCTTGAAGCATCATTTTATTCATAGTGCCTGGAATGTAGTAGGATCTCGACAATTGTTGTTTCAATAAAGGAATGACCAAATATATTAATACTGTAAAAAGTAAAGTAGAGGTTCCTCTTCAAAGAGACTTTTCTCCCCATCTAATTAAGAATAAGTCGTAACTTCTCTTAGAAGCAAAATTTATTCAAAGACCGGTGCTGATATTCTGAAATATCTGCTAGCTGTAATAAAGAAATTAATGTACTTTATGTTCTTAACTCCCACAATTTAGCCTAAATACTTGCCCTGGCATGCTTATACTGATCCAAACAAGCATGAGGTCATAGCCTGTTCCTCTTCCTTATTTGAAGGTGTTTTTACCTTACTCAGCATTCCACAAGTGAGTTCCCCCTTCCTTTGTTCTCCTCTGCCTCTGCCTCTTTTAAAAAGTTCTAAGTTGCTAGCCAATCAGGACAAATACAGAATGTGAGGTCCCGTTCCAGCCAGTGGAAACTGGACACAGCAGTAGGGTGGACACATCAAGTTATAAATGACCCTTTCTCCTTTGTTCAGTGTACTCTCGTGGTAAAACTGCTGGCGAGTGTACCCTTTCTGCAGAAAGTAAAAATGGCCTTTGTTGCAGGAAGTCAGGGACCCCGAACGGAGGGACCGGCTGGAGCTGCAGCAGAGGAACATAAATTGCAAATATTTCATTTTAATATGGACATTTATCAGTTCCCAAATTAATACTTTTATAATTTCTTATGCCTGCCTTACTTTAATCTCTTAATCCTGTTATCTTCTTAAGCTGAGGATATAGGTCACCTCAGGACCACTGTGATAATTGTGTTAACTGTACAAATTGATTGTAAAACATGTGTGTTTGAACAATATGAAATCAGTGCACCTTGAAAAAGAACAGAATAACAGCGATTTTTAGGGAACAAGAGAAGACAACCATAAGGTCTGACTGTCCGCAGGGTCGGGCAAAATAGAGCCATGTTTTTCTTCTTGCAGAGAGCCTATAAATGGACATGCAAGTAGGGAAGATATTGCTAAATTCTTTTCCTAGCAGGGAATATTAATATTAATACTCTGGGAAAGGAATGCATTCCTGGGGGGAGGTCTATAAACAGCCGCTTTGGGAATGAATGACTGTCCTATGCAGTTGAGATAAGGACTGAAATACACCCCGGTCTCCTGCAGTACCCTCAGGTGGGGAAAAAACCTGGCCCTGGCAAATTTGTGGTCAGACTGGTTCTCTGCTCTTGAACCCTGTGTTCTGTTGTTTAAGATGTTTATCAAGACAATATGTGCACCACTGAACATAGACCCTTATCAGGAGTTCTACTTTTGCCTTTGTCCTGTTTCCTCAGAAGCATGTGATCTTTGTTCTGCTTTTTGCCCTTTAAAGCATGTGATCTTCGTACCTACCCTCTGTTCGTACACCACCACCCCTTTTGCAATCCTTAATAAAAACTTGCTGGTTTTGAGGCTCGGGCAGGCATCATGGTCCTACCGATATGTGATGTCACCCCTGGCGGCCCAGCTGTAAAATTCTTCTCTTTGTACTCTTTCTCTTTATTTCTCAGCTGGCTGACACTTATGGAAAATAGAAAGAACCTACGTTGAAATATTGGGGGCAGGTTCCCCAATAGCCTTGCTGAGGAAATTAAATTTATGTTCAAGTGCTATTTCTTTATGGCACCAAGGAACAAGTATTTCAAACAATACTAATGTAACAGTACTGGTTCTATGTGTTTCAAAATTATTATTCTCATGAGTGTTAGCTTTCTTAAAAAATCGTTTTTTTTTTCAATTGGATCTAGACATCTTATCTTTCACAGCTCAAGACGGATTAACTCAGAATCATAAACTCTTAATGCATAATGAGAAATATAATGTTTCCTAGGGCCAGGCACTTGTGTCTGTGCTGGTGCTATTGCCTCAATGCAGGAAAATCTATGTAAGAGTTCACTGTGAGGCCAAAACTGCTTCCTAAACATGGATACCTGCCAGGTATCTGAGCTGGGAGTACTGCCCAGGTCTGGATGGGCGGGGAGTGTTTGCAACAAGGACTGTGCCTTGCCAGCCTCAGTGACACAGTGTCCAAGTGCCCCAACTTAGCAGCCACCTGCTGACCACCTGATTTCTGTGGCCTAATAGGGATGTGATGAAGTCTACCTGTTTACTCAACCCCAAACCACACATTATCCAGGTGGTTTGAAACTTTTTTGATATACTGGGTTCATCCTCTGGAGTCCTAACAATGTTTTAGCTAATTTACAAAAAACAAAACAAAACAAAACAAAACAAAACAAAACAAAAAAACTACTTTTTTTGCAGCACAACAGCCTGGTTTACATTGCAAAATGATTTCTCATTAAAGGTCTATCATCTATTTCCATATGTCCATTATTATTTGCAATATCCTTTAAAGCAGTCAACCCCAGGCTAATCCATTGCACAACTCTTTTGAAAGTCTTCCTTCTACCTTGAAAGAAGAAAGTTGGCAGGTTGGACATTGTTCTCGTGGAGGTTGTACCATGGGTCACATATCACGGTGTGACTTCAAAGGCCACTGGAGCCACCGTCTCATACTGAAGAACACACATGGGTCAGGAGCCAGGTCCAGGTCCGGAATGGTGGATCTGGAGAGGGGAGGGTCCCTGCCTGTGGTCCTGTGGGGAGCCCTCAGGCTCCTCTCTGGCCACCATCCTCTGACCTCCCTCCTCAGCAGGACAGGGTTCTGGCTTCTCTGAGGGACAGGTTCTGTGGCAGGCCAGGCGTCACTAACACAGGCCTCCATAACAACTGTTTCAGTACTGACTGAGTGGTGAAGTTAAATATTAAAAGCTGAAAAAAGCCAGTACCTTTATACAGAGGCTGGATGTAACAAAAGCCCACCAAGAGTTTTGCTTAGGCCTTTCCTGGGCCTTAAAGCATGACAAAACAATGAAGGAATTCTTAACAGGACCTATTTAGAATTAAACAAGTTTTATTGTGAGTCTGAAGAAACTCCCCAGGCCTCCACAAACAAGTTTATTGGGCGTCTGAAGGAACTCCCCAAACCTCCGTGATTTAGCAGGAGACAAGATAAGGGTAATCATCCCCCGCACCTGGACCCATTTAGATTAAATAAATAGACTGAGGCTCCAGAATAAGGTCCTCAGGACCCAGACCTCAGTTACAGATTAAAGAAGTTAATCACTTATGTCTTTAGATGAATGCACACTTACTTGTAGACATATACCTTAGAAGGTATATATGCTCTGGAAAACTTTGTAATATTGAGTTGGTCTGGTGGTAATTTCTAGGCCTTCTCCCTGTTACCGGTTGCAGAAATAAAACCTCTCTTCCTCCCCATTTGATCTGCATCTCGTTATTGGGCCTAGAGAAATAGCAGCCGGACCCTCAGTTTGGTCCGGGAAGTTCTTCCATCCTCCCTCGCCTGCTCTCTGTGGCCACTGCACTCACTGTTGCTGTTGCTGTTCCGGTCTCTGTGAGGTTCACCTAGTGGACTGGCTGGACATTTCTAGGGGGCACCTCAGATACCTCACCAACTTGCTGGATCTGATCCTTGGATTTCGATTCATAAATTGTGCCAAAATACGAAGTGGCTAATTTACACAGTACTTAGCCAGATGACCGAAGGACTCAGTACCCGAGGGCCCCTAACAGAAAACACAGACCACATTTCCTTTACTCTGGCCCTTTTCCTGGGGGTCCTTCCTATACCACTGACACTGTTCCTGTGTAGGCGGGGCTAGAGGGGAGACTAAGCCCTGGGAGTAGCTTTCGGATCAGAGGAAGTCCTGCTCTTACAGTGACAGGGGCTGAATTAAATTCCCAGGTTGGGGCCACCACTTTTTAGTCTGACCCCTGCAGCCGGAGTCTCCCAGAGCCCTTGGGAACTCGGCAGCGGAGAGAAGGCTGAGGGACACCGCGGGCAGGGAGGAGAAGGGAGAAGAGCTTTGCTCCGTTAGGATCTGGCTGGTGTCTCAAGCGCACAGCCAAGTCGCTGTGGACCTAGCAAGGGCTGGATGGACTCGTGGAGCCTCAGGGCTGGGTAGGGAAGCTGGCGAGGCCGAGCCCCGCCTTGGGCTTCTGGGCGCCCTGACTTCGCTCCCGGAACCCTCGGGCCTGGGAGGCGGGAGGAAGTCTTACTGAGTGCAGCCCCAGGCGCCCTCTCCCGGGCCTCCAGAATGGCGCCTTTCGGGTTGTGGCGGGCCGAGGGGCGGGGTCGCAGCAAGGCCCCGCCTGTCCCCTCTCCGGAGCTCTTATACTCTGAGCCCTGCTCGGTTTAGGCCTGTCTGCGGAATCCGCACCAACCAGCACCATGCCCATGATACTGGGGTACTGGGACATCCGCGGGGTGAGCGAGGGTCCGCTGGACGGTGGGACGAGGGCGCAGGGGAGGGAAGTGCGAAGCAGCTGCGGGACGGACTCTAGGGACCGTTCCTCTTCAGGGCTGCCCGCCTCAGAAGGGCCTGTGCATGCCGCTGTGTGTGTGTTGGGGGTGTGGGCGGGTAGAGGAGGCAACGGGTACGTGCAGTGTAAACTGGGGGCTTCCCTGGTGCAGACAAAGTCAGGGACCCTCCATCTCTGACGCGACCTGCGGGCCATCTCTCCCAGCTGGCCCACGCCATCCGCCTGCTCCTGGAATACACAGACTCAAGCTATGAGGAAAAGAAGTACACGATGGGGGACGGTAATGGCACCCTCGTGTTCGGGCTCTGCCCACTCACGCTAAGTTGGCACCAAGCAACCCATGGTGGCCACCTGTGGCTGCCTCTGCAGGCCTCCCCTGCTGGAGCTGCAGGCTGTCTCTTCCCTGAGCCCCGGTGAGGGAGCCCTCTGGCCTTGCAAGGCAGAATGCTGGGGTGGGATGCTGGGCCCCCTGTCTAATTGGGACGGGTGTCCCTCAGGGCTTGCCTAAACCCTGGAAGCCTTAGCTGTGTGGGGTCCAGAGCCCTCAGCGGGATTCTTTGTCCCTGAACCCTGGGATGTGGGACTGAGTGGTCAGATTCTAGATCCACCTGTCTCAGGGATCTTGCCACTGGCTCCGTGGGAGGGTCCCCGGGAAGGAGGGCTGGGCTCTGGGGAGGTTTGTTTTCACTTCTTCTTCCCCACCACAGCTCCTGATTATGACAGAAGCCAGTGGCTGAATGAAAAATTCAAGCTGGGCCTGGACTTTCCCAATGTAGGTGCAGGGGAAGGGGCGGTTTTGGGGGAAAGTGCAACGTGTCTCTGACTGCATCTCCTCTCCCCAGCTTAGAGGTGTTAAGATCAGGAGTCTTCTGCCCAATTCCTCTCACTCCTGGCTGTCTAAACAGTCCTTCCATGATGTTCTGTGTCCACCTGCATTCGTTCATGTGACAGTATTCTTATTTCAGTCCTGCCATGAGCAGGCACAGTGAGTGCCCGGTCTCCTCTCTGCTCTTGCTTATGGGAAGGGGATGCTGGGGAGCCTGGTGGCCCAACTGAGCTTCGCCGGTTTCCCATCCATCCAGCTGCCCTACTTGATTGATGGGGCTCACAAGATCACCCAGAGCAACGCCATCTTGTGCTACATTGCCCGCAAGCACAACCTGTGTGAGTGTGGGTGGCTGCAATGTGTGGGGGGAAGGTGGCCTCCTCCTTGGCTGGGCTGTGATGCTGAGATTGAGTCTGTGTTTTGTGGGTGGCAGGTGGGGAGACAGAAGAGGAGAAGATTCGTGTGGACATTTTGGAGAACCAGACCATGGACAACCATATGCAGCTGGGCATGATCTGCTACAATCCAGAATTTGTGAGTGTCCCCAGTGAGCTGCATCTGACAGAGTTTGGATTTGGGGCCAGGACTCTTGCATTCCTGCACACACTGGTCTTAAGTCCCTGGTACCATTCATCCTCCAAGTGCTTTCCCATACTATCAGCAGTTATTCTCACGACTCCAATGTCATGTCAACAAAAGCAGAGGCAATTCCCACCAACCTTAGGACACGATCCAGGCATCCCAGGGTAGAAATTCAGTTCCTGTATGGTAAAGTTTGTGTTCAGAATCTCCTTCATCAGCTCTGGCCTCTGACTTCTGTCCTGGGTCATTTCTGTCAGCCAGTTCACATCACCTGCCTGCTCCTAGAATATGCAGACTCAAGTAGAAGACTCAGGAATGTAATGGCACCCTCGAATTGCATCTTCTCCTCAACAGTTTTCTGAGTGCTGTCATTGACATGCACAGGGATCTGCGCATTTTCATAACAGACAGCTCAGAGGCAGTCAGAGGGCCTTTATTCCTCTCCCTCCTTCCTTTCAACTTGAACTTCTCATCTCCCTGGAAACTAGTCAATGTTCATTGTTTTCTTCTGCCACCCCATTAGAAGGAACTTTCTACTTTCCCTGAGCTCCCTTAGTTCTTTGCATCCTTGATTCTGCTGGTCTGGATCCAGAGGCTGCCAGGTGCTTGGGCGCTCCTGGGGCTGACCCAGAGGCTATTGGGAGGTCAGTGAGGACAGATTCAGGGACAGCATCTCATTCCTCTCTGCCTTCTGATCAGTTTAGATAGGGTCTGGCACTCAGTCAGAGTCTAATAAATGCTGATGTATCCAATTGAAGCCTGGGCACTGCCCCAGTTCCAGCTTGGGGAAGATGGCTGCTTGCCCATGGCCAGCCTGGGCCGTCCACAGCCCCGGGGAGGCCACGTCTGTGCAGGGAGCTTTTGTCCGAGGGTGGTGACAGCTGTTTTCTGCCTCAGGAGAAACTGAAGCCAAAGTACTTGGAGGAACTCCCTGAAAAGCTAAAGCTCTACTCAGAGTTTCTGGGGAAGCGGCCATGGTTTGCAGGAAACAAGGTAAAGGAGGAGTGATATGGGGAATGAGATCTGTTTTGCTTCACGTGTTATGGAGGTTCCAGCCCACATATTCTTGGCCTTCTGCAGATCACTTTTGTAGATTTTCTCGTCTATGATGTCCTTGACCTCCACCGTATATTTGAGCCCAAGTGCTTGGACGCCTTCCCAAATCTGAAGGACTTCATCTCCCGCTTTGAGGTGATGCCCCCATCCTCCTTTCTCTTTGATGCCCCTTGTTCCGTTACCTCCTTTCAGATGTTTTCCCAGTCCTGGAGCTACACACAGAATAACTCGCATGTATTGAGTACTGGTTTCATGCCACGAACCGTGCCCAGCACATTATACCTATTGTGTGAAATTTGAATTTTATAACATTCCAGTAAGGTAACAGAATTATCTCGCCCATTTTAGAGATAAGGAAACTAAGAATGAGAGGGTCAGTCCTTTGCTCAGGGTCCCAGAGCTAGTGGAGGCTGTGCTGGGCTCCCTGTGAGCCTCTGGATCTATGGGTGGCAGTCAGGGCTCTCCCATTTGTGACAGAAGAAAAAGCCTTAGGCTTCACCTAGCCTGGGTTTCACAGCCCAGGACACTTTGGAAGAGGCAGAGAACTTCATGACCATAGATGGAGCTGGCAATAGTAGGACTGACACAACGGTGACATTGATGTCTAGTACTGAACCCACAGGCAATATTCATAGCTACCTCCAGAAGCTTTGCATGATTGGACCCCAGTGTGGGGAATCCTGAGAGCCAGGGCTGTGGCTGTAGCTGGATTAAGGTACATATGTGGGTGTCCCTGTTGAAGGAGTATATGTTGAAATGCCCGGTGCTGGGGCACTTCCTTACTCCACCTCTATTCTTTTTTTTTTTTTTTTTTTTTTTTTGTGCTGGAGTCTTGCTCTGTTGCCCAGGCTGGAGTTCAATGGAGTGATCTTGGCTCACTGCAACCTCCGCCTCCTGGGTTCAAGCGATTCTACTGCCTCAGCTGCACGATTAGTTGGGATTACAGGTGTGCACCACCACGTCTGGCTAATTTTTGTATTTTTAGTAGAGATGGGGTTTTGCCATGTTGGTCAGGCTGGTCTCGAACTCCTGACCTCAGGTGATCTGCCCACATCAGCCTCCCTCAGTGCTGGGATTACAGATATGAGCCACTCCTCTTCCTCTTTTTTCCCTCCAGTGTTCCACGTGTTCCCCCTGTGAGATGAGTAGCATGCTGATTTTACTCCTATTCACCGACCTTCTCTGCATGAGGCAGGGAGTGAGGCACAGTGGGAGATGTATAGATGACTGCCCCATCCTGGAAATGAGTGCAGTGAGAGGGCTGCAGGCAGAGCAGCCTGTGAGGTGTGTGTGGCACCACCTGGGTACCAGGCCCGGGGCCTGCCCCTCACTCACGGGGAACCATCCCTCACCCTTGCTGATCTTGTTTCAGAGCACAAATCCTACTTTAGTACAGATCTGGGAATTTGAGGCATTAGTCCAACGGGCTTCTGAGCCTAGAATCTGTTTCCCTTTCCCATCAAGAAATCTGCTTGCTCAGCTAGTTCCCATCAGCTCTGGTTCTGGTCCAGGCTTAGTGGCCTTGGAGTTATGTAAGAGGTGGTGGGAAGGGAGGGGTGGAGGAGAGCTGAGGTCTATGGCCTATGACATGCCAGGGTCAATCAGTTTGAGAACAGGCAGTCCTGGATCTTTTTTTTTTTTTTTTTTTTGAGATCGTGTCTTGCTGTTGCCCAGGCTGGAGTGCAGTTGCGTGACCTCGGCTTACTGCAACCTCTGCCTCCCGGGTTCAAACAATTCTCTGCCTCAGCCTCCCGAGTAGCTGGGATTACAAGTGTCTATCACCACGCCCAGCTAATTTTTCTATTTTTAGTAGAGATGGGCTTTCACCATGTTGGCCAGGGTGGTCTTGAACTCCTGACCTCGGGTGATCCACCCACCTCGGCTTCCCAATGTGCTGGGATTACAGGTGTGAGCCGGATGTTTTTGAATACCTTATCTGGGCATTCAATCCTGGTAAGATTGTGCACAGCACATCTGAGTATCATGTAGCCTGATCTGCAGCAGGGCTGGAGATGCCATGGGTTAGGGCACAGTGAGATTTTGCTCAGGTATTAGATGGAGAACTTTGGACTTTCTGCTTTAAGGGGAATGTTTAGAGCCTAGTCTCGCCTTTGATTTTCTTGTGCACTGCCACCCCCCATTCCACTTTCATCCAGGTTTTACTGAGACATTGGGTGAGTGTGTTCAGAGCCCCTTTGTTCTGCTGGAGGTCCCTTCTGTGTCTCTATACCCAGACAAGCCAAGAGCCTCCCTGTGGAAAAGGAGACTGTTTGTGCAGTCAAGGAGTGACAGGGCCTGGTGTGAGGGGTGGTGGGGCAGAAGAAGAAGAGAATTTGTCAGGAAGAGGCCAGAACTGGAGAGAGACAGAACCAGGCTACACTGCAGTTCTATTCCCCTTACTAGGTATTTAAATGTAAGGAAGTTGCTGAACTTCTGTTTCCCACATGAGAAATGGTGATAATAGATTCAGCCTTGCAGAGCAGTCGAGTGGGTTTTCTAAGCTTACGTTGTAATTTCTCTTGGGTACAGAGCACCCAGCACCGTGTAGAATCTTCATAAGTGTTAGCTGTTACTGTGGTACAACATTACTTAAAGGAAGTTGGAAGAGTTAACTCCGCAAATCTGGGGACCCTAAGAAGCTGTGTGATGCCTCAGCACTTGAGCCCACATGGAAAGGCTGTGGCCAGGGCCCTGACCTGCTGTGTCTGCAGTGGGGTTGTCCCAGCCCTCATGGGCAGCTGACCTTGAGTTCTGGCCTTATTTTCCCCCCTCTCAGGGCTTGGAGAAGATCTCTGCCTACATGAAGTCCAGCCGCTTCCTCCCAAGACCTGTGTTCTCAAAGATGGCTGTCTGGGGCAACAAGTAGGGCCTTGAAGGCCAGGAGGTGGGAGTGAGGAGCCCATACTCAGCCTGCTGCCCAGGCTGTGCAGCGCAGCTGGACTCTGCATCCCAGCACCTGCCTCCTCGTTCCTTTCTCCTGTTTATTCCCATCTTTACTCCCAAGACTTCATTGTCCCTCTTCACTCCCCCTAAACCCCTGTCCCATGCAGGCCCTTTGAAGCCTCAGCTACCCACTATCCTTCGTGAACATCCCCTCCCATCATTACCCTTCCCTGCACTAAAGCCAGCCTGACCTTCCTTCCTGTTAGTGGTTGTGTCTGCTTTAAAGGGCCTGCCTGGCCCCTCGCCTGTGGAGCTCAGCCCCGAGCTGTCCCCGTGTTGCATGAAGGAGCAGCATTGACTGGTTTACAGGCCCTGCTCCTGCAGCATGGTCCCTGCCTTAGGCCTACCTGATGGAAGTAAAGCCTCAACCACATTTGCTGTGTGTCTTGTCTTATTTGCTCCTGGCCATCTACCCAGACTGTCTGTCTGTCTGTCACTGCCTCTTCCAAGGGACTGGCTGGTGATCCTGGCAGTGGCTGGGTTCTAAAGGATTCTGCTGGGCATAGTAAGGCGCTTGAGAATTCTTGCTCCCATTCCTGAGAGACTCAGAGCAGGAAGCCCCATGAGGCACTGTGGAAAGGATGTCTCTTTCTTGGCCTGGATGTCCCATTCATTCATCCAGCCGTATTGAGTACTTTCCATAATTGCACAGAGCTTGTGTCTCATTGAATAGGACCCCAAGGGGGTGGAATCTCCATCAGAGAGAACCAGGGTCCCTTTTACCTTCTCCACTATATGACTACATCACTTCTGTTAGGTCTCCAGGACCCAATCTCTATTGTTTTTCTCAGATGGCTTCCAGGTACCCTCTCCAGGCTTGCTGCACAGCTGTCATCAGGACGTTCTCTCTGGGTTTACTTCCTCTCTTTCCTGGGTACCTGTGAGAGAAATGTCTTTAGTCCTTGCATAACTGAAAGTGCCTTTACATGCTTACTGAATACTCTGGCTGAGGATTTAGTCTGTTCTCACGCTGCTAATAGAGACATACCCGAGACTGGGTAATTGATAAAGGAAAGAGGTTTAAAGGTCTCACAGTTCCACAGGGCCTGGGAGGCCTCATAACCATGGCAGAAGGCGAATGAGGACCAAAGTAATGTCTTACATGGCAGCAGGGAAGAGGGCGTGTGCAGGGGAACTCCCACTTATAAAACCATCAGATCTTGTGAGACTTATTCACTACCATGAGAACAGTATGGGGGAAACTGCCCCCACGATTCAGTTTTCTGCACCCGGCCCCCACCCTTGATACCTGGGGATTATTACAATTCAAGGTAAGATGTGGGTGGTGACACAGCCAAACCATATCAGCTGGGGATAGAATTCTATGATGAAAACCTTCAGACCTCTAATAGATTTACTCGCTCTTTTCTAGAATTGAGCATTTCTGGTGAGTAGGTGGATGCCAGTTCTGACAGCATCTTTTGCTTTTTAAAAATTATTATTATTATTTTGAGAGGGAGTATTACTCTGTCACCCAGGCTGGAGTGCAGTGGTGTGATCTTGTCTCACTGCAACCTCCCCTTCCCAGGTTCAAACGATTCTCCTTCCTCAGCCTCCCAAGTAGGTGGAACTATAGGCGCACACCACTGTGCCCAGCTAATTTTTGTATTTTTGTTTTAGAGACAGGTTTTCACCGTGTTGGCCAGGCTGGTCTCAAACTCCTGACCTCGTGATCCACCCACCTAGGCCTCCCAAAGTTCTGGAATTACATGCGCGAACTACTGCGCCTGACCATATCTTTTGCTTTTTTACTTAAGCTTTTTCTGTTTATCATTCTGAGGTCTATAATTCCAAAGGCCGTGTGGGGATCTACAGGTTGATCTCTTCCTGACTCACATCATTGCAGGAACTTTCTAAGCATAGGCTTCCTCCACCCTGACAGCAATCCCATATCTTTATCTGCATTGCATCTTCTTGAAGTAATTTAAAATCTCACTGGAGAGTGAACTGCTTCAGAGGAAGATTCTCATAGCTTAGCAGTTCCTAAGCTGTGATACCAGAAATAGTTGTTGAGTCTGTGGGTCAGGTATTCACGCAAGGCTCAGCAGGGAGTACTTGTTACAAATCAACAAAGGTCTCTTCTCCAAAAACTATATATCCGAAAATACAACTCATTAAAAAATGAGTCAGAATTTCAACAAGCATTTCCCAAAAGTGAATATCCAAATGGCCACTAAGCTCATGAGAAGGTGCTCAACATCATTAGACAGCAGAAAGTTAAAAACCCCTAAGATCCTACTGTATCCCCACTAGAATGGCTGATATTGAAAGGACCGACAATTGTTGGTGATTTATGGAGTAACTGGAACTGTCATGCATTGCTGGTGGGAAAGCCACTTTGGAATACTGGCACTGTCAACTAGAGCTAAACATACATCTACCCAGGACCCAGAAGTCCTACCCTACAGGAATGAGTCCTAATGGATTCCAAGAACCAGGTATAATGATGCCAAAAGCAGCTTTATTTTAAATAGCCAATAACTGAAAACAATCCAAATTCCATGAATAGAAGAATGAACAAATGAACTGTGGTTTATCAACACAATTCCATCATTCGTATAATGGAATACTTACTCTGCTATAATGAAAATAAATGTGCTAACACTATGTGCAAAAACATGGATGGGTCTCACAGATGTGTTGAGTAAAAGGATCCAGACAGGAGAAAGGACACACAATCTCATTCCACTTACACGAAAATCAGGGGAGGGAAATGAGTCCATGGTATCAGAGGTCAGATGATTGGTGACCTTGGTGAGAACTGGAAGGTTGCCTATTGAAGGCTCCTGGTGCAGTGCTGTAAGTTTTCTCTCTTTATCTGGGAGGTGATTCCAGAAGAGTATCCAAGTGGAAAAGCCCACAGAGTAGCACACTTAAGGCCTGTACACTGTATGTGTATTCACTTCAATGAAAAGCATGCACATATGTCTTACATTATTTGTGTGCTTGTGTTGGTTTGCTTTCCCTCATAATATGTCAATGTCATGAAGGCATGTGTTTTTGTATCTTCTTGTTCACTGATGTAACGGGTGTTTGCATATCACCTAGCACAGTCCTTGAGCATAGTAGGTGCTCACTTAATAGTTATTAAGCAAATTATAGGTTCGTCTTAAAGGTGTGATTTCAAATTCCCTTTAGATTTTTATTCATGCCTACTTCTTTGGATAGGTGAGACTGGTGTGCATGTATACTCTTAGATTGTACCATTTTTTCTCTTTAACATTTTACTTCTCTTTCTTTTTTTGAGACAGAGTCTCACTCTGTTGCCCAGGCTGGAGCACAGTGGCGCAGTCTCAGCTCACTGCAACCTCTGCCTCCTGGGTTCAAGCGATTCTCGTGCCTCAGCCTCCTGAGTAACTGGGACTACTGGCATACACCACCACACCTGGCTAATTTTTGTATTTTTGGTAGAGATGAAGTTTTGCCATGATGGCCAGGCTGGTCTCGAACTCCGGGCCTCAAGTTATCTGCCCACCTCTACCCCTCAGAGTGCTGGGATTAAAGGTGTGAGCCACTGCGCCTGGCCTAACATTTAACTTAAAAAATCTGTGTATGGGCTGGGCTTGGTGGCTGACGCCTGTAATCCCAGCACTTTGGGAGGCCAAGGCAGGCAGATCACGAGGTCAGGAGAGCGAGACCATCCTGGCTAACATGGTGAAACCACTTCCCTAGTAAAAATACAAAAATTAGCCGGGTGTGGTGGCTCTTGCCTGTAGTCCCAGCTACTCAGGAGGCTGAGGCCGGACAATCGCTTGAACTTGGGAGGTGGAGCCTTCAGTGAGCCGAGATAGTGCCACTCCTCTCCAGTCTGGGCAATAGAACAAGACTCTGTCTCAAAAAAAAAAAAAAAACTGTATATGTTGGCAGTCTATATGCATGCCTACTTCTAATATTGATGGCTATCTCACATTAGTTCCTGTGGATTAACTATAGTTTGCCTAGTCATTCTTATGCTATGGCGTATGTGGATTTTTCTAACTTATTTATTTGTTTTTAGAGCAGGGTGATCATGTTTTGACTAATTCCTTCCCATTTTTGGTTACTTTGAGTAGATCCCCAAAGGTGATTACTATAAGGTAAAGGGTGAGACTGGTTTAATGGTATAACAGATAATTTGATTGCTCTCCAGAGACAATAACTTAATTTATGGTGCCACCAGCAAGGTACAGTACACGGACCTTTCTGCACTATTTTAGGCACTTAGGAGATCGCAATTTCATCTTACGATTTTTTTTTTAATAAGAACACCTTCAAATATTCTGGCTGGGCATGGTGGCTCATGCCTGTAATCCCAGCACTTTGGGAGGCTGAAGCCGGTGGATCACTTGAGGTCAGGAGTTTGAGACCAGCCTAGCCAATGTGGTGAAACCCTGTCTCTACTAAAAATACAAAAATTAGCCAGGCGTGGTGGTGGACAACTGTAATCCCAGCTATTCAGGAGGCCGAGGCACAAGAATCGCTTGAACCTGGGAGGCAGAAGTTGCACTGAGCCAAGATCGTGCCATTGCACACTGCACTCCAGCTTGGGCGACAGAGTGAGAGTCCACCTCAACAACAACAACAACAACAACAAAAAGAATACCCTTAAATTTTCTACCTTCACCTTTTTTGTTTATAGGTTGTGCATGTTTCTGCCAATGAATCACAGTCTATGAATCTACTTGTTCGTGAATCTCCTGTATAAAACTCTCTGTTTACCCATTCTCTACCGGTGGCTTAGTCATCTCCAGGAGAAAGATTAAAGAATGATCTTGTGGCAGTCAAGGCTTTTTCTCCCATAGGCACAATGTAATTAATTGTGATTTTGTTCTTGGTTTCCTGTGGCATAATGTGATGGTTAGTTTTCTGTGTCAACTTGACTGGGCTAAGGGATGCTCAGATGGCAGGTAAAATCATTGTGTTTGTGAGGGTGTTACCAGAAGAGATTTGCCTTTCAATGAGAAGACTGAGCCAAGATTTCTCTCAGCAATGAAGGGGGCTTCCAACAAACTGTCAAGGTCTAGAGAGAAGAAAAAACAGAGGAAGGGTGAATTTGACCTCTCTGACTGGGACATCCATCTCCACCTATCCTGGGACCTCCACACTCCTGGTTCTCTGGCCTTCAGACTTGATCAGGGACTAACACCATCGCCTCCCACCCCCACCTTTGTTCTGAGGCCTTTAGACTCACACTGAATGATACCGCTGGCCTTTCCCGCTTCTCTGTCCTGCAGCCAGCTGATCGTGGGACTTCACTCCAAAATTATGTGAGCCAGTTCCCACAAGAGATACATAAATTTGTAAATAAACACACAAATTTCCTACAGGCTTATCTTAGTGGCGTCACTTCAAATTTTGAAGACCCTTGACTAGTACACGTAGCAACAAAAAATACACATGGGTCACCATCATCAATAAGTAAGTTTTATAAAATCAAACACAAGATAAAACGCTGCAGCATATCTATTACCTGGGTTTTTTTCTATATGGAAAGCACTGTCTGAGATGCCTCACAGTAAACTCCAAGGAGATTTTGAGGGAAGATATTATCTTTCCTGGTAAATCTCCGTGTTGATGATCATTGTTTTAAAGTCTCCAGAGATGAAAACATCTGCTTGCACATTTTGCTAATTCATTTTGGGTGAGGGTCTCTGGCAGGCTTGGAAGGGTGGGTGAGCAGTGGGAAGGGGGCTGCGTCTGGTGACTAGCATCACTCATATCCATGTCTGTGGCAGTCATCAGGTGCTTATTATATATTTGACTTTTGGCCACCCCTCTGGGGGTGTTAAATGCAGGGAGGGTCTAGTCAAGCCATTACAAGTTGGCAGTGACTCGTAGCAACTTTCTACACACCCTTCTCAGTCAGGGTGGATACCTTTTGAAAATAAGTTCAGTTCATCCTGCCTAGCTTTGCCCCAGCAGCTCTAGAAGAATTACCCGATGGTGCTGGGCTCAGGCTGCCTGGCTCTGGAGCAATGTGCTGAGAGCTGCAGGGGAGGCCTGCTGTCTGACTGGCAGAGAGAGTCCCACCACTCCCTACCCTGTACCCTGGAAGACCAGGCTGCCCAGCCTGTCCACCTAGTAGACCGTTTGCCTGCCCAATTCTCCTTCTCTGATTCCTGATGTGCAGCTTGATGCCTGCATGGGCTGCACCAGCTGAGATTGTCTCTAGGTCCTCCCTTCTGCCAGCTGGTGTCCAGGGAAGTGGGTCCTCTGGCCTGCTTCCTGCCAGCCAGAATTTCGAGGACCTTGTTTCTCCCACTGCAGCTTTCGACCCTGTCCTGGATCACAGACTAGGGTTTCTTAAGGTCGGCCGTACAGAGATTTGGAGGGCAGAATTCTTTGTTGTGGGGCGCTGTCCTGAGCATCGCAGGGTGCTCAGCATCCTACCCATCCTCTACCCACTAATACCACGGGCGCTTCCTGGTGTTTACAATTAACAAAGTCTCCAGACAGACCTACATGTCCCCTGAGGGGCAAAATCACCTTCACTTGAATCACATCCAGTGGTGTGCTGGATGGATACTAGCATTAAAAATATTAATAATAATAAAAAGATTCATAATGTAGCTCATGTAGTTAATTCCTTTTTGATGGAACATTTATTTAAGTTAATAATATAAGTATCATTAATACCTAATAATATGGGTATATGTATATGTAATTTTCTTGTTTACCTTTTTATATTGATCTAGCGTCAGAGTTTGAGAAATTGTAGAAAGATTAGAAACGACTCTGATTACCCTAGATACTAATGTTTCCACATGGGCTTTCTGCCCCCCAGAGTACCCTCTGCCCCTCCTTCTCCTGCCCCCGCCTTTCTGTCTCTGTCTCCCCCAGCAAGCTCCGAATGAGCACAACACCATTATAAGAAAAACACTATTTTCTTTTCTCTGAGGTAGCATTCCTGATGTTTGGATTCAGGCTGATAAGTGACAGTGATTTATAATCATCCTTGCCTGTGTTGTCCTTCCCATGTTAGGTCATGTCTGTAGTTTATGACAATCTGTGTCATCCATGCCATTTTCAAAATTTTTGAAAACATATCCAGCCTAATGCTGAGGATAAAATGCCCTTTTGTGTTGTTATTTTTCTTTATCACGCTTTTTGTACTTCATTCAGAATCTTTATCTCTTAACATGTTTTGGCCTGTTTGTGTTTCTTCCACTTGGTGGTAACATCAATTAACATAGAGTTTAGAAAAATGTTTCCCCAATTTAAAAAATCACTTGTACTACATCTTCTTTCTTAGTTCTGATTTGTATTAACTTATAATTATATTTTTTGTTTTTGTTGTACTAATGCTGTGTTAATTACCTAAGTTTTTTTTGTTTTGTTTTGTTTTTGTTTTTGAGACGGAGTCTCGCTCTTTCGCCCAGGCTGGAGTCCAGTGGCACTATCTCGGCTCACTGCAAGCTCCACCTCCCTGGTTCATGCCATTCTCCGGCCTCAGCCTCCCAAGTAGCTGGGACTACAGGTGTCTGCCACCACGCCCAGCTAATTTTTTGTATTGTCAGTGGAGACAGGGTTTCACCATGTTAGCCAGGATGGTCTTGATCTCCTGACCTCGTGATCCGCCCGCCTTGGCCTCCCAAAGTGTGGGGATTACAGGCGTGTAGTTACCTAACTTTTAACAGAATAAACTATTACATATAACAAGCAAATTGGTTAAAGTTTCAATATTTCTCTTAAGGTAACTTATTGCTTCCACTTCTGTTTCCATCTCTAACTTTGTGCCTGTTCTACTTTCTTGAAATTCTAGTTTGTTTGCCTTATTCTTGGTATCACAGGCATGTTGGAAAAATGTTTTCTCAATTCAAATTTGGTAGCATCTTCAAATGGTGATTTTTATTTTCTTCTTTTCAGATTGAAGAAAAGATTCTTTATATTTCAGATTTCCTAAGTTTACCCAAACAATATTTAAGAGACTTTAATACATTTCCATGAATTAGGATACATTTTATTTTGTCTGTCAGTATTTGTTTCTAATAGATTAGTTTTTAAAATTCTGACAACATGTTAGGTAGATTTTCTGTTAATTTGCCTTGAGAATGTAAGAATGTTGTCAGAAGAGACAGAAGGAATTATGAAATCCAGTCCAGAGGTCCCATTACAGGCCCTTGGTAAAGTGGGACCCAGTGCATTTTGACTGTCTGGCACAGCATTGTTTTAAAAATTAGAACTTTTCCACATTTTGCAGTTCAGACAGCACATACAAATGCAGAAGTCCAGGCCCTGTCGGGACTGAGTTTCTGTGTGGTGACAACTGGCTACAACCCCTTCCTTCTGAACACTTGCAGCTTCCCTCATCCCTGCTGCTCCTGATCCCCGTCCACAGACCCACTTTCCCCGCTGGTGTGATCCTTGTGGCCACTATGGCAGCTACTTTGGAGAGCCGCTAGTCCAGTCCTTCCCGCCTTCCGCAGAGCTCTACTCCTGCTTCTGAAGAAGCCACCTGGGGCCTGGCCTTCTTCCTGGCTCCTCAGAGTCCTTGCAACAGCAGGCACTACTTCTCTCTCCTGCACTCAACCCCTCTCCCACTCCACTGCCTCTCAGTGTGCCAAAACACGAAGATGTGTCCTGATTTTCAAAATCTCTCCCCTGAAGTTCCCACCTGATATGTAGTTGGAGATGGGCAAATACAGCGTCCTTGAAGCATCATTTTATTCATAGTGCCTGGAATGTAGTAGGATCTCGACAATTGTTGTTTCAATAAAGGAATGACCAAATATATTAATACTGTAAAAAGTAAAGTAGAGGTTCCTCTTCAAAGAGACTTTTCTCCCCATCTAATTAAGAATAAGTCGTAACTTCTCTTAGAAGCAAAATTTATTCAAAGACCGGTGCTGATATTCTGAAATATCTGCTAGCTGTAATAAAGAAATTAATGTACTTTATGTTCTTAACTCCCACAATTTAGCCTAAATACTTGCCCTGGCATGCTTATACTGATCCAAACAAGCATGAGGTCATAGCCTGTTCCTCTTCCTTATTTGAAGGTGTTTTTACCTTTCTCAGCGTTCCACAAGTGAGTTCCCCCTTCCTTTGTTCTCCTCTGCCTCTGCCTCTTTTAAAAAGTTCTAAGTTGCTAGCCAATCAGGACAAATACAGAATGTGAGGTCCCGTTCCAGCCAGTGGAAACTGGACACAGCAGTAGGGTGGACACATCAAGTTATAAATGACCCTTTCTCCTTTGTTCAGTGTACTCTCGTGGTAAAACTGCTGGCGAGTGTACCCTTTCTGCAGAAAGTAAAAATGGCCTTTGTTGCAGGAAGTCAGGGACCCCGAATGGAGGGACCGGCTGGAGCTGCAGCAGAGGAACATAAATTGCAAATATTTCATTTTAATATGGACATTTATCGGTTCCCAAATTAATACTTTTATAATTTCTTATGCCTGCCTTACTTTAATCTCTTAATCCTGTTATCTTCTTAAGCTGAGGATATAGGTCACCTCAGGACCACTGTGATAATTGTGTTAACTGTACAAATTGATTGTAAAACATGTGTGTTTGAACAATATGAAATCAGTGCACCTTGAAAAAGAACAGAATAACAGCGATATTTAGGGAACAAGAGAAGACAACCATAAGGTCTGACTGTCCGCAGGGTCAGGCAAAATAGAGCCATATTTTTCTTCTTGCAGAGAGCCTATAAATGGACATGCAAGTAGGGAAGATATTGCTAAATTCTTTTCCTAGCAAGGAATATTAATATTAATACTCTGGGAAAGGAAAGCATTCCTGGGGGGAGGTCTATAAATGGTCGCTTTGGGAATGAATGTCTGTCCTATGCAGTTGAGATAAGGACTGAAATACACCCTGGTCTCCTGCAGTACCCTCAGGCTTACTAGGGTGGGGAAAAACCTGGCCCTGGCAAATTTGTGGTCAGACTGGTTCTCTGCTCTTGAACCCTGTGTTCTGTTGTTTAAGATGTTTATCAAGACAATACATGCACCGCTGAACATAGACCCTTATCAGGAGTTCTATTTTGCCCTTGTCCTGTTTCCTCAGAAGCATGTGATCTTTGTTCTGCTTTTTGCCCTTTAAAGCATGTGATCTTCGTACCTACCCCCTGTTCGTACACCCCCTCCCCTTTTGCAATCCTTAATAAAAACTTGCTGGTTTTGAGGCTCGGGCGGGCATTACGGTCCCACTGATATGTGATGTCACCTCCAGCAGCCCAGCTGTAAAATTCCTCTCTTTGTACTCTTTCTCTTTATTTCTCAGCCAGCCGACACTTATGGAAAGTAGAAAGAACCTACATTGAAATACTGGGGGCAGGTTCCCCCAATATCTGGTGCACCAACATGGTTTTCTTTTTCCTAAGTGCATGTGGGAACCTGATTCCCTTTGGTAGGTGTGGAGAAACGATCATCAGTCCAGTCCTCAGAAACGCTTGTTCGGCTCCCTGATGATTGGTGAATTTTCTATGTATTGTCTCGGGTAACTATGGGTCACATGGAGTCTAAATATTATGCTTATCTCTGCTATATTAAACTCCTGTTAAAACAGGGTGGAGTTTGGGTGCCCATGGAAAATATGGTCACCCTATTCAGGGTGTTGGAAGAACACTGTCCTTGGTTTCCTGAAAAGGGAAAATTAGATGTGGAACTATGGGATCGCGTTGGTGCAAAATTCCAGGAACTGATCCCATCAGGAAATTATGTTCCCTTCACTGTTTGGGGTGATTGGGCCTTGGTATGTGCCATCCTAACGACATACCAATCCCGTGACCCCCTGCAGTTACCACAGTTTTCTGAATCTGGCGACCTTCTACCTCTTCCACAGCTTTCCTCTCCCACTCGGGCTTCATTATCTGCTCAGCCTCTCCCTTCGCCTACTCCTCCCCCACCTAACGATATTGAGGATTCAATATCTAACTCCGGTGACTTTGGCTTAATGTCACCCCCGATGGTCTTATTTCTTTTCATGAAGACCTGATACTTGTAGCTCCCATGGCCCTGACTCGGACAGCTCTGCACCATATCTATGCTAACTCTTCCCTTTTCAAATCTTTGCAGGCTTTGCCTCCAGAGCCATCTAATGGCTCCAGACCAAACTACAATTTACCTGTAATTCTGCAGGCCCTCCCCCACCGCAGCCCCTCACCCTCCTGTCATTTCGGTCCCTCAACCAGTCACTTTGCCATTCACTCAACCTGCTTCTCTGTACCCTTCTTCACACATGGACGCCCCTGCCACTCTGGTTGCACAGGATTTCCCAATAATCACCAGTATGCTTCTGTCTCTTCTGCTCCCCCAATGCCCCTTTCTCACACTCTCATACTGGTCTGACCTCCTGAACCTCAGTTTCCCTTATCTACACATACTTTTACTGTCACTTCTATGCCAACTCCATCTCATGTGCCTGCTCTTGAAACTTCCATGCAATGCTTATTACGCCAGAACAAAGAAACAAGTGGATTAGAGGTGTGGGCTTATCCGGTCACGCTGGAACCTCCCAATGCTCAAGGGGTACAAATGCGTTGATATGCACTGCTCAATCTTACCTTTTCAAAAGAATTCAAGGATGCTTGTGCTCAGTATGGTCCTGCTTCTCCATATGTTAAAATGGCATTACAGACTCTTTGTACTGAGGTCATTTTGCTTCCTTCAGAATGGGACCTTTTGGCGAAAGCTGTTCTAACTCCATCTCAGCATTTACAATTCTGTACCTGGTGGTCAGAGGAGGCCCGTCTGCAGGCTCAGCTAAATTGGGTTGATGGCATTCTAATTACTCAGGCTCAGCTCACAGGCTCTGATAATCACTCTGACACTACCGCCCAATTAGACTTTGACGCTCTCACCACGGAACAAGTAACAAAGTTGTGTATGAGAGTTTGGGATAAACTAGGTGCCCCAGGCCAAGCTCCTGTTTCTTTTACTACTGTTAAACAGGGTCGCAGTGAATTACATCCTGATTTTTTGGCTAAATTACAAGATGCTGTTCAAAATCTGTCTCTGATGATTACGCTCAAGGTATTCTCCTTCATATGTTAGCTTTTGAGAATGCGAACCATGAGTGTAAAGTGGTCATGCGTTCTGTCTAATGACAAAATTTACCTGATCACGAGGTGTGCCTGCATATATTAAAGCTTGTGAAAGCATTGGATCAGAGACCCACAAAGCTATTCTGTGGGCACGGGCCATGAAGGATGGCAATCAAACTGGCTTGACTGAATTCTTTTCTTGGAGCCTGCTATAATTGTGGTCAACTTCATCATACCCAAAAAAATTGCACTGTTAAAAGCGGCCAAGCCAGCTCAACAAACATGGCCAAATGCTCCTGCTACTGTTTGCCCTCATTGTCGTAAAGGTAAACACTGGGCAAGTACTTGCCACTCTAAGTCTGATATAGATGGCAATCCCTTGCCACAGAACCAGGGAAATGGGAAGCAGGGCCAGTCCCAGGCCCCAGTATCAAATGGGACACCTCAGACTCAGACCAATATTGTGTTTCTGCTTCAAGCGGTCCCAATACAGCCCCCAGCACAAGCAAATTTACCTACAGCCAACCCAGATGGGTCCCAGTCGCTTCTTCTGTCTCAGTACAATGCTTGTCTACCTCCACAGTAGGGGGCAGGGCGGTCAATCTCTGTAGTACCACTCCTCTAAATTTACTACCGAATTCTTTGCCTTTAATTGTCCCCACGGGGGCCACTGGCCCTTTACCTCAAGGTTTGGTGGGCCTGGTGTTAGGTAGGGCATCCACCTCTGCTAAAGGTATCATAGTTCATACTGGTCTCATTAATTCTGATTCCTCTGATGAGATTAAAATAATCGTGTCTGCCAAGGTTCCTGTTTCCATTCCGGCCAGTGAGTCAATTGCTCAACTACTTTTACTACCTAATATTGTTTTAAACAAAGGAGATAAGACAGGGGGCCCTGGGATGGGCTCTGGCGGTGAAAAAGCCGCTTATTGGATTAAAGTAATTTCTAAACAACAGCCCACCTGCACCATACATATTAAAGGAAAAAAGTTTGAGGGCCTAGTAGATACTGGGGCTGATGTTTCTATTATTTCCTCTAATTTATGGCCTTCTTCCTGGCTTAAACATCCCACTAACATGGGACTAGTAAGGGTTGGAAAAGCTGATGAAGTTCACCAAAGCACATTTATCTTGCCTTGCACTGGGCCTGATGGTCAAAAGGGAACAATTCAGCCTTATATCATGCCAATCCCCATTAATCTTTGGGGTAGATATTTGCTGGAACAATGGGGGGCTGAAATTAATATTCCACATAACTCTTCTCGTGCTCCCAGTCAACATATAATGGAAAACGTGGGGACTGTTCCTGGACTCAGTCTCGGTCCAAAACATGAAGGAATTACTAAATTCCTTTATGGTTTAAAAGCATAATTTAACCACTCCCCACTCCCAATTCCATTTAGCATTGTTTACTTTAAACTTTCTAAATGTTCCTAAAGACAATACTCTGACTGCAGCCGAACACCATTATACAGGCAAAAAATTCTCCCTAAATGAAAGCAAGCCAGTGTTATGGAAAAACTCCCAGACAAATACCTGGGAACCTGGAACAATTATAATGTGGGGAAGAGGGTATGCTTGTGTTTCACCAGGAGATCATCAATCCCCTGTCTGGGTGCCCACTAGAAGACTTTAACTTCGTGTGAATACTGACAATGAAAAACACAGGGAAGAGATGTCCACGTCAGAGACTGCCCTCATACCTGGTGAGATCTGTGCCAACTCCTCAAAAACTGGCACACCAAATCAAAATGGATCTCATTCAATCCTCCCTAATGGCAACAGAGACCCCTCTAACTAATCCCACTTCTCCTAATTACCTTTCTTTTTCTCCTTACAAACCTGAAAATCTCACCATTTCTATTAGCCTGAAAATAACATCCCTCTGTTCTTCTCTTCCTCCTTCAGCACTGGATCTCGCTTACAATAGGTTTTATTTAATAATTCTACTCCTTATACTTTCTGTCTCACCAGTTTCCCCTCACACTGATTTGCCTGCTACACAAAATTATTCTTATTGGGCTTATGTGCCTTTTCCTCCACTTATTCGACCTCTCACCTGGATGAATGCTCCTGCGGAAATCTACACTAACGATAGTGTGTAGATGCCTGGAGCTATAGATGACCATTGCCCTGCTCAACCAGGAGAAGAAGGCACTGCATTTAATGTTACTATGGGTTATAAATACCCTCCTCTGTGCCTCGGACATGCAACTCGTTGTATCCATCTAGAAACTCAAGTCTGGGCTGCTTATCTTCTGGAGAGATTAGCTACAGGAAAATGGGGACATTTGGTCTCCGGCCTCTCCCTTTGTCCTTTAAGACAAATGAAAAGGGGAGTAATAGGAGATACCCCATACTTTCAATATAAACCTGTAGGAAAACTATGTCCTAAAAATTTTGAGGGCCCATCTAAAACTTTAATTTGGGGAGATTGTGTTAACTCACATGCAGTAGTATTAAAAAATGACTCATATGCTTTAGTAATAGACTGGGCACCAAAGGGCTATTTAAAAAACACTTGCTCCTCTGGGGGAGGGGAATTCCTGGAGGCTACTTATTTTATTTCTTATTGGGAGGACGAGGATCATCATCCTACTTTGCATAGGTGGTTCGGCTCATTCTTTACCTTAAAATGGGAAGATAAGGACATTACCCTCCACCCCCAAGGCCTTGTATGATATTCCCCATTCTGAGCCCAGAACACCCAGAACTTTCGAAATTGGCTATTGTCATGTCTGGACTGCCAGTATCTGTGATTCTGAACCCCATGATAAATCCCCTTTGAACCTTTTTCCTCTTTTTGATGCCGATCCTCCTTTACGGGACTCCAATTGGCATTACGATAATTCTTATCGACCCAGGTATGCCCCTCTACTTCTTCAGCATCCCCAGGCACCTCGGTTTGCTTCTTTATGGTGGAGAACATCGGGCATTGCCACCGCCGCTCCTCTCCCTCAGTATCAACATAGATTCAAGCATTCTGCTTTGTTTACCTCCAACCTGACTATTCCTATACAGAGTTGTGTTAAGCTTCCTTACATGCTGTTAGTGGCAAATATCAAAATTTGGACAAACAATCAAACTGTCCAATGCATTGTCATTTATACACTTGTGTTGACTCCCGTTTTGACTCCAGGAAAAGTGTAATGTTGGTTGGAGCTCGAGAAGGAATCTGGATACTGTGTGCCGGACCAGCCAAAGAATCCTGTGTCAAAACCGAGAGAACGAATAAGCCTTCATCACCATGGCACATTTATATAAAAAGAAAGGGAGAGATGTTGCGGGAAGTCAGGGACCCCGAATGGAGGGACTGACTGGAGCCGCGGCAGAGGAACATAAATTGCAAATATTTCATTTTAATATGGACATTTATCAGTTCCCAAATTATTACTTTTTACATTTCTTACGCCTGTCTTACTTTAATCTCTTAATCCTGTTATCTTCATAAGCTGAGGATATATGTCACCTCAGGACCACTGTGATAATTGTGTTAACTGTACAAATTGATTGTAAAACATGTGTGTTTGCACAATATGAAATCAGTGCACCTTGAAGAAGAACAGAATAACAGTGATTTTTAGGCAACAAGAGAAGACAACCATAAGGTCTGACTGCGTGCAGGGTCAGGCAAAATAGAGCCATATTTTTCTTCTTGCAGGGAGCCTATAAATGGACATGGAAGTAGGGAAGATATTGCTAAATTCTTTTCCTAGCAAGGAATATTACTATTAATACTCTGGGAAAGGAATGCATTCCTGGGGGGAGGTCTATAAACGGCCGCTCTGGGAATGTCTGTCCTATGCAGTTGAGACAAGGACTGAAGTACACCCTGGTCTCCTGCAGTACCCTCAGGCTTACTAGGGTGGGGAAAAACCTGGCCCTGGCAAATCTGTGGTCAGACTGGTTCTCTGCTCTTGAACCCTGTGTTCTGTTGTTTAAGATGTTTATCAAGACAATACGTGCACTGCTGAACATAGACCCTTATCAGGAGTTCTACTTTTGCCCTTGTCCTGTTTCCTCAGAAGCATGTGATCTCTGTTCTGTTTTTTGCCCCTTAAAGCATGTGATCTTTGTACCTACCCCCCGTTCGTACACCCCCTCCCCTTTTGCAATCCTTAATAAAAGCTTGCTGGTTTTGAGGCTCGGGCCGGCATCACGGTCCTACTGATATGTGATGTCACCCCTGGCGGCCCAGCTGTAAAATTCCTCTCTTTGTACTCTTTCTCTTTATTTCTCAGCCAGCTGACACTTATGGAAAATAGAACCTATGTTGAAATACTGGGGGCAGTTTCCCCGATAGCCTTGCTGAGGAAATTAAATTTATGTTCAAGTGCTATTTCTTTATGGAACCAAGGAACAAGTATTTCAAACAATACTAATGTAACAGTACTGGTTCTATGTGTTTCAAAATTATTATTCTCATGAGTGTTAGCTTTCTTAAAAAATCGTTTTTATCAATTGGATCTAGACATCTTATCTTTCACAGCTCAAGACCCATTAACTCAAAATCATAAACTCTTAATGCATAATGAGAAATATAATGATTCCTAGGGCCAGGCACTTGTGTCTGTGCTGGTGCTATTGCCTCAATGCAGGAAAATCTATGTGAGAATTCACTGTGAGGCCAAAACTGCTTCCTAAACATGGATACCTGCCAGGTATCTGAGCTGGGAGTACTGCCCAGGTCTGGATGGGTGGGGAGTGTTTGCAACAAGGACTGTGCCTTGCCAGCCTCAGTGACACAGTGTCCAAGTGCCCCAACTTAGCAGCCACCTGCTGACCACCTGATTTCTGTGGCCTAATAGGGATGTGATGAAGTCTACCTGTTTACTCAACCCCAAACCACACATTATCCAGGTGGTTTGAAACTTTTTTGATATACTGGGTTCATCCTCTGGAGTCCTAACAATGTTTTAGCTAATTTACAAAAAAACAAAAACAAAAACAAAAAACAAAAAACTACTTTTTTTGCAGCACAACAGCCTGGTTTACATTGCAAAATGATTTCTCATTAAAGGTCTATCATCTATTTCCATATATCCATTATTATTTGTAATATCCTTTAAAAAAAGCAGTCAACCCCAGGCTAATCCATTGCACAACTCTTTTGAAAGTCTTCCTTCTACCTTGAAAGAAGAAAGTTGGCAGGTTGGACATTGTTCTTGCGGAGGTTGTACCATGGGTCACATATCACGGTGTGACTTCAAAGGCCACTGGAGCCACCGTCTCATACTGAAGAACACACATGGGTCAGGAGCCAGGTCCAGGTCCGGCATGGTGGATCTGGAGAGGGGAGAGTCCCTGCCTGTGATCCTGTGGGGAGCCCTCAGGCTCCTCTCTGGCCACCATCCTCTGACCTCCCTCCTCAGCAGGACAGGGTTCTGGCTTCTCTGAGGGACAGGTTCTGTGGCAGACCAGGTGTCACTAACACAGGCCTCCATAACAACTGTTTCAGTACTGACTGAGTGATGAAATTAAATATTAAAAGCTGAAAAAAGCCAGTACCTTTATACAGAGGCTGGATGTAACAAAAGCCCACCAAGAGTTTTGCTTAGGCCTTTCCTGGGCCTTAAAGCATGACAAAACAACGAAGGAATTCTTAACAGGACCTATTTAGAATTAAACAAGTTTTATTGTGAGTCTGAAGAAACTCCCCAGGCCTCCACAAACAAGTTTACTGGGCATCTGAAGGAACTCCCCAAACCTCCATGATTTAGCAGGAGACAAGATAAGGGCAATCATCCCCCGCACCTGGACCCATTTAGATTAAGTAAATAGACTGAGGCTCCAGAGTAAGGTCCTCAGGACCCAGACCTCAGTTACAGATTAAAGAAGTTAATCACTTATGTCTTTAGATGAATGCACACTTACTTGTAGACATATACCTTAGAAGGTATATATGCTCTGGAAAACTTTAATTTTGAGTTGGTCTGGTAGTAATTTCCAGGCCTTCTCCCTGTAACTGGTTGCAGAAATAAAACCTCTCTTCCTCCCCATTTGATCTGCATCTCGTTATTGGGCCTAGAGAAATAGCAGCCGGACCCTCAGTTTGGTCCGGGAAGTTCTTCCATCCTCCCTCGCCTGCTCTCTGTGGCCACTGCACTCACTGTTGCTGTTGCTGTTCCGGTCTCTGTGAGGTTCACCTAGTGGACTGGCTGGACATTTCTAGGGGGCACCTCAGATACCTCACCAACTTGCTGGATCTGATCCTTGGATTTCGATTCATAAATTGTGCCAAAATACGAAGTGGCTAATTTACATAGTACTTAGCCAGATGACCGAAGGACTCAGTATCCAAAGGCCCCTAACAGAAAACACAGACCACATTTCCTTTACTCTGGCCCTTTTCCTGGGGGTCCTTCCTATACCACTGACACTGTTCCTGTGTAGGCGGGGCTAGAGGGGAGACTAAGCCCTCGGAGTAGCTTTCGGATCAGAGGAAGTCCTGCTCTTACAGTGACAGGGGCTGAATTAAATTCCCAGGTTGGGACCACCACTTTTTAGTCTGACCCCTGCAGCCGGAGTCTCCCAGAGCCCTTGGGAACTCGGCAGCGGAGAGAAGGCTGAGGGATTCTGCGGGCAGGGAGGAGAAGGGAGAAGAGCTTTGCTCCGTTAGGATCTGGCTGGTGTCTCAAGCGCACAGCCAAGTCGCTGTGGACCTAGCAAGGGCTGGATGGACTCATGGAGCCTCAGGGCGGGTTGGGGAAGCTGGCGAGGCCGAGCCCCGCTTTGGGCTTCTGGGCGCCCTGACCTCGCTCCCGGAACCCTGGGGACTGGGAGGCGGGAGGGGGCTTATTGATTCCAGCCCCGGGCGCTCGCTCGGGGGCCTACAGAATGGCGTGTTTCGGGGTTGTGGCGGGCCGAGGGGCGGGGTCGCAGCAAGGCCCCGCCTGTCCCCTCCTGGGCCTCTCAAAGTCTGAGCCCCGCTCCGCTGATGCCTGTCTGCAGAATCCGCACCAACCAGCACCATGCCCATGACTCTGGGGTACTGGGACATCCGTGGGGTAAGCGAGGGTCCTCTGGTGGGTGGGACAGGGGGCGGAGGCGGGGATGTGTGGAGTAGCTGCAGGACTGGCTCTAGGGACCGTTCCTCTTCAGGGCTGCCCGCCTCAGAAGGGCCTGTGCATGACGCTGTGTGTGTGTTTGGGGGTGGGGGCGGGTAGAGGAGGCGACGGGTACGTGCAGTATAGACTAGGGGCTGGCCTGGTGCAGAGAAAGTCACCAAGTCAGGGACCCTCCATCTCTGACCCGAGCCGCGGGCCATCTCTCCCAGCTGGCCCACGCCATCCGCTTGCTCCTGGAATACACAGACTCAAGCTATGTGGAAAAGAAGTACACGCTGGGGGACGGTAATGGCACCCTCGTGTCCGGGCCCTGCCCACTCACGCTGAGTTGGCACCAAGCAACCCATGGTGGCCACCTGTGGCTGCCTCTGCAGGCCTCCCCTGCTGGAGCTGCAGGCTGTCCCTTCCCTGAGCTCCCGTGAGTGAGCCCTCTGGCCTTGCAAGGCAGAATGCTGGGGCGGGATGCTGGACACCCTGTCTAATTGGGTTGGGTGTCCCTCAGAGCTTCCCTAAACCCTGGAAGCCTTAGCCGTTGTGGGGTCCAGAGCCCTCAGTGGGATTCTTTCTCCCTGAACCCTGGGATGTGGGACTGAGTGGTCAGATTCTAGATCCACCTGTCTCAGGGATCTTGCCACTGGCTCCTTGGGAGGGTCCCCGGGAAGGAGGGCTGGGCTCTGGGGAGGTTTGTTTTCACTTCTTCCCCACCACAGCTCCTGACTATGACAGAAGCCAGTGGCTGAATGAAAAATTCAAGCTGGGCCTGGACTTTCCCAATGTAGGTGCAGGGGAAGGGGCGGTTTTGGGGGAAAGTGCGACGTGTCTCTGACTGCATCTCCTCTCCCCACCTTAGAGGTGTTAAGATCAGGAGTCTTCTGCCCAATTCCTCTCACTCTTGGCTGTCTACACAGCCCTTGCATGATGTTCTGTGTCCCAGCTCATTTATTAGTGTGACAGTATTTCTATCTCAGGCCTGCCATGAGCAGGCCCTGGTCTCCTCTCTGCCCTTGCATATGGGAAGGGGATGCTGGGGAGCCTGGTGGCCCAACTGAGCTTCCCCGGTTTCCCATCTATCCAGCTGCCCTACTTGATTGATGGGGCTCACAAGATCACCCAGAGCAATGCCATCCTGCGCTACATTGCCCGCAAGCACAACCTGTGTGAGTGTGGGTGGCTGCAATGTGCGGGGGGAAGGTGACCTCCTCCTTGGCTGGGCTGTGATGCTGAGATTGAGTCTGTGTTTTGTGGGTGGCAGGTGGGGAGACAGAAGAGGAGAAGATTCGTGTGGACATTTTGGAGAACCAGGTTATGGATAACCACATGGAGCTGGTCAGACTGTGCTATGACCCAGATTTTGTGAGTCCCACACCCCACTCCCAGTCACCCATTTCCCTGCCTTTTGGCCCAGACCAGGGAGGGACTTCCAAAGTCAGGTCTGTAGCAGACTCCGGCCAGCTGACTGGAGACGTCTATAACCTGGTTCTCCAAAATGTCCACACGAATCTTCTCCTCTTCTGAAGATTCTTGTGGACATTTTGGAGAACCAGACCACGGACAACTGGATGCAACTGGTCATGATCTGCTACCACCCAGAGTTTGTGAGTCTCCCCAGTGAGCTGCACCTGGCAGAGTTTGGATTTGGGGCCAGGACTCTTGCATTCCTGCACGCACTGGTCTTTTCTTAAGTCCTTGGTACCACTCATCCTCCAAGTGCTTTCCCATACTATCAGCAGTTATTCTCACGACTCCAATGTCATGTCAACAAAAGCAGAGGCAATTCCCACCAATCTTAGGACACGATCCAGGCATCCCACGGTGGAAATTCAATTCCTAGATGGTAAAATTTGTGTTCAGAATCTCCTTCATCTCCTCTGGCCTCTGGCCTCTGTCATGGGTCATTTCTGTCAGTTGATTTATATCACCTACCTGCTCCTAGAATATACAGACTCAAGTACAAGACCAAGGAATGTAATGGCACCCTCAAATTGCATCTTCTCCTCAAAGTTTTCCAAGTGCTGTCATTGACATGCACCGGGATCTGCGCATTTTCATAACAGACAGCTCAGAGGCAGCCAGAGGGCCTTTATTCCTCTCCCTCCTTCCTTTCAACTTGAACTTCTCATCTCCCTGGAAACTAGTCAATGTTCATTGTTTTCTTCTGTCACCCCATTAGAAGGAACTTTCTACTTCTTTCCCTGAGCTCCTTTAGTTCTTTGCATCCTTGATTCTGCCCCTGTCTGGATCCAGAGGCTGCCAGGTGCTCGGGCGCTCATGCGGCTGACCCAGAGGCTATTGGGAGGCCAGTGAGGACAGATTCAGGAAGAGCATCTCATTCTGATCACTTCAGATAGGGTCTGGCACCCAGTCAGAGTCTAATAAATGCTGATGTATCCAATTGAAGCCTGGGCACTGCCCCGGTTTTAGTTGTGGGGAAGATGGCTGCTTGCCTGTGGCCAGCCTGGGCCATCTACAGCCCTGGGGAGGCCACGTCTGTGCAGGGAGCTTTTGTCTGAGGGTGGTGACAGCTGTTTTCTGCCTCAGGAGAAACTGAAGCCAAAATACTTGGAGGAACTCCCTGAAAAGCTAAAGCTCTACTCAGAGTTTCTGGGGAAGCGGCCATGGTTTGCAGGAGACAAGGTAAAGGAGGAGTGATATGGGGAATGAGATCTGTTTTACTTCATGTGTTTCGGGGTTTTCAGCCCACACATTCTTGGCCTTCTTCAGATCACCTTTGTGGATTTCCTTGCCTATGATGTCCTTGACATGAAGCGTATATTTGAGCCCAAGTGCTTGGACGCCTTCCTAAACTTGAAGGACTTCATCTCCCGCTTTGAGGTGATGCCCCCATCCTCCTTTCTCTTTGATGCCCCTTGTTCCTTTCTCTCCTTTCAGATGCTTTCCCAGTCCTGGAGCTACACAAAGAATAACTCGTATGTATTGAGTACGGGCTTCATGCCAGGAATCATGCCCAGCACATTATACCTATCGTGTAGAATTTGAAATTTCCAACATTCCTACAGGGTGACAGAATTATCTTGCCCATTTTAGAGATAAGAAAACTGAGAATGAGAGGGTCAGTCCTTTGCTCAGGGTCCCAGAGCCAGTGGAGGCTGTGCTGGGCTCCCTGTGAGCCTCTGGATCTATGGGTGGCAGTCAGGGCTCTCCCATTTGTGACAAAAGGAGAAGCCTCAGGCCTCATCCAGCCTGGGTTTCACAGCCCAGAACACTTTGAAAGAGGCAGAGCACTTCAGGACCACGGATGCAGCTGGCAATAGTAGGACTGACACACAGTGGCATTGATGTTGAGTACTAAACCTGCAGGCAGTATTCATAGCCACCCCCAGAAGCTTTGCATGATCGGACCCCCATGTGGAAAATCCTGAGATCCGGAGCTGTGGCTGGAGCTGGATTAGGGTACATATGTGGGTGCCCCTGTTGAAGCAGTGTGTGTTGAAGTGCTCTGTGCTGGGGCACTCTCCTTCTTTATCTTTCTTCCTCTCTTTTTTTCCCTCCAATGTTCCACGTCTTCCCCCTGTGAGATGAGTAGCACACTGATTTTACTCCTATTCACCGACCTTCTCCTCTGCATGAGGCAGGGTGTGAGGCACAGTGGGAGTTGCATAGATGACTGCCCCATCCTGGAAATGAGTGCAGTGAGAGGCCTGCAGGCAGAGCAGCCTGTGAGGTGTGTGTGGCACCACCTGGGTACCGGGCCTGGGGCCTGCCCCTCACTCACGGGGAACCATCCCTCACCTGTGTTGAAGTTGTTTGAGAGCAGCAAATCCTACTTTAGTACAGATTTGGGGATTTGAGGCATTAGTCCAACAGGCTTCTGAGCCTAGAATCTGTTTCCCTTTCCCACTCCCCATCAAGAAATCTGCTTGCTCAGCTAGTTCCCATCAGCTCTGGTTCTGGTCCAGCCTGAGCAGCCTTGGGGTTATGTAAGAGGTGGTGGGAGGGGAGCGGTGGGGAACAGCCGAGGGCTGGGGCATGGAGCCTGCCTGGGCCTGGCCCTGGCCCTTTGGGGAGAGGGAGCCCTGGATCTCTTTGAATTCTTTAGAAGTTACATGGTCATTGAATCCTGGTAAGATTGTGTGCAGCACACCTGAGTGTCATGTGGCCTGGCTAGCAGTAGTAGGGCTGGAGATGTGATGGGGGCACAGGGACATAGGGAGATTTAGCTCAGGTACCAGGTGGAGAAGTTTGGACTTTATGCTTTAATGGGAATGATTAGAGCCTGGTCTGGCCTTCCTTTGGTGGTTCACCCTTACCCTATTCAGTTTCATCCAGGTTTTGCTAAGTCATTGGGTGAGATCTGTGCTCTCTTCTTGGCTGCACAGGTGTGTTCTGAGCCCCTTTGTTCTGCTGGAGGTCCTTTCTGTGTGTGCAATCCTAGGCAAGCCAAGAACCTCCCTGTGAAAAAGGAGAATGTTTGTGCCGACAAGGAGTGACAGGATCTGGCATGGGGTGTGGCTGGGTGGAAGAGGAGGAGAATTTGGCAAAAACATGCTAGAACTGAAGACAGAACCAGGCTATATTCCAGCCCTGTCCCACTTACTAGCTATTTGAGTGTGAGGAAGTTGCTGAACTTCTGTTCTTCTATATGAGAAACGGTGATAATAGAACTGACCATGGAGGGTAGTCGAGTGGATTTTCTAAGCCTGTGTTGTAATTTCTGTTGGATATAAAGCACCCAGCACAGTGTAGATCTTTCGTAAATGGTAGCTGTTATTATGGTATAACATTACTTAAAGGAAGTTGGAAGAGTTAACTTAGAAGAGCTGGGGACCTAAGAGACCGTGTGATGCTCCAGCACTTGAGCCCACATGGAAAGGCTGTGGCCAGGGCCCTGACCTGCTGTGCCTGCAGCAAAGCTACTTGAGCCCTTCTAGACAGCAGACCTGGCTCTGGCCCCTTCTTCCCGCCCTCAGGGTTTGAAGAAGATCTCTGCCTACATGAAGTCCAGCCAATTCCTCCGAGGTCTTTTGTTTGGAAAGTCAGCTACATGGAACAGCAAATAGGGCCCAGTGATGCCAGAAGATGGGAGGGAGGAGCCAACCTTGCTGCCTGCGACCCTGGAGGACAGCCTGACTCCCTGGACCTGCCTTCTTCCTTTTTCCTTCTTTCTACTCTCTTCTCTTCCCCAAGGCCTCATTGGCTTCCTTTCTTCTAACATCATCCCTCCCCGCATCGAGGCTCTTTAAAGCTTCAGCTCCCCACTGTCCTCCATCAAAGTCCCCCTCCTAACGTCTTCCTTTCCCTGCACTAACGCCAACCTGACTGCTTTTCCTGTCAGTGCTTTTCTCTTCTTTGAGAAGCCAGACTGATCTCTGAGCTCCCTAGCACTGTCCTCAAAGACCATCTGTATGCCCTGCTCCCTTTGCTGGGTCCCTACCCCAGCTCCGTGTGATGCCCAGTAAAGCCTGAACCATGCCTGCCATGTCTTGTCTTATTCCCTGAGGCTCCCTTGACTCAGGACTGTGCTCGAATTGTGGGTGGTTTTTTGTCTTCTGTTGTCCACAGCCAGAGCTTAGTGGATGGGTGTGTGTGTGTGTGTGTTGGGGGTGGTGATCAGGCAGGTTCATAAATTTCCTTGGTCATTTCTGCCCTCTAGCCACATCCCTCTGTTCCTCACTGTGGGGATTACTACAGAAAGGTGCTCTGTGCCAAGTTCCTCACTCATTCGCGCTCCTGTAGGCCGTCTAGAACTGGCATGGTTCAAAGAGGGGCTAGGCTGATGGGGAAGGGGGCTGAGCAGCTCCCAGGCAGACTGCCTTCTTTCACCCTGTCCTGATAGACTTCCCTGATCTAGATATCCTTCGTCATGACACTTCTCAATAAAACGTATCCCACCGTATTGTAATCATGGTACTTGTTTTTCACCCAAACTCAATCATAAATTTATTGAAGAGAAAAGCCATGTCTTACTGAACTTTTTACCTCGAGTATCATTCACAGTTCCTGAAATACAGTAAATGTTTAACACATGTGAAAATTTGAAAGAATTCCCTCAAGGGAAGATTCTGCCAACCTGTACAGTCATTATTGGGATTTAGAGCTCTGGATATAGTTGTATTAACCAGAGAAGATATAGGATAACGTTCAGAAGATTTTACATGTACGTGTCTTAGAGAATGAGCCAGCAGCTCTCTGTAACTTCAGCTTTAATAGCTGCTAGCTGTCCTTTGAATAGCTTAACCTGAGATGGGGCAGCCTGGTTTGTTGGGTCACACAGTAGCAATCTGTGTGGTCAGCAGGTGTCAGTATTTTATATGAAGTCATCTGCAAAGGAGCAGGACTCATTGGATAACCATCTGATGAGCAGGTTCCTCCAACAGTGGCTGGATAGTGGAGTTGGGCCTTGGTAAGGCCCAGCCTTGAGATGTAGCCCAGAACAGGGAGATTTTGAGGAGAGTCTTGTGGGGCCATTGTCCAGATGATCACTGCCTGCAGCTGCACTTGAAAAGGGAGCAATAGGTGTAATGTTAAGGACATTAAGAAGTAAATGACTAATTTGCTGGGCACAATGGCTCACTCCTGTAATCAATCCCAGCACTTTGGGAGGCCCATGCTGGTGGATCGCTTTAGTCTAGGAGTTCAAGACCAGCCCAGGCCACATGGCGAAACCCTATCTCTACAAAAAATACAAAAATTAGCTGGGCATGGTGGTGCTCACCCAGTTAGGAGGCTGAGGTAGGAGGATCGCTTGACCCCGGGAAGTCAAGGCTGCAGTGAGCCAAGATCGCACCACTGCACTCCAGCCTGGGCGACAGTGAGCCCTTGTCTCAAAAAAAAAAAAAAAAAAAAAATTTGAGCAAAGTTAGAATCTTATGAAACTGGTAAGAAAAATTAGTTGAGCCAAATATTTATGAATGCTTAACTTCAATACAGAAGGGATAAAAATAAAAAGGAAAAAGTAATAGAAGTTAGGAGTTAATACTATGATAAAAGATAAGTAGACAGTATGAAAATATTAGACGAGTAAAATAGACATAGATCTAGAACAGATGTCAGCAAACACTTTTTGCAAAGGGCTGGTAGTGAACATTTTAGGCTTTGCAGGCCAATGGGCTCTGTCATAATGACTCAGCGTTATTATCATAGTGTAAAAGCAGTCATAGACAATACATAAATGAATGGTGGGACACTGCATTCCAATGGAACTTTATTTACAAACACAGATGACTGCAACAAAACAAAAACCGAACAACCTGATTCAAAAGTGGGCAAAGGATTTGAATAGACATTTCTCCAGAGAAGATATAAAAATGTCCACTAAGCACATGAAAAAATGCTCACTATGACTCATCATTAGAGAAATGCAAATCCAAACTATAACGAGATGCCACCTCACACCGGTTAGGATGGTATTGAAAAGCAGAAAATCACAAGTGCTGGTGAGAGTATGGAGATACTGGTGCACTGTTGTGCACTGTCGGTAAGAATGCAAAATGGTACAGCCACAGTGGAAAACAGTATGGCAGTTCCTCAAAAAATTAAACATAAAATTACTATATGATGCAGCAATTCAATTTCTGAGTATACACCCAAAAGAACTGAAAGCAAGCTCTTAGAGAGATACTTGTACACCCATGTTCACAATAGTATTACACAGCTAAAATGTGGAAGCAATCCAAGTGTGCATCAACAGATGAATGAATAAATGAAATATCATGTATACATACAAAGGAGCATTATTCAGCCTTCACAAAGAAAGGAAATTCTGACATATGCTACAACACGGGTGAGCCTTGAGGACATAATGCAAGGTGAAAGAATCCAGTCACAAAAGGACAAAAACTTTATGATCTCACTTATGTTACATAGTCAAAAAACATCTAAAGAGAAAGTAGGAAGCTGATTGTCAGTGGCTGAGAGAATAGGAAAATATTATTTTAGGTGTATAGAATTCCAGTTTTATAAGATGAAAGGAGTTATGGAGCTAGATAGCGGGGATAGTTGCATAACACTATGAATGCATTTAATGTCAGTGAATTGTTAACACGGTTAAGATGGTAATTTTGTGTTATGTGTATATTACCACAATATAAAATAATACAACCAAAACAGAACAAAAAACAGCAGGTGGTGGTAGTTTTCTGATTCCTGATTTAGAAGCTCAAATTAAAAGTGCATAGTTATATTAAAGGTAAAATATTACATTTAAGATTTGAAATGTGATTATCAAAAACATTAACTCAATCCTTTAAAAAGGGGGAAGATGTGGTAAACAAAGAGAATTGCAAATGAAAATGATTTTCTAAACATTGTGGTCAAAATTATAAAAGATAAAAACATACATACATTCTAAAGTCAGAGACAGAAGTAGTATAACCTATATACCTCACACTGAGCCACCAAAAAGGATAATGTAATGGTGGCTAGTACCTAGCAGAAGTCCTGGACCGTGAGATTGTTCGGTGCCTCGTGGCAGTGCTCATACGGTGTTCAGTGCGTCTCCCCCTTCTATTAACAGAATAGAATCAGAAAATGAGATGTGCTCAGAAAACACAGCAGCCTGTGTTGGCGGCTTCTGCATTCATCTGTAATCATCTGTTGTTAATTACAACTTCTATGCCTTATATGTACCCATTACCCTTGTATTAGCAGAAAAAGATGAAGCTGAAAGAGACCCCAAGACAGCAGCTTATAGAAAACAGTTTATTCTCCTTTTGTGTAACAGTTCTACAGGGAAGACTCTAGGTTGTTGGGAAGCCGTCCTGCTCCATGAAGTTACTCAGGGACTCGAGCTCCTTCCATCTCGTGCCTCTGTCATTCCTTAGGGTGCTTCCTTATCTCCTTGGTTAGAGCTGTATTGCCCAAGCCAAGGAAGCGACTTCCTATTATGCAAGTGAGGCCGAAGTTGCCCACATCACAACCATTCACATTCCATTGGTGAGATTCAGTTGTGTGGCTATATCTAGTTGCAAGGATAGATGCATATTATAATGGAACAATGGATTTTGGTAGCCAGTTACATCTCTCCCACATCCAGAAAAGTAGAGATAAAGGTTAATTAAACCCAAGTTTAGGAGAAACCTTGGGTTTGAGACAGTGTTTCAAAGCAGGTAGGATAGAGGCTAAGGTATTAAAGATAAGATCTTTATCTTCTGCTAGACCTGAGGTGGGTGGCATATCACTTAGAGTTCCTTGTTGCTAAAACAGCAAAAGAATTTATTAGCTATATCAGGTAGTTCACTGAATCCCCGGGAGGGCCAGGGAGTTGGCCTTGGAACCTGGGTAGCCAGGAAATATGCCTAATCATATGTGGGATTATTCTAGAGAAGGCAACACAGCCATTGCTGGGCACCAACACCAGAACCCCTACCCATGACATGTGGCACTGGATACCAGTCTCACCACTGCTGTCTCCAAAATCCTGATCCCTCCACCTCTGCCCTTCTCATAAGAAAACAAAGAAGCAGGGCTTGCTTCTTTAAAACTGAAGTCTTCCACAACTGTGTGCAATTAACAGAGTCTGGGGCAGAGGACTTCGCCTCAGCCACAAGGGAGGCTGGAAGATCAAGTGGATTAGTTCACATTAAGTTCTGCTATATATAGCCAAATAATAGCAGTGGCTTAAGTAGGACAGACTTCTATTTCTCATGTAAAAAGGTTTTTTGAGGCAGACAGTTAAGTGCTGGTAATGTCAGCTTCACAATGGCCTTAGTGACTTAGCTTGTTAACTTTATCTTCAGCATGTGGTTTCCCTTCTCCATGTCACCTCTTTGTCCAAAGTGGTTGCTAGAGTCCAACCATCACAGCTGCATTCCAAACAACAGGAGGGAAAAAGAGGAATGGGAGTTGCTCCTTCCCTTTTAAAGAAACTTCCTAGAAATAACATACATCATTTGTGCTTATCATCATTGGTTAGAACTTAGTCACATTGGAAATGACATCTTTTGTCTGGGAAGTAATGTGCCCGGGAGAAATGAAGATTCTATGACAAAAGAAGATAGGGAGAATGGATATTGGGAAAGCAGTCTTCTACCTCAGGAAGGTGAGACTTCTAATGTGAGAAATTCCCCACCTATAGGAAGAGTGTTAAAAAGACGCAGATGAGAGATACCTGACAAAAGCATTATTTTTCTATATGTACATTTCCATTTATTACCGTAACAGTCACTACTATAAAATGCTCCTGCTTAACATATGCAACCATGCCTTGTACAAATGAAAACACATTCACCCTCTTTCTCCTAAAACAGAAATTAAGCAAAGTGTCATTTCCTGCATCCACTTCCAAGTTTGGAATCTGTGGGTAATGTTCATATTGATATTTTGAAAACGAGAGACTAAAGTGTAAAGTTAATAACCCCCAATTTGGGCAGGGTGTGGTGGTACAGGCCTGCAGTCCTAACTATCCTAGAGGTTAAGGTGGGAGGATCGCTTGAGGACAGAAGTTTGCAGTGAGCTATGATTGCACCTGTGTATAATCAGTGCACTCTAGCCTGGGCAACATAGTGAGACCTCATCTCTGAAAAAAAAAAATAATAATAAAGGACGAAAGAAAGAGTAAAAACAAACCCCAATTCACCCTCTATAAAATAACAAATGAAATGGGAAGTGGAAAAAAGGGAAAAATTAGGTAAGCCTATATGATACAGTAGAAAACAGGCTGCACTCAGATTTGCAAATAAGCTGTTTTGCATTTATTTACAATGCTTATAGAATGCACTTCTTTGGTGAAGGGACTCTGAAGAGATATTGCGTAATAAGACTTATATACTAAGCATTGATATGAACAACCCAAAGTCACTCCTTGGATTGGCTCTTGTCTCCATCCCTCTGTGACCCCACTCAGGTTTACTGTCATCCCACTTTGTTACCCTACATTTTTTAGGCTCATGTGGCTTGTGTGGAATGGTGAGGGAAACTCTTACTGATGACAGAGACACAGAGACAGACTGGCCACTACCACATGGTAACCTGAGACTTGGAAGCAGTGAGCGAGAGTGGTCCATTCTGATGGGTTCCGGACCAACTCTCTCTGCAAATGTTAATTGTCATACTCCTTGTAAACAGATCTGGTTTTCCACAGAGGACTCCGCCTTTTGGAATAGCCCCAACAAATCCTCTCAAAGCATATTCTGTCCAAAAGGCCCAACAGACACCCTACATTCCCTGCATACCTTTAGTTCTCTTCCAGTTGAAACATAATTTTTTTTTTTTTTTTTAGACAAGGTCTTGCTCTGTCGCCCAAGCTGGAGTGCAGTAGTGCAATCATGGCTCACTGCAGCCTTGACTTCCTTGGGCTCAGGTGATCCTTCCACGTCAGCCTCCTGGGTTGCTGGGACTACAGGCACATGCCACCATGCCTGGCTAATTTTTTTTCCTGTATTTTGTAGAGATGGGGTTTTGCCATGTTGCCCAGGCTGGTCTTGAACTCCTGGGCTCAAGTGATTTGCCTGCCTCTGCCTCCCTCCACCTCCCAAAATGCTGGGATTACATGCATAAGCCACTGCGTGCGGCCTGAAACATAATTTTGGAAAGAAGCAGATAGGGTCTTGGTCACAGTTCAAAAAGAGTATCTGTTAATATAATTGAAAGTGTTGTACTACAGAAGATAAAGTACAGGCCTATTTAATAATTCTAATTTTCCTTCAAACTTCCAATACAACATGAACATTATTAGCTGGTGTGTTCTATTCCTATTATTTTGCATCATGGAAAACATCTCCTGCGAACACTAGGTTGGCCCGCTGTCTCCAAGTCAGGCCACACAGAAGCACCTATTCATTTAAAATTCAAATATACCCACACCCATTTAATCTTTTCTTCCAGATTTAAGTCTCACGTGTCAGTTATCTGTAATTATTTCCATTGTAAACCCCATAAGAACATTAAGAGCCAATCCCTGTTAGTTTTCAGAAATGTTTCATTTCAATTTGGCCTAAGCAAGGAAGAAATAAGCCAGACCATGAACTTGTAAACCCAGAAAATCTGGGAGAGGTCCAAGTTAAATCAGAAAGTTTATTTTGCCAAGGTGGAGGATGTGGCCATGACACGGTCTCAGAAAGTCCTTGACAACATGTCCCCAAGATGGTCGGGGCACAGCTTGGTTTGTAAATATATATAAAAGCTATGGCTTATCAATATATGTAAAAAGCACATTGGTTCCATCCAGAAAGGCTGGACAACTCGAAGCAGGTGGGTGCTTCAAGTTGTCCCACCTTTCCAGACCAAACCAATGTAGTTCTTTATACATATTAATTGATGTTTCATGTCTGTCTAAAATGTATAAAATCAAGCTGTGCCCTGAACACCTGCGGCACATGTTGTCAGGACATCCTGAGGCTGTGCCACCGGTATTCATCCTCAACCTTGGCAAAACAAACTTTCTAAATTAACTGAGACCTGGCTGGGCACGGTGGCTCACGCCTGTAATCCCAGCACTTTGAAAGGCTGAGGCAGGCGGATCACCCGAGATGAGGAGTCCAAGACTAGCCTGGCCAACATGGCGAAACCTCGTCTCTACTAAAAATACAAAACTTAGCTGGGCATGGTGGCAGATGCCTGTAATCCCAGCTACTTGCTTGGTAGGCCGAGGCAGGAGAATCGCTTGAACCTGGGAGGTGGAGATTACAGTGAGCGGAGATTGTGCCATTGCACTCCAGTCTGGGCGACAGAGCAAAACTCCCTCTAAAAATGAAAGAAAGGAAGGGAAGGGAAGGGAAGGGAAGGGAGGGGAAGGGAAGGGAAGGGAAGGGAAGGGGAAAGAAAGGAAGAAAGAAAGAAAGAAAGACAGACCTGTCTCGGATTTTCTGGAACTTGTCTCACATTTTCTGGGTTCACAGGAGGAATCTCAGATAAGACTGTTTTAAAGCTGAGCTCAGCCATGGATTTGTGCCATTAAATACCTATGAGTTGGGTGATCCTCTCCCCTTGAGGTTCCAAAGTAAACTTGGGGCTCCTGGGCCTGTCAGAAAGTGACATTCTTTACCTACCACAGGTGGACAAAACTATGAGTCCAGTTTCCCAAGTGGCTTTATTGGCTCCATAAATCAAGTTTGATTCCTTAAAGGAAAGCATACCATTCAAGTTAAAGCTTTGGTAAAATAACCAGTTTCTCCAACTGTGTCCTGTTACAAATGAAAACAGATTATTATTGTGTTGGGAACCGAAAGCCTGAGGGTTGTGACCCACTCAGCATTCCACTGAAGGCTATATGATCAAACAGCAAACTGTTTATCATGAATACAGAATGTGAGCAAACTTGCATCTGTGCCTGCCGCCAGAAGGTATGCTGAGAGTAATCACTCCCTGGTGCCGTGCTCCTTGAGGTTATCTACTGGGACATCTGGAGCCTACTGTTCAAATAATGCAGTCATGCAGACCTGCACTAAGTCAAGCAGCTGACCACAACCATCCCCTTCTCCCTATCTCCTTTACTCAATAAATATGAAGGACTCTAAAAGCTCAGGGCCCTTGTTCACTAGAAGCAAGGAGTCCCCTGACCCCCTTCTTCAAAACATACTCTTCAGTCTTTGTCTTTATTCCCGCCTTGGTCCTCCTTTGTTCAGTCCAGCAAGGTCCACAGCAAAGTGCTGCCCGAAAACAGGGTCTTGAGGACATGAACAAAGAAGGTCTGCTGGAGCAGAGGAAGTGAAATTGACCAGATGAACAGGGACCCTGGGATGAATCTGCTGGCAGTGGATATAAGGTCAGTGCTCTAAAGAAGTACTGGGAATGGGAATTTTCTGAATCAGGGTAACATGGGGCAGAATTTGTCTCTTGAAGAAAAACATTATGTGCAGTTGCTTAAAGTTCTGTTGAAATAGCCTGGGGCTCAAGTTAATTAGCAAACATTAACTAAGCTTCTGCAGGAGGTTATTATGCATAACCCATGGTTTCTGCAGGCAGGCAATCTTGATGTGGAAAATTGGGACAGAATAGGAGAAGGATTGAAACGGGCTCATCAAAAAGGTCTTAAAGTAGACCCTTCTGTTTTTTCTGCCTGGGGTTTGGTTTGCACAATCCTACTGCTGCTGTCTCCTTCTAATTCTGTCGGACAACAGGAGTCAGGTTCTGAGTCTCAAGAATTAAAAAGATTATTTATTCCTCTGACAGCGCCTATTGAAAATAATGAGCAGGAGAAAGGGGAGGAGATTTGGCCACTTGCTACGCAGGAAAAAGGAGAGGAGAACTGGCCTCCGCCACCCCCTCCAATAACAGAAGCAGAAACCCCCATATAAAAAATGTTGCGTGCTGCTGCTATGGCTGGTGAACCTTTAGGACCTTGCGCTTTTCCTATTACTGTAAGGCCTGATCTGAATGACCTACAACATCTTTTACATGAACACACTCTTGTAGAGTTTAAATTATAAAAGAATTAAAAGCTAGCGTGGTTAATAATAGAGGGCAAAGCCCATTTACTATAGGGCTGTTAGAATCAGTGTTTGGAGCCATGTGCCTTCCACCCTTTGATATAAAACATTTGGCTCACACTCGCTTATCCGCCAGTGCGTATCTGACATGGAGTTTAAATTGGCAAGAAATGTGAGCAGACCAGGCTAGGCAGAATTGCACCGCTGGTCAAGGACACATTACAGAGGAAATGCTAACATGTAGTGGCCCCTTTTCAGATCTGGTATAACAATTAACACTCCCAGAGGCCACTTACCACCAGTCTGCCTTAGCCACCAAATGTGTCTGGAGCACAATTCCTGAAGAGAGAGTTCCAGTGCAGACTTTTCCACATGTTATGCAGGGATCACGGGAGCCTTATGCACAATTTATCGCGTGGCTGCAAGAGGCAGTGCAGTGTCAGAACAGGAGGACAGGGGATTGATCTCCCAAGGGAGGTCCCCCGATCCAAGTCACGGCACCTAATGTCATGCGCATCCATGTGAGGAGACCACTAAACAGGCTTTGTGTGAGCAATAAAGCTTTTTAATCGCCTGGGTGCAGGTGGGCTGAGTCTGAAAAGAGAGTCAGCAAAGGGAGTTTTGGGGGGGGCAGTTTTATAGGATTTGGGTAGGTAGTGGAAAATTACAGTCAAAGGGGGTTGTTCGCCTGTAGGCAGGGGCGGGAGTCACAAGGTGCTCAGTGGGGGAGCTTCTGAGACAGGAAAAGGAATTTCACAAGGTAATGTCATCAGTTGAGGCAGGAACCAGCCATTTTCACTTCTTTTATGGTTCTTCAGTTGCCTCAGGCCCTCTGGATGTATATGTGCAGGCTTGGGCTCAGAGGCCTGACAGTTTAGATAACTAAATGTATATCATAAGGTACAAATAGAATGTCTGGTGAGCTAGAGGGAAATTAAAAATGGATTTATTTGCCAATTGAACATAAAATTATAGAAATTTATCATTGGATTGTCTAAGGAGACCAATTTTATTTAGATAGGAACTACCTATTTTTTTAACTGGATCTCTGAGTTCTGGGTAGAACCCACAATGAATCCTGGGTCTCCAAAAATGGAGAATTATTATGAGGCTAGAACATATGATGCTTTTACAGTGCACTTAAAATTTTTTTTTAAACAAAGACATGTCTAAGTGTCTAAACTACATTCTTCCTTAACTCAAGAGTAGCCTCTGTTGCAATAAATATTTTAGTTAAAAAATCAGCTGAAAACAGAATTCAGTCAACTCAGAAGAAAAAAAACTTTTGCTCAAAAAAATACAAGGTTCTAGAAGAGAAAAACAAAAACAAAAAGGCCTTTTAAATACGAATATGCACTTATGCACACACACATATCTTGGATGATAGCTTTTAATTAAGCTGACATTTAACCATTGAGCTCCTTTTTAAAAAAATATTTTTAAATCTCATTACTATATTTCAGCTAAGACAAATTGCTGCTATTTCAGAAGTACCAAGTATCAAACCAGCAAGGGCTTGATTTAGGAACCAAACGTGTCATAGTAGAAAAAAATAAGGCAGAACCTTAGCTATTGAACTGCAGTGTGGGGGGCCAGCCAATGCTTTCAATTTGGTCTGGCTGGCAAAAAGGTGGCCTTGTTACATTATAAAGTCCCTTTAATAGTCAAAATAAAAAATCTTTCCTCTTTTTTTGTTTCCTTTTCTCTTTCCTCTTTTTTTGTTTCCTTTTGCTGGCCATTTTTCTCCCCCCACCATACCACCTTTTTTTTTTTCTTTTTGAGATGGAGTCTTGCTCTGTCACCAGACTGGAGTGCAGTGGCATGATCACGGCTTACTGCGACCTCTGCCTCCCAGATTCAAGCAATTCTCCTGCCTCAGGCTCCTGAGTAGCTAGGACTACAGGCGTGTGCCACCATACCCAGGTAATTTTTGTATTTTTAGAAGAGACGGGGTCTTACCATGTTGGCCAGGATGGTCTTGATCTCTTGACCTCGTGATCTGCCTGCCTTGGCTTCCCAAAGTGCTGAGATTACAGGTGTGAGCCATCACGCCTGGCCCATACCACCTTTTTTTTTGTGTGTGGGTATTTTAGCCACTTCAGTGGCTTGTTACCCATAATTTAGAGTTCCCCTTCGGATTTGACCAAGTCAGGATGTGTGTTGGACCCAAAATGTGCTGCTTGCAGACCTAGCTTTTCAGGGCCGTTACACCCTGAACCAGTTTGGTCCACCTGTGTTGCAGCTACCTGGCACAGTGTGCCAGGGGCTCAAGGTGCGGGCGGAGCCAGCTCCTTATATTGCACCTGCTGGCTGAGATTAGGCCCTAAGAATGTTCTCCTGAGGGGAAAACCTATTTAAAGCCGCTGCAGGTCTAGGGAGCGTTCCTCCCAGACACCCTCACGTGATTCTCAGTCACCTGAGAATGCCCCTAAAGGCTCAGGGGAGCAAGGTGCTCTTATTTCTTCAGAGTGGAAGATTCCACACTCATGAGGTATAGGGTTTGGAGTTGGTCAAATCTGGTAAGGAAAGGACCGAAACACACACACACACAAAACCCAACAAGACAGAAACAAACAACAAAATACTTAAGCAAAACTAACAATGATCACACAAATTAAATGATTTCTGAATGCTCTAAGTGTAAGCAGAAATTAACACCAGCTGGTTGTTAATGCTAACTTTAGTCATTTAAAAATAATTTGCCAGACAGAATCCCAGACCAGTTTCTTACCTAGTGGTGTGTCTCAGGCTGTAGACTGCTCTCTACAATTCTAGAAGCAGGAAAAAAAAGACTCATCTTCCCTGTTAGAAGCTAGCTCAAACTCCATTAAGGAGTTTCCTGCCTTCCATCATCATGGAAGCAGGAAAACTTGCCTTCCTTGTTGGAAGCAAGTAAAATTCCAAAGAAAAGAGGAGTTGTACAGGAAAATAAATTTTAGATCTCAACCAAATTTTTGGAAATCAGGGATTCTCTGCAGGGGGTGCTCTCAGACCTCAGCAAATTGTCCTGTTGGTTTGAGCCGTAAAGTTAGCTCATGCTGGTACCAAGCACCAATAGGACATTTGTCAAAGGTCAGGGGCATCTTCACCCAGAATCCCTTCATGGTTACCAAAATGTAAACCCAGAAAATCTGAGACAGGTCTCAGTTAATTTAGAAAGTCTATTTTGCCAAGGTTGAGGGCGTGTGTCTGTGACATAGCCTCAGGAAGCCCTGATGACATGTGCCCCAGGTGGTTGGGGCACGGCTTAGTTTTATACATTTTAGGGAGACACGAGACGTCAATCAATACATGTAAGTGGTACATTGGTTCCATCCAGAAAGGTGGGGACAACTCAAAGCAGGGGGGAGGGGGTTGGGCTTCCAGGTCACAGGTAAGTGAGAGACAGATGGTTTCCTTCTTTTGAATTTCTGATAGGCCTTTCCAAAGGAGGCAATCAGAATATGCATCTATTTCAATGAGCAGAGGGATGGCTTTGAATAGAATGGGAGGTAGGTTTGTCCTGAGCAGTTTCCAGTTTGAATTTTCTTTTTAGCTTACTGATTTTGGGGGCTCAAGATATTTTCCTTTCACAAACTCATATAACCTACTCTCCAGCCTCAGTGCCTTGCTGATCCTCTGAGACCTCCCTGAATACGAACTTCAGTTCTGACTCCAGGTACTTCTACCTGAACTCTCTCTGTTTTAAGACAGGGCATTCTGTTTTTCTGGGTTCTGTCTCTCAGTCAAAACAAAGAGGAATTTTTTAAAGTTCCTTGAGGGCATTAGGCATTTACCTATCAAGCAAACTCTTCTTTTTTTCTTCCAATTCTCAGTAAATGACAGGAATCAGTGCACAGTTGTGAGTGCCTACTTTGTGTCAGGCTCTGTGCAAGCACTAAATATAAAATTTTGCATAAGACATAGTCTCTGCTCTCAGGCAACTTATAATTTAGCAGCAAAGACTAACATCTAAATGAACAACTGGAGTTGTGTGTTAAGTCCTGATCGAGGAAAGCATTGTACCCTGTGGGAACAAAAATTTAAAATATGTGCATTTAAATTAGCCTGTGGGAGGTAGAGAAATGTCAGTCAGGATAAACCAAATCCTAGTGGCTTAATACACGCTTATTTCTTACTTACCCTTCATGTCGGATGTGATCAACAGGGGCCCTGCTATTCGTAGTCTTTTAGAGACCTAGGCCGACGGAGGCTTTAACTTGGCACCTGCTCTGAGTCTAGACAACTGTGGTGGTCAGATACAGTGACTTACTCACTGGCTTTTAAAACTTCTGCCTGGAAAATGTGTGTAATTTCTACTTGTGTTTAATTGGCCAAACAACTCAGGAGACCACATTTAAGTTAAAGAGTGTCATGAAGTTTTCCCAATGGGAAAACAATCAGAAATCTTTGGTGACCATCACCACAGGGATTATCAGATGTGACTTCAAATCTGATTTGAAGGCTAAGGGAGTTGGGGGAAAAGCAAGAGGCAGAGGGGACAGCATGTATTAAAGTGTGAAAATATAAAAGTGAATGTGGTGCTTTTTGGCAATTAGTATTTATAAATTTATGTAACACTGATCTGTTTCAAGTGCTCTAAAATTTTTTTTTTTTGGGACAGAGTCTCACGGTGTCACCTAGGCTGGAGTGCAGTGGTGTGATCTCAGCTCACAGCAATCTCTGCCTCCCAGATTCAAGTGATTCCCTTGTCTCAACCTCCCGAGTAGCTGGGATTACAGGCATGCATCACCATGCCTAGCTAATTTTTGTATTTTTAGTAGAGATGGGGTTTTGCCATGTTGACCAGGCTGGACTTGAACCCCTGACCTCAAGTGATCCACCTGCCTCCACCTCCCAAAGTGCTGGGATTACAGGTGTGAGCTACCACGCCTGGCCCAAGTGCTCTAGAAATATTGACTTCATTCTCATTGTAGCAGGACGAGCCACAGACAAGAACCCCTCAGGCACCGAGTTGTGGAAGGAAAGGGCTTTATTCAGCTGGGAGCATCGGCGGACTCACATCTCCAAAAACCGAGCTCCCTGAGTGAGCAATTCCTATCCCTTTTAAGGGTTTATGATTCTAAGGGGGTCCGTGTGAGAGGGTCATGATCGATTGAGCAAGCAGGGGATATGTGACTGGGGGCTGCATGCACTGGTAATCAGAATGGAACAAAACAGGACAGGGATTTTCACAGTGCTTTTCCATACAATGTCTGGAATCTATAGATAACAGAACCAGTTAGGTCAGGGGTTGATCTTTAACTACCAGGCCTGGAATGCAGTGCCAGGCTAACTACTGATTTCATTTCTGTCTTTTCTTTAACTCCTACTTTTTCTTTGAGGCAGAAATTGGGCATAAGACAATATGAGGGGTGGTCTCCTCCCTTCTCATAACAACCTTGTGAGGGAGGGTTCATTTATCAAAGAAGACACTGAGCACAGGAGGCCACCATTTACCAGGGGCAAAGCCAGGATCTGAACCCAGACGGCCCGGCTCCGGAGTCCATGCTCCTGAGCACCACACAGTGCTGCTCCCTTGGAAATTCAGAAAGGCTGGACCCCGTGCTCCAGGGCAGCAGGAGGAGGGCACATGCCAAGGATGTCACTGGAAAGGGAGCAGAGGTGAGGCTGTGAAGGTAAGCCTGAGAAGACAGTTTTTTTTCCTGAGGTTTTAGAAGCCACTAAACGCCTTTAAGCAGGGGAGTGACATGAACAAATTTACACATTAGAAAGATTACCCACTGAATTTTATTTCATTCCCTTCCCCCACCATCCATCTGAACTCCCTAAGTCCTCTTTTTCTGCGTGGTTCATTTGCTCCACCTGTCCTGCAGCTGAAGGATAAGGAATGTGCAATCTCTATACACAGTCCAGGTGTTTTCATAAGTGCTTCTTAAACTGGCTTTAAAGGCAGATCTGTGTCCATGCCTATCCCTGTCCCTCTCTCCTTTCCCTGGTAACAGTGAAACAACTCTATAACAAACTTTCATTTAATCACATAAGCTATTTCTTTCTGAACTAGAAACGCCCAGTTGCTCAACCTTCAACAATGAATACAAATGAATTTCCCTGATACTTTTGGGGAACTGCTCCACCAAATCTAATGCACCTGTTTCAAGTTTTCTTTTAAGCCCTTACTGATGGTACTTGTATAAAGCCATCACTATTGTGCCTCTGTGCCTTGGATGTGTCCCCAGCCACCCCCCTGCATCTGCCACTTGCCTGAAGGCAGCCGTTGTTACGGCATTCTTTTCTTGGCCTATATTAGAGTTAGAGCTGGGAGCTGATTGAGAACTGGGGATCCACCTCTCTTGTGGAAAGGATCTGTTCCTCTCAGTGGCCTTCCCTGCTTTCTGGGCCAGTAAGGTCCAGGTTTTGCATAACTGTTGAGTGGATTTTCACTAACAAACATAATAATTAAAAAAAATTGAAACGTGATTTGCCTATGTGATCTGTCCATCTGGAATTCATGTGAAATACATTTCACCTGCAGACCTGGGCTTTTTAAACTTCTCCCTTGCAAATTGCTCATTCCCTACCTTGCTGCTTTCTCCTGTCATCTGTCTTTCCCAGGATTTTTTTCTCATAGGACTGCAGGACCAATCTCCTGTTTCCTTCCTTCTTCTCTTGTGGTGAACAGACTCTAAGATGGCCCCCATGATCCTACCTCCTGGTACTCATGCCCTTGAGTGTGGGTGGGGCCGGTGACTTGCTTCTAATAGAATAAGAACAGGTGATGGGATGTCACTGCTGTGATCAGATTACATAGGACTGTAGTGTTCCTTCTTCCAGCAGACTCCTTTACTAGCTTTGGTGAAATGGGTGGCCGTGTTGAGGAGATCCCTTTTGCAAGGAACTGAAGGTGGCTCTAGCCGACAGCCAATGAGAAATGGAGGGCCTCTGTCCCACAGGGAACAAAGAACTGACGCTATCAACAATTACACAGACTTGGAGGCAGATCCTTCTCCCACTGAGCCTGGGGATGAGATCAGAGCTCTGGATGACACACTGATGGCAGTTTTCAGATGAAACCCTGAGCAGAGGACCCAGTTCAGCTGTGCCCAGACTCCTAATCCACAAAACTTTGAGACCATAAACATGTATTGTTTTAGCTGCTAAATTTGTGGGAATAGTGTAGAAGTCTTCTTTTGCCCCTGGAGTATGGCAAGGTTCAGGCTATTGTCCCATGACCACGAAAAATTAGGCACATGGACATGGAGAGTGAGTAGGGCAGAGTAGAATTTATTGGGAAAAAGGAAAGCTCTCAGCAAAGACAGGGGTCTTGAAAGCAGGTTGCCAGTAAGGCGTCTGTGTTCTGTGTCTTTTATGTGGCAGAAGCTGGGAAGTCTTCTGTGGGTTTTGCCCAGATGAGAGAAGTAACATTTTCTTCTTGGGGTACTACAGCTGTGCATGCCTAAGTTTTGCCAAAGGGACTCCATCTTGGTTATTACCCATGAGTGCCTAAGCAAAACCCATGGGGGTGCTAAAACCACAATGCTAATGTCATGTTTAATGACATTATAATGAGCTGGGTTAAATTAGGGACATTTAGGCTGATTTATTGTGCCCGCACCAAAGTTGGGATGGTCACTTCTGAGCAACATCCTAGCTTAAGGGTAACTTCTTCCGTTTTTCCTATTAACTGTAGAGGCAGTATAGGCACTGTCTTGCCGTTGTTCTTGTGAACATAGTTCCTTTCTATCCCTTCTCCTGAGACCTTCCCTCTCTATGTGCCTATCCATCCCTTAACTACCTCCTCTCTTAACAGTGTTACACAGCAATAAATAATGCATTCCCTTTTTGATTTCTGGTCATATCATCGATCTAGCCCCAGGGGCATCCTCAATTTCTCTGTCCTGCCTTAAATACACAAGGGTAGAGCATACCGCTCCCTCACACTATGGAAATTATATCAATAGTTATCAGACTGAAAAACTTCTGAGCTTTATACCTCTTCTGGCCAAAGGCTCCCCCATGCCCAAGATACTGGCCTGAACACCTAATCCCTGCTCACAGGGGGTGGCAAAACATGGCAGTTGAATTGTCTGCTTAGCACCTTCTGTCTGTACTATTCCTCCTGACATCACTGGGTATCCCTGCCATTTGGGCCCTCTGACCATCACTAGAGAGATCCTTGGCTTCTGGTCCATAGGGGATGGCAATCTGGCCCACAGGCCTATCTCTGAAGACTATTCAGACTCTGCTCTGTGAAAGGAGAGTGGTGCCAAGTCATCTCCACAGGAGTCAGTGTTTCTTAAGTTTGCTTTCTTTTCTAAAAACTAGTTTCTACTACACAAGCAATGCATGAGCACATTCTCTTAGTTAGAAAAGCAAGTCTTAGCCTTAACTTGGAAATGCCCTTTAACTTCCACCATGGAGTCTGGGCCTTTATCCCACTTGCCTGCAGTAAGACTGTTATGAGTTTGGTGTTTCCCTCCAGACTCTTCTCTATGCTTGGAGATCTTTTTTATTTTTTTAAGAGACAGGGTCTTGCTCAGTCACCCAGATTGGAGTGCAGTGGCAAGAACACAGCTCACTGCAGCTTCAAATTCCTGGGCTCAAGTGATCCTCCCACCTCAGCCTCCTGGGTAGCTGGGACTATGCATGAGCAATTGCGCACAGCTAATTAAAAAAAATTTTTGGGAGACAGGGGTCTCACTATGTTGCCCAGGCTGGTCTTAAACTCCTGGCCTCAACTGATCCTCTCACCTCAGCCTCTGAAGGTGTTGTTATTACAGCTGTGAGCAACCACACCTGGCCTGTTTTGGGGATCTTTGCATGTTAGTTCACACAGTTCAGTCTCATTCTTCCGTTGCCACATGGTACTCCATAGTATTGACAGGTATTTACACGGTTTCCACTTATTTGTCATTACAGACAATGCCACAGTGAACATCTTAGTATATGTCTCTTTGAATGTTTTTTTTTTTTTTTTTTTTTTTTTTTTGAGACAGAGTCTCGCCCTGTAGCCAGGCTGGAGTGCAGTGGCGTGATCTCGGCTCACTGCAACCTCTGCCTCCCAGGTTCAAGCAATTCTCCTGCCTCAGCCTCCTGAGTAGCTGGGACTATAGGCACATGCCACCATGCCCAGCTAATTTTTGTATTTTTAGTAGAAACGGGGTTTCATCATGTTGGCCAGGATGGTCTCGATCTCTTGACCTCGTGATCTGCCCACCTCAGCCTCCCAAAGTGCTGGGATTACAGGCGTGAGCCACCAAGCCCGGCCATGGATGAGTTTTTATAGCATGGAATTGCTGGGTCATAGGATATGATTTAAATTTTACAATTGTCCTCCAAAGTAGCTATACTAATTTACAACTTGACCAGCAGGAAATGCATATCACTTTCCTAAGCCTTGCCAACACTTTAGAAACTTTTTACTCATCGGATAGAAGGAAATATGGTTTCTCACTGTTGTAATTGATAATTCCTTACATCATAAACATCTTTTAGACATTTTTGGCTATATTTCTATTTTATAAATTGTTCATGGATTTTGTCCATTTTTAAAAACTCAGTTGTCTTAATGATTTATAGGTCTTTATATAATCTTTATACTAGTGCTTTTTGTCTCACTTGTCATTTATTTGTGGGTGCCTTAGGAAAAGTTGTAGAATTTGATCCTATTCAATTGGCAAATCTTTCCTTTGTGATTGTTATTATTTTAAAAAGTAAAAGAATAAAGAATGGCTACTCCACAGGCAGAGCAGCCTATGGTTTTTTTCTTTTTACGTCTTTAAAGAAACTTCTCCTACCCCGTGGTCACAAAAATTCTTACATTTTCATCAATATTTCAACAGCTTTGTGTTTAATGTTGGGCCTTAAATTCCAGATTAATTTTAGTGAATAGTGTCAAGTGGGGCTCTATTATTTTTAATGAGTAAGCAATTGTCCCAACTCTATTGGCTAGCCCACCAGTCTGAAATACTGCCTTTATCACACTAAACTCCCATGTGTACACAGGACGGTTTCCGAACTCCGGTTAAGTCCATCAGTACCACAGTTTTACTTGTGTTATCCTCACCCAGTCTTCACAGGGACTCCAGTCCCATTTAACACACCTGCTCTCTCCAACTGTGCAATCTCGTTTTTTCTAGTACCCACTCTCAGGGCTTGGGCATGAACCTACAGCCCTTGAACTCAGTTGGGGAGTAGGGAAATGCCAGTATCGCAGCGATTCAATTCATATCTTGATGATTCTCCACATATCCTTTTTCCCTTTTAGCCTTTATACCCAAGAGAAACTCAGCTGGACACCAGTAACATAAGTGCTATTCATTGAAAAGAGCAAAGCAAGAGCGCTGACCCCTTACGGACAGGATGAAACAAAACAAGCTCTGCAAGTCTGCCTCCTGCTCAGCATACAGGCTTGTTGCCCCACTGGGCCATCTTGTTGTTGATGGGCATCTTGCAGAACTGATCAGACTGTAAGTAGGCAGCGATTTTCTCCAAAGCCTGAAAGGAAAATACACCAAATCTTATAACGACCCCAACCCAGTCCAACAGATGCATACCAGAACAGCAACATTCACGTGTTGCCTGCGTCTACCTCCTCCATTTTTTTGTAGACAGTGCCTCCAAGGTATAGAAGTTAGGCTCTTCCCAAGACTTAAAGGTCTAGAGGTGTCCAACCATTGATCCCATTAGGCAAAAGCCGGGGAAGAATCCTCCACTATGGGATCCTGCAGGTCCCAGGGGAGCCTGTGAGTGTTTTTATAAGAGAAAGGTGCAGGAAACGTCACCTCAAAACGGCACATGAAAGCCTTCAGGTTTGGGAACTCATCCAGGCACTTGGGGTCAAATATACGGTTCTGATCCAAGATATCATAGGTGAGAAAATCCACAAAGGTGAGCTAGAAGAAAAGCAATAAGATGCTTAGGTCTGAGGAGTAGTAGCCTGCAGAGATAGAGAAGTATCCTCTTCTTTTCCCTTCTTCCTACCTTTTCCCCGGCAAACCATGAGAATTTCCCCAGAAACATGGAGAATTGTTTCAGTTGTCCAGGTAGCTCTTCCAAGTACTGAGGCTTCAGTTTTTCCTGAGAGGAAAAAACAGAATGAGAATAGTGGTGATCATCTTTGTAGTTAATCAGGGCACAGGCCAGTGATGGACACTTAGTAGCCCCTTCTCTAGGTGGGTTCTCATTGCCTTCACTTGAGGATGGCAGGGTGGGGAAAGAGGAGTTTAGAAAGAAGAGGCACCAGCACCAGAATTACATGACAAAACAAACCAAAAAATATAAGTTCTGTTTCTTATTCTAACAATCTGGATTGGTGGGAAGGTAGCAGCAGCAGAATGGAACAGAGATAACCCTTGGGTTCCTAAATACCCCTTTTTCTGATACTCCATTCAGCAGATGTGTGCTAAGGAAACTCACGTGGTCAGAGCTGTAACAGAGCCTTATCAGTTGTGTGCGGAAATCCATTACTTGGTTCTCTATGATGTCCACTCGAATCTTTTCTTCTTCAGTCTCACCACCTGTAGGCCAAATGACAACAAATCACCCTTGGCATCATCCACTCTCAGACAAACTACCAGCCTGGGGTCCCTCACCAGCCCTACCCCACTCACACATGTTGTGCTTGCGAGCGATGTAGCGCAAGATGGCATTGCTCTGGGTGATCTTGTTCTTCCCATCCAGGAGGTAGGGCAGCTGAAAGGAAAAGGACAGGACAAATGAACAACCTGCCTCTCTCTTGATTCCCTACCTCTCTCTCCAGGGGAAAAGAACACTTGCAGGGCAGTGAACAAGAGTGAGAAGATGCTGTGTTAGGAGAAAAAAGAAAATAAGTAGAAGGTAGCAACTGGGTCCACAAGATTCTAGACAGGGGTTCTTAAATTGGTGTGTGTATGTGTGAGTGTATGTGCATGCCATGGACCTTTTCTCAGAATAAAGTTGTTAAATGCATGAAGCAAAATAGATAATTTACACAATCAAAAAATATTTTTAAAAATTCAAATAAGAGTAACATGTGCCTATTAGTGCATTAAATAGCAAGCAGATGTAATGACTAACATAATCTCAAAGTAAATAACATTATATGTATATATTTACTTACATGTATATAAATATCACTTAAAATATCTGCAACGCATGTTATAGAATATGAAACTACCTGATTTCAGGCTGGGCACAGTGGCTCATGCCTGTAATCCCAACACTTTGGAAGGCCGAGGTGGGAGGACTGTTTGAGCCCAGAAGTTCAGGATCAGCCTGGGTAACATGGCAAAACCCCGTCTCTTACAAAAATACAAAAATTAGCTGGGCATAGTGGTGTGTGCCTGTAGTCCCAGCTCCTTGGGAGGCTGAGGTGGGAGGACTGCTTGAGCCTGGGAGGTTGAGGCTGCAGTGAGCTGTGATTGCGCCACTGCACTCCAGCCTGAGCGACAGAGTGAGACACTGTCTCAAAACAAAAGAACAAGAAACACACAAAAAAGAAAATACCTGATTTCTACTAGTGACAAAGTGACAGACATGGCTAATAACCAATGTCACTTATTGTCTCTCTTCACAATAAAAGGAAATAACTTTTGCTAGTGGTTAATGGGAATGAAAATACATATCCATCCAGTTCAAGGACCCCTGAATTCTATTTATTCTATCCGGGTTAAGATCCCCTATTTTGCATCCTTCTGTACCAGGCAGGAGAGAGGCAAGGATGGATATACTTGAAGGCTTTCCCTTCTGCCCGCCACCTCTACTAAAGCCACTTACATTAGGAAAGTCCAGGTCTAGCTTGAATTTCACATCCAGCCATTGGCTTCGATCATAGTCAGGAGCTGTAAGAGACGGAATTAAGTGGGACCCAACCTCCTTAATACCCCACCTGACAAGAGCAAAAGATCTAAAGAAATGACTTGGTCCCAATACCTCAAATTCCCAGGCCCCAAAAGCATAACCATTGAGCCTCTGAGCCCTATTTGGTTAAGCATTAAGACGGGTTTGGGCTATGTTAAAAAGAGAACCCCCAGTTCCAGATAAAGGATGTGTCTCTATTCACCCAGATTGGGGCAAACGTCCCACCCGGCCTTGGCGCGACGCCACCACCCTCTGGGCGTAAGAAGACCAGGGCAGGTGGAGGGCCAGCTTGGCTGCACGGGCACGCGGAGCGGCATTACCTTCCCCGCACGTGTACCGTTTCTCCTCATAAGAGGTATCCGTGAACTCCAGGAGCAGGCGGATGGCGTGCGCCAGCTGGGGAAGACAGCGGTTCAGCGACTGCGCAGCTCCCACCCATTCCCAACCCCCGCCCGCTAACGTTCCCCGGCCCGGGGCTGCCGAGTCCCTGCGTCCTGCCGGGGCGGTGGTTAAGCGGCCCCTAGGCCCGGCTCCGGCGTGGTCTCCTCCGCCCCTCCCCACAGGGCCCGCGATCCCAGAGGCTGGGCAGGGGTCGACATCCGTGGCTCGGCAGCTCGAAAAGGCTCCCGCGTAGAGCTGCTCCTGCTGGAGATCGCGGACCCAGAGACCCGCCCTCTCCGCGTCAGTCTCTTTGACCGAGCGGCTCTACCGTTGAGACGGCACTCACCCCACGAATATCCCAGTACCCGAGAACCATAGACGACTCGCACGACATGGTGACGGGCTTCCGAGCCTTCGAGGACTAGGGAAACTGTGAGCGGGAGGGGCTTTATACCCGACATAAGGGGGCGGGGCCCACGCGCGGGCGCCCTGACTCCGCCTCCGCCCCGTTCTCCGTCCCTTGCCTCCGCGGCTCCACAGGGCCGTGCGCAGGCGCGACTAATGCCGGCGTTGGGGTTCAGGGCCTGGCGACCCCGAGGCGGGACCCGGGCAGGAGTGCTGCAGGAGAGCAAAGGACCCGAGGTTGAGGCTCCTCCCTTCCCCGCGGGTGGGAGCCAGACTTCATTCATTAATGGTGCCAGTGAAGACGCGAAAAGCACCACTAGCCAGGCAGTGGGGACCCTAGTTACCCAGGGAGAGCGAGATTCGCGCCGTTTTTACCGAGCCAGCCGGGGCTGGATGAAGGATAGGAAGACTGGGGCAAGGCCGGAGAGTCAGACCAGCCTCTGACCACACAGAGCAGAAGATTCCCCACAGACCAAGCTCCCCTCTCTGTCAGTCAAGGACCTCTGCAACCTGACCCCAACGTGCTTTTCCAGTCCTGTCTCTCCCTCAGCCCGTCACAACTTCATAAGCCAGCCCAACCCAACAATACTTGCTGTTCCTTCTACACACACTTGCATTTCCCACCTTGGAGTGTTTGCTCTGTGATCCTCCTACCTGCATCCTAATTTCCACAGCCTATCCTTCCTCAGCAGCCTTGCTGAAATGTCTGCCTATTCCTTGAAGCCTTCTCAGAACCAACCTCTATCCTGGCCAGAAGAGGTCTCTTATCTTGAATGTTTCCTACCTTTGTTTTATGGGCTTAAGTAATTTATGGATTCCTTATTATAATTTCCTCCTCCAATCCCTCCCACTTCCTAATGCTCACGCATTTAGGGAAATTAATCTTGCCTCTTTGTGTAGGATGGACTGGAGGAGGAAAGGTACTACCATTTTTCATTCACTCATTCATCTGTCCAACAATGTTTAACATGCCTGTTATGGACAGGCACTGTTTTAGGTGCTGGGGATACAGAACTGAACTCAACAGACAAAATCCCTGCCCTCAGGAAGTTTACATTCTAATGGGGAAGAAATAAACTAATATATAGTAAATAGCTAGTAAGTCAGGTGGTGATACACATCCTATGGAGAGAAATAAAATCGAGAAGAGAGATAGGGGGTCTCAGGGTGGGAACTGGGGGAGTCCCAGTAGGAAGGGGATTTATGTTTTTAAAGGTTATGTTCATAGAAGGCCTCATGGAGAAGTTAATCTTTAAACAAAGACCTGAAGGAGGTGAGAGATCAAGCCACTCTGCTGTGGGGGCCACCATGGGCTGATATAAATATAAAACAGAATAATTGCTGTTCCTTTTACAAGCATGTTTGCTCTGCTCCTGCCTGCACCCTAATGTCCATGGCCTAGCCTTCCTCAAGTAGCCGTGCTCAAATGCTCACTTCTTCCTTGAAGCCTTCTCAGAATCACCCTCTATCCTGGCCAGAAGAGTTCTCTCCCTCTCTTATCTCGAATCACTTCCTACCTGCAGGAGGCAGAGAGAACTCCAGGAAAAGGGAAACAGCAAGTACAGGAGTGATCACTCTGTGTTTGAAACCAGAGACTAGATGAGATCACCATGGGAGCACGAGTAGCAGAGATGAGGTCTAAGGGTTTGAGGTGCTCTGGCATATCAACATGTAAAGGTTAGGGAAAAATGAGAGCAAACCAGCAAAGGAGTCTGAAAAGGAGTGGCCAGGGAGGTAGGAGGAAAACAAAAGGTCCCAGAAGCCATGTGAAGATGTTTAAAGGGAGAAGTGATCAACTATGTCAAGTGTGGCTGATCAAGTAAGATGAAGATGGAGAATCAATGGTTGAATTTAGGAAAGTAGGGGTTTTGACCTTGACAGAGCAAGAGACCTGCCCGAGGCCCCTATAGTCATGGGAAGAACTAAGCTTCTGAATTTCGGCAGGGCCCATGCAAATGAAAAGGGGCACAGATTTGCAACAGGGTCAACTCGGGAGACATAGGATTCTAGTTGAATGTGGAGGAGTGACAGAGGAAGGAGTCCGGAGCTGCTCTGAGGGTTCTGGCCAGGCCTCTGCAGCACAGCTCTCAGGGCAGTCTGAGAGCCTAGATCCCCTAGCTCAGGTGTGGGAAATCACATTTGCCCATCAGTTCAACTGAAGCAAGGTTGGGACTTTTTAAAAGGGCATTTTGCTAAACAGAAGAAAGGAAGAGTACAAACCACATGGACAGGTGAAATTTATAATGCCTGTGTCTCTCCTCCCAAGAAAGCAAAAGGCCAGTCACAAATTCACCTGAGGTATAAGATTAACATTTATTGAGCACCTATCATATGCCAGGCAATATCTAAGTGTTTACGTATGTTAGCTAATTTATTCCAATTTAAGCTTCACAACAACTTTAGGAAGTAGGTGTTATGCCCATTTTCTTTTCTTTTTCTTTTTTTTTTTTTGCAGTTTTTGCATTACTTTCTTTTTTTTAAATTTTATTATTATTACACTTTAAGTTTCAGGGTATATGTGCACAATGTGCAGGTTTGTTACATATGTATACATGTGCCATGTTGGTGTGCTGCACCCATTAACTCCTCATTTAACACTAGGTATATCTCCTAATGCTATCCCTCCCCCCTCCCCCCACCCCACAACAGTCCCTGGAGTGTGATGTTCCCCTTCCTGTGTCCATGTGTTCTCATTGTTCAGTTCCCACCTATGAGTGAGAACATGCGGTGTTTGGTTTTTTGTCCTTGCGATAGTTTGCTGAGAATGATGGTTTCCAGTTTCATCCATGTCCCTACAAAGGACATGAACTCATCATTTTTTATGGCTGGATAGTATTCCATGGTGTATATGTGCCATGTTTTCTTAATCCAGTCTATCGTTGTTGGACATTTGGGTTGGTTCCAAGTCTTTGCTATTGTGAATAGTGCCGCAATAAACATACGTGTGCATGTGTCTTTATAGCAGCATGATTTATAATCCTTTGGGTATATACCCAGTAATGGGATGGCTGGGTCAAATGGTATTTCTAGTTCTAGATCCCTGAGGAATCGCCACACTGACTTCCACAATGTTGAACTAGTTTACAGTCCCACCAAAAGTGTAAAAGTGTTCCTATTTCTCCACATCCTCTCCAGCACCTCGTTTCCTGACTTTTTAATGATTGCCATTCTAACTGGTGTGAGATGGTAACTCATTGTGGTTTTGATTTGCATTTCTCTGATGGCCAGTGATGGTGAGCATTTTTTCATGTGTTTTTTGGCTGCATAAATGTCTTCTTTTGAGAAGTGTCTGTTCATATCCTTTGCCCACTTTTTGATGGGGTTGTTTGTTTTTTTCTTGTAAATTTGTTTGAGTTCATTGTAGATTCTGGATATTAGCCCTTTGTCAGATGAGTAGGTTGTGAAAATTTTCTCCCATTTTGTAGGTTGCGTGTTCACTCTGATGGTAGTTTCTTTTGCTGTGGAGAAGCTCTTTAGTTTAATTAGATCCCATTTGTCAATTTTGGCTTTTGTTGCCATTGCTTTTGGTGTTTTAGACATGAAGTCTTTGCCCATGCCTATGTCCAGAATGGTATTGCCTAGGTTTTCTTCTAGGGTTTTTATGGTTTTAGGTCTAACATGTAAGTCTTTAATCCATCTTGAATTAATTTTTGTATAAGGTGTAAGGAAGGGATCCAGTTTCAGCTTTCTACATATGGCTAGCCAGTTTTCCCAGTACCATTTATTAAATAGGGAATCCTTTCCCCATTGCTTGTTTTTGTCAGGTTTGTCAAAGATCAGATGGTTGTACATATGTGGCATTATTTCTGAGGGCTCTGTTCTGTTCCATTGATCTATATCTCTGTTTTGGTACCAGTACCATGCTGCTTTGGTTACTGTAGCCTTGTAGTATAGTTTGAAGTCAGGTAGCATGATGCCTCTGGCGTTGTTCTTTTGGCTTAGGATTGACTTGGCAATGCGGGCTCTTTTTTGGTTCCATATGAACTTTAAAGTAGTTTTTTCCAATTCTGTGAAGAAAGTCATTGGTAGCTTGATGGGGATGGCATTGAATCTGTAAATTACCTTGGGCAGTATGGCCATTTTCATGATATTGATTCTTCCTACCCATGAGCATGGAATGTTCTTCCATTTGTTTGTATCCTCTTTTATTTCCTTGAGCAGTGGTTTGTAGTTCTCCTTGAAGAGGTCCTTCACATCCCTTGTAAGTTGGATTCCTAGGTATTTTATTCTCTTTGAAGCAATTGTGAATGGGAGTTCACTCATGATTTGGCTCTCTGTTTGTCTGTTATTGGTGTATAAGAATGCTTGTGATTTTTGTACATTGATGTTGTATCCTGAGACTTTGCTGAAGTTGCTTATCAGCTTAAGGAGATTTTGGGCTGAGACAATGGGGTTTTCTAGATATACAATCATGTCATCTGCAAACAGGGACAATTTGACTTCCTCTTTTCCTAATTGAATACCCTTCATTTCCTTCTCCTGCCTAATTGCCCTGGCCAGAACTTCCAACACTATGTTGAATAGGAGCGGTGAGAGAGGGCATCCCTGTCTTGTGCCAGTTTTCAAAGGGAATGCTTCCAGTTTTTGCCCATTCAGTATGATATTGGCTGTGGGTTTGTCATAGATAGCTCTTATTATTTTGAGATACGTCCCATGAATACCTAATTTATTGAGAGTTTTTAGCATGAAGTGTTGTTGAATTTTGTTAGAGGCTGTTTCTGCATCTATTGAGATAATCATTTGGTTTTTGTCTTTGGTTCTGTTTATATGCTGGGTTACATTTATTGATTTGCGAATGTTGAACCAACCTTGCATCCCAGGGATGAAGCCCACTTGATCATGGTGGATAAGCTTTTTGATGTGCTGCTGGATTCTGTTTGCCAGTATTTTATTGAGGATTTTTGCATCAATGTTCATCAAGGATATTGGTCTAAAATTCTCTTTTTTGGTTGTGTCTCTGCCCGGCTTTGGTATCAGGATGATGCTGGCCTCATAAAATGAGTTAGGGAGGATTCCCTCTTTTTCTATTGATTGGAATAGTTTCAGAAGGAATGGTGCCAGCTCCTCCTTGTACCTCTGGTAGAATTCGGCTGTGAATGCATCTGGTCCTGGACTTTTTTTGACTGGTAAGCTATTGATCGTTGCCACAATTTCAGAGCCTGTCATTGGTCTATTCAGAGATTCAACTTCTTCCTGGTTTAGTCTTGGGAGGGTGTATGTGTCGAGGAATTTATCCATTTCTTCTAGATTTTCTAGTTTATTTGCGTAGAGGTGTTTGTAGTATTCTCTGATGGTAGTTTGTATTTCTGTGGGATCAGTGGTGATATCCCCTTTATCATTTTTTATTGCGTCTATTTGATTCTTCTCTCTTTTCTTCTTTATTAGTCTTGCTAGCGGTCTATCAATTTTGTTGATCTTTTAAAAAAAACCAGCTCCTGGATTCATTAATTTTTTGAAGGGTTTTTTGTGTCTCTATTTCCTTCAGTTCTGCTCTGATTTTAGTTATTTCTTGCCTTCTGCTAGCTTTTGAATGTGTTTGCTCTTGCTTTTCTAGTTCTTTTAATTGTGATGTTAGGGTGTCAATTTTGGATCTTTCCTGCTTTCTCTTGTGGGCATTTAGTGCTATAAATTTCCCTCTACACACTGCTTTGAATGTGTCCCAGAGATTCTGGTATGTCGTGTCTTTGTTCTCGTTGGTTTCAAAGAACATCTTTATTTCTGCCTTCATTTCATTATGTACCCAGTAGTCATTCAGGAGCAGGTTGTTCAGTTTCCATGTAGTTGAGCGGTTTTGAGTGAGTTTCTTAATCCTGAGTTCTAGTTTGGTTGCACTGTGGTCTGAGAGACAGTTTGTTATAATTTCTGTTCTTTTACATTTGCTGAGGAGTGCTTTACTTCCAACTATGTGGTCAATTTTGGAATAGGTGTGGTGTGGTGCTGAAAAAAATGTATATTCTGTTGATTTGGGGTGGAGAGTTCTGTAGATGTCTATTAGGTCCACTTGGTGCAGAGCTGAGTTCAATTCCTGGGTATCCTTGTTAACTTTCTGTCTCGTTGATCTGTCTAATGTTGACAGTGGGGTGTTAAAGTCTCCCATTATTATTGTGTGGGAGTCTAAGTCTCTTTGTAGGTCACTCAAGACTTGCTTTATGATCTGGGTGCTCCTGTATTGGGTGCATTTATATTTAGGATAGTTAGCTCTTCTTGTTGAATTGATCCCTTTACCATTATGTAATGGCCTTCTTTGTCTCTTTTGATCTTTGTTGGTTTAAAGTCTGTTTTATCAGAGACTAGGATTGCAACCCCTGCCTTTTTTTGTTTTCCATTTGCTTGGTAGATCTTCCTCCATCCCTTTGTTTTGAGCCTATGTGTGTCTCTGCATGTAAGATGGGTTTCCTGAATACAGCACACTGATGGGTCTTGACTCTTTATCCAATTTGCCAGTCTGTGTCTTTTAATTGGAGCATTTAGCCCATTTACATTTAAAGTTGATATTGTTATGTGTGAATTTGGTCCTGTCATTATGATGTTAGCTGGTTATTTTGCTCGTTAGTTGATGCAGTTTCCTCCTAGACTTGATGGTCTTTACATTTTGGCATGTTTTTGCAGTGGCTGGAACCGGTTGTTCCTTTCCATGTTTAGCGCTTCCTTCAGGAGCTCTTTTAGGGCAGGCCTGGTGGTGACAAAATCTCTCAGCATTTGCTTGTCTGTAAAGTATTTTATTTCTCCTTCACTTATGAAGCTTAGTTTGGCTGGATATGAAATTCTGGGTTGAAAATTCTTTTCTTTAAGAATGTTGAATGTTGGCCCCCACTCTCTTCTGGCTTGTAGAGTTTCTGCGGAGAGATCCGCTGTTAGTCTGATGGGCTTCCCTTTGTGGGTAACCCGACCTTTCTCTCTGGCTGCCCTTAACATTTTTTCCTTCATTTCAACTTTGGTGAATCTGACAATTATGTGTCTTGGAGTTGCTCTTCTCGAGGAGTATCTTTGTGGCATTCTCTGTATTTCCTGAATCTGAATGTTGGCCTGCCTTGCTAGATTGGGGAAGTTCTCCTGGATAACATCCTGCAGAGTGTTTTCCAACTTGGTTCCATTCTCCCCCTCACTTTCAGGTACACTAATCAGACGTAGATTTGGTCTTTTCACATAGTCCCATATTTCTTGGAGGCTTTGTTCGTTTCTTTTTATTCTTTTTTCTCTAAACTTTCCTTCTCGCTTCATTTCATTCATTTCATCTTCCATCGCTGATACCCTTTCTTCCAGTTGATCGCATCGGCTCCTGAGGCTTCTGCATTCTTCACGTAGTTCTCGAGCCTTAGCTTTCAGCTCCATCAGCCCCTTTTAGGACTTCTCTGCATTGGTTATTCTAGTTATCCATTCATCTAATTTTTTTTCAAAGTTTCTAACTTCTTTGCCATTGGTTTGAATTTCCTCCTGTAGCTCGGAGTAGTTTGATCGTCTGAAGCCTTCTTCTCTCAACTCGTCAAAGTCATTGTCCGTCCAGCTTTGTTCCGTTGCTGGTGAGGAGCTGCGTTCCTTTGGAGGAGGAGTGGTGCTCTGCTTTTTAGAGTTTCCAGTTTTTCAGCTCTGTTTTTTCCCTATCTTTGTGGTTTTATCTACTTTTGGTCTTTGATGGTGGTGACGTACAGATGGGTTTTTGGTGTGGATGTCCTTTCTGTTTGTTAGTTTTCCTTCTAACAGACAGGACCCTCAGCTGCAGGTCTGTTGGAGTTTGCTAGAGGTCCACTCCAGACCCTCTTTGCCTGGGTGTCAGCAGCAGTGGCTGCAGAAGAGCGGTAGCTGTAGAACAGCGGATTTTGGCCACCCACAAATGCTGCTGCCTGATCGTTCCTCTGGAAGTTCTGTTTCAGAGGAGTACCCGGCCGTGTGAGGTGTCAGTCTGTCCCTACTGGGGGGTGCCTCCCAGTTAGGCTGCTCAGGGGTCAGGGACCCACTTGAGGAGGCAGTCTGCCCGTTCTCAGATCTCCAGCTGCGTGCTGGGAGAACCACTACTCTCCTCAAAGCTGTCAGACAGGGACATTTAAGTCTGCAGAGGTTACTGCTGTCTTTTTGTTTGTCTGTGCCCTGCCCCCAGAGGTGGAGCCTACAGAGGCAGGCAGGCCTCCTTGAGCTGTGGTGGGCTCTACCCAGTTCGAGCTTCCCGCCTGCTTTGTTTACCTAATCAAGCCTGGGCAATGGCAGGCGCCCCTCCCCAAGCCTGGCTGCCGCCTTGCAGTTTGATGTCAGACCGCTGTGCTAGCAATCAGTGAGACTCTGTGGGCGTAGAACCCTCTGAGCCAGGTGTGGGATATAATCTCCTGGTGTGCCGTTTTTTAAGCCCGTTGGAAAAGCGCAGTATTAGGGTGGGAGTGACCCGATTTTCCAGGTGCCATCTGTCACCCCTTTCTTTGACTAGGAAAGGGAACTCCCCGACCCCTTGTGCTTCCCGAGTGAGGCAGTGCCTCGCCCTGCTTTGGCTTGCGCACGGTGCGCTGCACCCACTGTCCTGCACCCACTGTCTGGCACTCCCTAGTGAGATGAACCTGGTACCTCAGATGGAAATGCAGAAATCACCCGTCTTCTGCGTTGCTCACGATGGGAGCTGTAGACCAGAGCTCTTCCTATTCGGCCATCTTGGCTCCTGTGTTATGCCCATTTTCTAGAAGAAGAAACAGGCCTGGAGCAGTTAGGGGAGTTGCTCCTCTAAGCTTCAGGTCCCACAGATGGTCTGGGATTCAAACCTAGATCTGTCTAATAATGCAGTTGGTGCTGGTTTTCCTGCACTTGGCCATCTGAACAGCCTCTTGCCACATGGCAGTCTTCTTGGGAAGTCTGGGGAACACCAGGTGAAAACACTTTTTTCGGATCCTGGACGGTTTCTCTGTTTCTAGGCTCCTTTAGCTCTGGGAGGCAACAGAGGGTGATGGGTTAATACCTCCTCCCCCATCCCAAGAAATTAACTTTTCTGGGTAACTTTTGCCCTTGACAAGTCACACCCAAAAAGGGTCTCACCTTTTCTCTCTTTTGTGAGGGAAAATTGTTGCTTTCCTATTCTGTTAACAGCTATGAGAGATGATTTTCTGAGGCCAGGAACTTAAGGGAATGACATAGGCTGTCTAAAAATAGGGCAGTCTGGGGCCCAGACAATGTTAGGGTCATGGACACATTCAGGTAAGAGAGATTTAAGGGAACATCTTAAGAACCCTCAAATCCATAAGTACATTGGGCCTTATCTGTTGACTAAATCAATAAAAGTATAGCTACTGGTATGTAGAGAGGGGACTCCACTGAGATTAAAGAAAGCTACTTTTACTGAAAAATGTAAGAAGCTATGGACAGTCCAAACTCTTTGCTTAACCCTTGAGAAAACAGGGACCCAAAGAGTGGAATGACTTGCTGGAGTTCACCCAGCCAACTGGTGCAACTGACCAAAGCCTACAGCTGTCGGTCCTAGTGCACTTTGCTACTGTGAAGTGGTGTGCCTGCAGCTGTGCTGGGTGCCTTGGAATGTACTGAGAGACATGTGTGTGCAAAAAAGATGGTGAGCATAGCTTTATTTTGCAGTTTGTTTAGAAAGAGAGTCAGGAGAGCTTGGACCTTAATTCTCAAATTCTGATTCCCAGCTCCAGGTTGCTGTGTGAATGTCCACTCACATTCAAACAATCTGGCTCAGTGATGGATATAGGCTTGCTGCTGTTTTCATGCCAAATGTCCCAGCCCTTCCTGCCTCCCTGCCTTTGGTCTCCCTCAGGCCCAGAAGAAGCTGCGAGGGAGGCACATGACAAGCTTGAAGATGCTTTTATTGAGAAGGAGAGGGACTGAACAGATTCTTGACAAGCCTAGGCATAAATGCTCCAGGTTTGGGAAAGAGGTAAAATAAATAGGTGGTTACTGGGGAGGCTCCAACACAGCCAGAAGGGACACTGTTTGCTTCAGCCTCTGGGCCTGTCCATTGTTTTTGCTGTGTGAGCTGGGGTGTGGGGTTTGCTGCAAACTGGGATCCAGAAGAGGAATTCTCGGGGCTCTAATGGGTATCAGATCTGCCATCTTGCATCAGCGGGGCCTGGTTCTTGGAGGTGTCTAAGCTGGTGCCTAAGGGCTTATCTGAGGAAAGACAAAGATTCAGATGAGGCTGATGGCAGGTGAGGGATCTGCAGAGCTTATGCCACCAATAAGCTTGGAGCCTCAAGGTAAGCCTGAATGCATGAAGCTAAGCCCCTGGGGGAATATCCTGTGCCCAGCACCCGCCACACTCAGTTCTGCCCCAGGGCTGGGCCTGCAGGCTTTTCCAACTGGCCCTCTCTCTCACCCAGGAGCACCAGACACTCCCAATGGTTGTCAGGACCCCAGGGTGTCCTCACCCCCAGCATCCTTCTGACAGCCTCCAGCCGGGACAGGATTCGTGGGGCCTCCTGTGGACATAGCATCTGTAGCTCCCCAGGTCTTATGCGAAGTAGCTGGCTCCCCGTCAGGGACCCAAGTGTCCTCACCGTGCTGTGAACAAAACAGCAAAAGCCATCCGTGGTGGGCTGGAAGGACCCTGGGCCTGAGCGTTTGGGCAGAGACAGGGCTCTTTGGGCTCGGAGGTTGGGGTTACAGAAAAATTCATGGAGTAGGCTATCTGAGATTGAAGGAGTAAAGTCAGCATTTGGCTTCAGCCAATTTCAGAACTTCCAGATTTGAAAGAAGTGCTCTGGGAGAGAATCTTCTGGCTGGGGAGGGGCGGCTAAGCTGGCAGCTGGGGTTCTTCCCGAGTCCACTCCCCTGATCCTTGCTGCCTTTGCCACAGCAGAGCTCCCCACTTAATCTCTAATCTAGGCTTGGACACGCCTCTGCTCTGTCCTCTAACTCAGCAGAGACGGTGCTGGATCGGGGTCATGTACAATGTAGGCCAGGTTGTATGTTCTGGGTCTCTGGGTTTCCTTGGTTAGCCCTTTACAAAGTTTCTCCCTCCATATCCTGTAGGGCCAGGCACTCACGCAGTGGAGAAGTTCTCTGCCTGCAGCCAGTCTGTGACCTCTTCAGGCCTCGAGCTAAGTCGAAGCATTGGAACCTAGAATCAGGGGGAACCAGGGATCAGAGTCCATCTCATCTCACAGCCAACCACAGCCCCTAACATCTGGGTCCCTTCTCCAGGTTCCCATCAAATCACTTCTCTTACTCTGTGGCTTTCTGGTCTGGCAGGGAGCTGGTCTTGTTCTCTGCTCTGGCCCCATGATAAAGTTGGCACACTAAGCATGCAATAATACGGTCCGAATCAAACCAAGACTATCTCCTCTGCTTGCCACTGAATCCTCCCCACCCCGACCTCCAACTCAAGACTTAGGGCTCTGGATAGTCCAGGCTGGGTAGTACCCGAGAGGGTGACTGGCCCTGGGTCCCAGGGGTCCCCGGCTGTAGGGGCTCCAGGATGTTGCTTGGAATGTAGCCGCTCCGTCCCGCCTCATTCTTCACCAGCCACCACCGCTTGCTGTGGTCCAGAACCTGCCAAGAGTCACCACCTCAGTCCCCTGAGCCTCTTTCCAGCCAGCCTTCCCTCCCCACACAAGGCTTTCTCCCTCCAGCTCTTTCCTACCCTCCTTCTCCCTCTCTAGGCCACCCACCTTGGCAGCTCCATCCCTGGACCATCCACCCTTGGCTGCCTGTAGCTCCCACCAACCACCACCTCCTTTTCTAGCCTATGGCCCAAGCCTCACCTCCAGCTTCTCTCCCTGGACCACAGTCAGTTCCCGTGGGTTCCTAGCTTCAAACTCGTACAAGACTTGCATTTTCAGGGCTGGCTGGGCAGGTTTGGGGCTGGAGGGCCTGGAGTTGGGGTCCCCAGGCTGAGGGTCATGGTTGTGTGTCTTCTCCTGAGGAAAGTGTGAGGTGCTCCCTAACCTATGACTTCCCCGCCTAAGAAACAGAGTCAGGATGGCTGGAGAATGGGGCCTCAGAAATTAAGCCTATGTCCCAGCCCTGAGATTCCCCTCAGGTATCTCCGGCCTGCAGTCTGATGGTGACTTTTGGGTTTCTTTAGAGTTTGCTGGCAGGTCAGTGTTAGGTGGGGCTTTCTGCAGGCAGGAGGGGTCTGAAATGTCATTGATTTCTGAAGACATTTCCGGGAGTGGAATTTTCTACATCTGAGTTCTGCCCTAAGCACTTTATACTTGAGTATGGGAAATCAGAAGCATGTGTGGGTAGTATCATGAGAAGAAGCAATGGGAGCCTAGGAGGGTAGAACACTGTTTTTCACCCAAGGTAGGAGAGGGATGTCCTTGTACATGTTTTTCTGGCTAAAAGAGACCCTCTTGGCTCTCTTAAGATGTAGAGAGCCAGAGATCCAAAGGAACAGCCCTGTCCCTCCCTCCCCAGGACCACGCAGTCCCTATTAAGCTCAGAGCATACCGAAGGGAAACAGGGTCCTGGTATCCTAAGGGTGCCTGTAAGGGACAGAACAGAGAGTGAGTAAGAGCAGGAGGCAGCCAGCATGGTGGGAGGGAGCTGGGGTATCCGACCACAGGCATAAGCAGCTCACACACAGCTGCCTCCTATCCCCTTTCCTGCCTCCCCCAGTTTACAGATACAGGTACCCACATGCACCCACCCACCCACTACTTGGAGATGGGGCCTCAGAAATTGAGCCTATGTCCCAGCCCTGAGAGTCCCCCAGAATATCTCCTGTTTGCAGTCTGGTGGTGACTTTTGGGTTTCCATGGAATTTGCTGGCTTGCCAGTGTTAGGTCACACTAGTTGTGTGACCATGGTTTGGATGGGGAGGGCAGAAACTAGCCAGGGACTAGGGCTGTGGGTAGGGCTCTATGCCAAGCTCCCCTTACTTGGCTGGAGGGCTCTGGAAGTTGCCAGTCATCTGAGAATGTGGGTTGGTAGGGCAGGGGCTCATCGCCTGTCCAGTCGGCCCTGAAGAGGGAAACAAAGCTGAGTTCACATCCACTCTGTGAACTCTGATGCCAGGCTGTGGGACGCGGACAGGGAGGGGACGACAGGGCCTAGCCTCAGGAATCTTTTGGCTAATAGGTGACATGGTCCATGTGCACAGATGAAAGGCCCCAGGACACCCACAAAGGAGCAAGCAGTTAAGCCTGGACACATCCCACGGTGCAGGTGTCTGGGGGTCAACCTCACCTCTGCCCATGAGGTAAAGATACACCACCTCCGTAAGAACATGATGGACACTTCATTGCCCTGATTGGGCATTTGGATTAAAGTAGTAGAACTACAAGAGCTTTTGGGCTGGCCAACACCCCAGGGGTCTTGTGCAGTATTTTTCTAGGCTGTTTTTAGTTTCCCAGCAGCAGATCCTTTTCTTTCTAGCTAAATTGTCTGTGGATTTCCACCCAGTGAAGTAGACAGCAGCCGAGCTGCTCCTGTTGACTGACTCTGGGATGGGCTGGTCCTTGCCTCTCAGCCTCCCCCTCGCCCATTACACAGGGCCCAGGAGGACCATGCTGTTTGTGGCCTTCAGGCTTGCCCTGCTTGGAATATTTTCCACTTGTCTGCCCAGGGAATGCCCATTCATTTCCTTGAAGACGTTCCCCTCCTTGCTTCACTGGGGCAGAAGTAAATATTCTGCTGAACTTGGTACATCCCTAGGTATTGCTCTTCTCACACTGCATTGCTCATGATTCTTAGCTCTTTGTTTCTTACTATATATAGATTTCCTTGGGGGCTGTACCCCTAGTACAGTGGCTGATACATAGGAGGGAGCTATTAAGTGTTTATTCAATGGGAACAAAGGAATGATTCCCTCTTCTCAATTTTCTTAATTGTTTCCTTCTGTGCCTTAGAAACATGCTTGGGTCTTGACCCTAATACTACTCCGTATAAGCTGTCATCCTATTACTTTCTTCTTACCAAATTTCTTGAGAATGTGCCTATATCCTCTGCCTATATATTCTTGTCTCTGTTTCTTTCATTATTTCTGCAACCTGGTTTCTACCTCTGCCATTACTTTATTGAAGCTAGTCCATTTAAAATCCTGATTGCCAAATCCAATGGCCTTGTATGGTCTCTGTCCTTCTGGATGACCACAACATTTAGTGTTACTTATAGCTTTGGGTCAATTTGCCAAAAATCAAGTTATCTAAATATAATTTGCTTGAAATTCAACTCTTTTGAGGGTTTTTACATTTCTTTAGGTATTCTATTTTCTATGTTTCTGTCTTTCATTTATTTCTGGTTATGTTAAGAAACTAAAAAACATCTAAGGGCACATCTGACAATATTACATTTAAAAGTATTTATCAATTGTACATCATTTTATGAATACTGAAGTTGTTTTGCATCTTCGTGGGTATTTAAAAAATAATATGTGCTAATCTGTTTTTCTAAGGACTCAAATTGTAGAAGTAAGGCTGGGTTTTGAAACACAAAATGGTGTATTCGACCTGGTTATTCAATGTTAAAGTGGCTGAATGAAAGAACTTGAGGCCCTCTTGTTTGAGTCTATTGTAGAACCTCTGTTTTCCTCTCCTGCTAGTGCTAGACAGATACCAGAGCTATTCCCACAGACAGTGGGAGCCCAGCACAGCCCTAGGAACTGTGAGACTGGCTTATTCAGGTACTCTTAGTCCCAGGGTTTTGGACAAGGGAACTCTGGTATGAGATGGGAGGTCCAGAACTGATAAGTAATTTCATTTTAGTGACTGCACAGACAGTGCATAAAAATAGATTGTTATGGGTGGAAACAACCCATCTGTCCATCAACAGATGAATACATAAATAAAATGTGTCATACCCATAACAATGGGATATTATCCAGCTATAAAAAGGAAGGCAGTTCTGATAGATGAATGAATCGTGAAGACATTATTTTAAGTGAACAAGCCACATACGACAGGACAAATATTGTATGATTTCACTTATATGAGGTTCCTAGAACAGGCAACATATTCTCATAGAGACAGAAAGTAGAATAGAGGTTTCCAAGGGTTGAGGAGTGGGTAATGGGGAATTATTGTTTAATGGGTACAGAATTTCTGTTTGGGATGATGAAAAAGTTCTTGAAATACTGTAGATAATGGTGTTGGTGGCACACATTGTTAATGAACGTATTGCCACTGAATTATACACTTAAAACGGTTAAAATGATAAAAGTGGTTAATTTCATGCTATGTATATTATACCATAATAAAAAATAGATAGTTTTGAACTATAATTCATGTCTTCAGACAAACTGGACACAAAATTTTGTAAATGGGGCTGAATTGAAAAGAACTGGTCATGGCGGGGTGCGGCAGCTCACGGCTGTAATCTCAGCACTTTGGGAAGCCGAGGTGGGCGGATCCCTTGAGCTCAGGAGTTCAAGACCAGCCTGAGCAACATGGTGAAACCCCATCTCTACAAAAAAAATACAAAAAATAGCCAGACATGGTGGTGGCACACAGGTGGCACACCTGTGGTCCCAGCTATTCGAGAAGGTGAGGTAGGAGGATCGCTGGAGCCAGGAGGTGGAGGCTGCAGTGAGGTGAGATCATCATGCCACTGCACTCCAGACTGAGTGACAGAGCGAGACCTTGTCTCAAACAAAACAGAAGTGGTTATTAGGCAAATAACTCCAAGAAAAGACTCATTTCCCTGTTGGCTTTTCTGCTTTTCTAAAGCCTTCTCTCTTGGTTTTCATCCCTCTGCTCTTCAGGTTCTCCTTAACTCTCTGGAATTATTCTCTGTCTTCTTAACCCTTTTTGCACTTGCCATGTAGAAGTTTGCCAAGGCCCTTGCCTCTTCTTTCATGGAATAGAGCAAACTATGCTTGTCAAGGTACGTTCAGGGGCTCCCTCTGGAGTGCTCCCCAGTAGCTGTGCCTCTAGCCATCACATCTGGGCATCCCCTCTCAGCTGCCTGGCCACCAGGCCTCTGTGGAATGTTCCAAGGATGCCTCAGCTCAGCGTGCCCAAGCTGGTTCCTCCCACTCCCCTGGCTCTCATCCGTTTGGTTTTTTGTTTTGTTTTGTTTTTTGAGATGGAGTTTTGCTCCTGTTGCACACACTGGAGTGCAGTGGGGCGATCTCAGCTCACTACAACCTCCGCCTCCCAGGTTCAAGTGATTCTCCTGCCTCAGCCTCCCAAGTAGCTGGGTTTACAGGCATGCACCACTACACCCAGCTAATTTTGTATATTTAGAAGAGACGGGTTTTCACCATGTTGGCCAGGATGGTCTCGAACTCCTGACCTCAGGTGATCCGCCCACCTGGCCTCCCAGAGTGCTGGGATTACAGGCATGAGCCACCGCACTGGCCCTGTTAGGTTTTTTTGTCCAGCTGCCCATCTCACAGTTACCCCTGCAGGGAGTATCTCTGTCTCTCTTAACCTCAGGCTCATTGGTTGCCAAGTCTTACTGATATTACATTTGCAGCATCTCTTACGTCAGTAATTCTTAAATCTGGGGCTGGATTGAGACAAAGTTTTCACTTTGTCCTTGACAAAAATGAGAAAATATTTTAGTAGAAGGTTGCCATCTCCCTTTTCTTGGGAAAAACTGTTCTTTTTTCTGAGATAACATGTTTCAGTAGTGGGTGATGGCAAGTGTGCACTTTTCTTTTGTTAATAAACTGTTGGCACTTAGACAAATAAAAAGTTGGGAACTCTCTGTAGAGTCCCCCAAGTAGCTCTGAAATATTTCTGGTTTGTGACAACATAGAGCCTGGCCACCTCTGATGTCCTGCCTGATGCCTCCATGCCCCTCACCCCCGATTCAGTTCAGGCTTTGTCTTCACTCACCGGCTAGTGGTCCAGGCTGGGCCCAACCCCATCCAAAGGTTACTCTCAGGTGGGCTTAGACAGGACTGTAGCAGGTTGATAGCTTTAGGGGTGAGGAGGGGTGAGATCACTTGGGCTGCTAGGCCAGCCTCAGGGCACCTGGCCAGGATCTAGGGGAGAGATGGAAGGTGTCAGGAAGCCTAGGCTCCCACAGGGCCCAGTGAGGGTGGGAAAGGCCCAGAGTCCCTGGCTTCCCACTTTTGCAATGGTAGGATGTTACCTCCTGCAAGGGGCCCCATCTGCCTTGGGCCTGCTGCTCCTTCCTGTCTCCCTTAGAGCCTTGGCGTCCTTGGCTCTGACCCCAGCTCATCTGGTTCCACCCTGGCCCCTGCTCCCCCATCCCCCTCCACCAGCTCCTTTCCTCTCTCTACTCCTTCTTGACTTCAGCCTGTCCGTCTTCACCACCCTGTCGTCCCTTGACTCACGAAGTTCAGGGACTTGAAGAGGATGTGTACGAGCTCAGGGGCACTTGTCTCCTTCAGCCAGGTGGCCAGCCTTCCCTGGGGACACAGAGCAATGCCTGTCACCACCCTTCACCCCACCCCATCTTCACCAGGTCACCATAATTGTTTTATGCCTTGGCTGGAAGGCTGGCACTTCCCAAAAGTCCCAAGAGGGGAGGGGAGGTTCTAGGGGGAGTAGATGAAGAAGAAAAAGGCTTGGGATGGTTGAGTCCAGACAGCAGAGGATTACTGGGGAGGAAGGGGAAGAGGAGAGGCCTGGTGAACTTGTGGGGAGCCACCTACCAGGAGGTTGAAGCTGTGCTTGATCTTCTGGAAGCAGTCAATGTACTGTGCCTGGGTGAGACCTGGGAGAAGGGGCCAAGACGGTGGGCCAGAGATCACCCTGAGACACCCCTACTCCTCTTCCCTGGCCCTCAGTACTCACCTCCCTGGTCCTTGTTTTTTTTCCCAAATTTCTTCTTCCTGCTGGTCTTTGCCTGGGCCTTCTCCAGCTTTCCCATGAACAGCTCAATGTCCCTTAGGACATGGTTCAGCACTTCCTGGGCCCCAAACAACCCATGGCCTTGAACGGGCAGTTGGGCCCACCCTGGAACTCCCCACACTGCCCCCCGCACCCCTCCCCACCACAAGCCCCAGCCTCAGGCCCAGCCTGGAGTATAAACAAGCCTCTCTGGCCTCCTGGCCCAGGCCCTGGCCATCCTGGGACCCTGGCCTCCTAGAAAAAGAGGGAGGGTTGGTGTCCTTCCTTTTCCCAGGCCCAGAAAGCCTCAGCAAACTCAAGACCATCCGCAGTTACCTCGTCCCTCTCTGGGTCCTCGGGGGAAGAGGACCGCCTTGGAGGAGGCAGAGTAAAGGCACTTGGTTCTCGGGCACTGGTGTGGCGTGGCAGGGGCCTTGGGGATGGTGGGAGGCCTGCAGTGTAAGGGGACCATGGACCTAGATCTTAGATCTTTGACTTTTCATCGAAACCCTCTCCTTCACCTGCCCCCATGCCCCAAACTTACTGTGCTCTAGGGTCCTCTGGTGGGGCTGTTCTGGAGGGATCCCCGGCTCCAGATAGCGTGCCTGCTCCATAGGGAGCGGCCTTTCCATAGCAGGCCCCCTCCATCTGTCCTGGCCTGGCTGAAGGCCTCCAAGTCGAGGTCTGCTGAGGACATGGTAGGGGCCACATCTTTGACAAGGTTCTTTGGAGAGAGGCCCTCCCCACAATTCTGCTCCAGGACCCAGGGGCACCACCACCTCTCTCCAGGAGTCCCACCCCCTGCTCCCTGGTCTCCTTCTGGACCCACCCCTGACTCCACCCTGCCTCATCTGCCTACCCTCTGGGCCCTCTTGGGTCCCATCTCAGTCTCTGAGGACAGTCTCTAGTGCCCTCTGGGCCCAGCCCCTTGCCTATGCCCACCTCTGTCCTGGCTCCTCCTCAGTCCAGGCCCAGGTTGGTTGGGCCACAACCTCCTGGGTGCCCCAAGATATGGGGTCAGGGTCTGGCCCCCGAGGCTGAGCTGGGAGGCCCCATAGGTGGGCTGGGCAGAGGCTGCCTACCTTTGCTCCAGCTCTTCCTCCAGAGCCTTCTGCAGGCTGGTCTTCAGTCGCTCTGCCTGGGAAGCAGCAGTCAGGCAGGCTAAGTGTGTGTGTGTGTGTGTGTGTGTGTGTGTGTGTGTGTGGTGGGGTGATGGTCGATGAACCCCACCCCTGACCAATCACCCCCGACCACTCACCCCCACTTCCTGGCACTGGAAGAGCAGAGTGCTAGTGCCTGGCAGGCCCGGCTCCTGCACGGTGATGGACAGGATGGAGTTGTAGGAACATGTGTTGAGCGCCACATTCATGGCCTGGATGCTGTCTAGGCGGTAAGAGTCCAGCTCCTCCTGGGCCAGGTGGAGAGGTCAACTGTGAGGCCACCAGAGCTAGGTGTGGCTTCTGGGAGCTCCTGACCAGCTCATCCTAGCCCTTTGGTGGCCTAGGGCTGAGGTGTCATCTACCTGACTCTTGTGCCTCTGTCCCCAGCCTCTGTCCCCTGTCTCTTCCTAGGCTTGGGTGTGTGTTGTATGTGGGGAGAGTGGCTGCCCTTTGGGGCATGGAGGGTGGAGTTCAAGAGCTAGTGCTTGCTTCCCCACAGCCCAGGCTGGCTATCACTGGGTTTGCTGGGAAGGCTGACCTTGGTCTCAATGTCCAGCAGCTGCAGCCAGCCGTCCCTGACCTGCAGGATCAAGTCTTGGCTCCACACCCGGCCCTGTGCATCCATCTCGAACAGCTTCTGCAAGGCATCCTCGGGCCCCTGGACTCTCTGACTCCCCTGCTTGCATGTCATCAAGTGCTGCAGGGAGAGGGGGAGTCCTAGGACTGGGAGAAAGCTCAGAGAGGTGGACCACAGGCGTGCTGGGTAGAGAAAAGCAGAAGAGGAAGAAGACGTGTCCTCGGCCCCCTTGAGGTAGGAGGTTCCAGGCTTCAGATAAAGCAACTTTCCAGGGCCAATGTGAGGGACGGTGTCGAAGCACTGGGGCCAGGGATAGGGCCTCCAAGTCTGAGTCTGAGGGGCTGCAGGAGGGGTTTGAGGACTCTGGAGGAAGGACAGGCATGGCCTTTACTAGTCCAGGCCAGGTGAGGCAGCTGGGTGGTGGAGGATGTGGGCTCCAGCCACCCAACAAATAACTCCTCTGGAGGTGATACAGGACCCTCAGATTCTGTCCCTGGCTTCCTTTGTTCCTTTTGGGAACTCAGTCCCAGCCCAGTCTTCCTCCTCACTCACCCAGCATTCCTGTCTCCTTCTCCCTGGTTCATGCCTGGAGATATCCATCGTGATCTCAGTCTCCGCTCAAGTCCTTGCCTACTGCTAGGCTGACCATCCAGGAGTTTTTTGCTGTTATCCACTCTCCTTTAGGAGCCCCCTCCCTTCTCCCAGCCAAACATTACCTTCACAAGGCCCCTTCCACCCAGGCTTCTTGTGGTAGGGAGATGCAGCCTGCCTCCTGCCCTTTGACCCCACCCCCCTGCCCAGGGCCCAGCTCTTCTCCCTGTGTTCGCACTGCCAGCATATTCAGGGGACTCTGGCATCATGAGCAAACTCCATCCTCCTCTTGCTCTGCCTGCTGGGCCTAAAAGAAGCCTCTTCCCAGCCTCCACCCTACAGAGAAGCTGAGTCCTCCTGGCCTCTCCTCGGCTGGCTAGGGGAGCTCTGCCTCTGCTGCCCTGTGGGACCTGCTGCCCTGTGGGACCTGCAGACCATCGCCCCAGCTCCCTCCCTGCTTGTTCTCCATTGGAGCCACTAACAAGTGGTGGCCAGGACAGGATGGCTTCTACCCCAGAGCTCCAGCCTGACCCTCTGCCTGCTCTCCCCACCACGCCCTTGTAGCCTGTGCTTCGCCTTCACCTTGGTGTCGACAGCCCTTCAGGCACCTAAATCTTGCAGTGCCTGCATCATCCTCCCTGGTAGAGCCAGAGACTCCATTCTAGCCTTGGAGCAGCCTCGGAGCTGCTCACAGTCACCCTGGAGGCTTGGGCCCAGGTGCCTCCCCTCTCCAACAGTGGCCCTCTCAATCCCCCACAGGGCCCAAAGATCCCAAAGATCCCACACACTCCTGCCTCCAGCCATGCAAGGTCTTGGGCAATGGAGCAGTGCCCTGGGGACTCGGGCAGCAGGGGGTTGGGAGACAGGGGAGGGTAGGTGGGTGGGTGGTTGTAGGTGCTTCTTATCCCATCCTGCTGCTACTTCTTCCTGTCTGGGGACAGGACACTCACCCGCTCAACCTCCAGCCAGGCCTGCTCTGTTCAATCTGACCACCCCTCCCCGTCCCTGACACTGAGCAGATGCTCTGGCAGGCTTGTTGGATCTGAGTCCATGCGACATGGTTGGGACAGGCTGTTGGCTTCTGGGGCAGGGACTTGTGTGAAGTGTCCATGTTCTGGCAGGGCGGTGGGCACATGGGAACACTTGGGTTTAGTTGGACACTGCCCGGGGGCTGCAGAGGTACTCACCTCCACCCTGTGCTGCAGGAGGGTGGGCTCTGAGGTGAGGTTCTGGGAGTACTCCTTCCGGTGCACTACAAGGGCACAGAGCAAGGGGCGGGAGGTGGGCAGAAGAACGAGGTGAGACTCAGGCAACTGCTGGGGGCAGTTGGTGTGAGGAAGGGGGAGTGGAGGATGGGACATTCTGGGGGCTCAGTGGGAGGGCACGGGAGAGGGGCCTGCCAGGAGCTTACAGTAAATGGCTCTGCTGCTGGGCCTTGACATGTTGACGCTGCTGAGGACGGCTCCCTAGAACCCAAAGTGAACCAGAGGCAGCCATCAGAGCTGGGGAAAGGTGTACCAGGCACAGCAGGGCAGGACAGTTGCTATTGCTCTGACTGGGGGCCTCTGGGACCAGACCCAAAGCCCCTGGCTCCAGGGGCCCTTTCCGGAGCCATCTGCAGCCAGCGTCCTCCACTGAGGAGCCCTCCATCCTGGCTGGGCCTGGAGGCCCCGGGCTGAGGGAAGGGAGGGTCAGGGAGGCCACAGCATGGCTGGGCCTCAGGGAAGGCTCCAGGCCTCCCATGGTTTGGCTGATAAAGCTCATGCCAAGGAGCCCAGGAAACCTGGATGGACAGGGACCTGCGTTCAGATCCTATCTTGGGCCTGGGTATGAAAGATGCTGGATGAGCAGAGGGTTCTGTAGCCGACCCCGCCAGAGGAGGCCCTCTTGTTCGACCCTGTTTCAGTTCTGCAAACTGAGAGGACGCTGATGCTGGCTCTTCAGCTGTAGACCCTCTGGGAAGACTGCATGCATGTGTGTGTGTACTTATGGTGGCACTGCAGGACTCGCCAGTGAGCTGACCTCCCCCAAGTGTCTCCCTAGGCCTCCTGGCTCTTTGCTTTTTGTACTCTGTATCCTCTGCCCAGGTCCCCTCCTGACCCCAACCCTTTAAATTCTAGCTCAAAGATCACCCTCTTGGTGAAGCCCTCCTGGACCATCCAACCCCACCCTGCCCAGGGTACCCTCCTAATGCTGCACTGGACCTTGTACATTTATCTCCAGCAACAATAGTCACAATAGCCACCACGGTGCTGTGAGCCTGGTGCTGAGCCCCTTACCAACATCCTATCAGTTTCTCCTCACTGCCGTCCACTTGTACTTACTTGGCGCCACGTGCCTAGCACTGTTCTAACGGCGTTACCTTCAGTCACTCTAATCCTCAAAACAACCTCACAAGGCAGGTACTGGTATTGTCCCCATTTACCATATGAGGACTCTGAGGCTCAAAGACGGTAACAGGCCTGAGGTCACAAATGAACGTTTAATAGAGAGCAACCCAGATCTGTCCGATTGCAAGCTTCGTGTTTTAATGGTTTATAAACATGCCTCTGCCGCTGGGCTGTGCGCAGTCACAGAGGGAGTCTAGAGAACATACATGTTGAAATGGAGTGGAATTAAATGTGGTGTGTGTGTCCCGGGTGGGGGTGGTGTTAGTCTGTGCGGGTCAAGGGTATGTGTTATCCAAATGAGGTTTGTGGGTATCCACATGTCTACATGGTACACCTCAGTTGTGCAGAAATACTGGACTACCCCGGGTAACATGTGAGAGAGCAACCCATACCCTTGTTTATTAGGACTGTTGTGAAAATGACGTAGGATCTGATAAGATGACTCAGTGTGGAAGGAAATAAACTGCCAGTGAACAATTAAGGGAATGTGGAAGGGACGGCTGGATCTCTGGTTTCCTTGTTTGGGAGGACCCCTTTTCTCTCCAGGGGTAAGGCGGGGCTAGAAGCCTGTTCCCCTTCCCCAGCCTCCCCCAACCCCCATTGTAACACTTCCTGCTTCTCCATGCTCTCCATGCAGAAGAGGAAGTGAGGTCTGCCCCTGGTCAGCCCCACTCCCCACTCCCTCAACACCAGGGTGGGCCCTGTGGGGCCCTCTAGGTAGGTAGGTCAAGGTGGGGAAACAGCTGCAGCCAAAGATTCCCTACCCCAGGGAGGGAAGAGGGAGCTGGCTTGGCCTGCCTTGCCCCTTAGGGGTAGGGGAGCTGTGACAGCCCATTTCCCCCCTTTAAGCCCTAGATGTAGGGGTTTGGAGCAGGGAAGGCCATCACCTCATAGACCCTGGGGCAAGCATCCCAGAGGCCCTTCCGGAGCCTGGACCTCGCTCTGCTTTCCAGCCCACCAGCCAGCTGCTGAGTCCCAAGCCCCTCCTTGGGCTTGATCCCCTGGGCTGCAGCTGGGAACAGGCTGGAGACCTGGCCTGGGAAGCCACTGAGTTGCCCCCACCTGCCCTGAGATCCCCTGTGACTGGGCTGGGCCCCGATCTTCCCTGGGGGCCAGGCCCTTACCTGGGTGCCAGTGAAGGCCGGGTGCCTGGTCCCCCCAGGAGGCTGGTCTTGGAGCAGGTGGTCCGGTGCTGGTGGTGGAAGGACAGCAGCTTCTCTGCTAGTGGCCACAGGCAGAGCCTGCCTTTGATGAGGTTACAGAGGCAGCCACGCCTGTGCTCTTTGGACTCTGGTGGGTGGGGAGGCTTCCTGGTCACTAACCGCTCAACATCAACCTGGACCTGCGGCAGTGTCTGTGCTGACTGGCGTCCCCAGCTTAGCTAGAGGCCCCTGCTTCCCTGTTTCCCCCACTGCTAGCCTTGGGGTGTGGCCCCCTCTTCCCTCTGCCTTTTAGGTGCCTACTCTGGGGAACAGGTCAGCATCAGGCACGGGGCTGGGACCAGAAGAAGAGAGCACACATGGCCCAGAGTCTGGGTTCTGTGGTGAGGGCACAGGTCGGCTGGAGGTGGACTCCAGGCTTGGGGGAAGCTGTGGGCTGGCGTGTGTGCCATGCCTGTGCGTGGGTGGCACCCATAGGTGTGTGATCCTGTGTACCTGGGTGGTGCCTGTGAGCAGGACATGGATCTTGTCACAGAAGATGGGGACTGAGGCCCCTGGGGCATTACATGGAGCGCTGAGATTCCCTCTGGCAGGGCCCTCATTCTGTCCCTACTGTTGTCCCTTCCAGCAGGAGCCCCCTTACCAGCCCTTTCTCGCTCTTCCACTCTCTTTCCTTCTGTACCCCATCTTGTGCCCAGACCCCTGGTGGACGCCTGGCCAGCTTCAGCAAAGATGGAAAACGGAGGCCTGCATCTATCTCTAGTCATAAACCTACCCACTTCCTGCACTCCATGGTATCGAAAAATCTTTCTTGGCACTCAGAGTGGGCCAGGCTCCCCTGCCCTCTGGGAACTCACAGTCTAACCAACAAGGCCAGGTATAAACAGAAACCAGGGAGCAGGGCAGGAGGGGAGGCGGGGGCGGGGGAGTGCCAGTGAGCCTCGGACCCTCGTGGGCAGAATGCAGGGTCCCGGTGCTGGGCCCTGTGATGGAGTGTCCTGTGGAGTCTGAGGGCTGGAGCACTCCCATCTTTAGCTTCCCTGGAACTATCCCAGGATATCTCAGCCTTCTCTCCCATCACCACCCAACCAACGCTGCCCTGGATGGCCTGGAGTCCATGCGTCAGATCCTAGGGAGGTGCCTTCCCTGTCTGGGCTGTGTGTGTCCCTGGGAGAGTCCAGTGGACAGCCAGCTGCTGGGGCCCAGGGATCAGGTGCCTGTGAGGCCAGCACCCAGCCACAGCCCCATGGGAAGCAGTCCTGGGGTTCTTTCCCCTGGGTCCCCATCTTGTGGCCCTTCAGCTTCTTTTGGGATAGCACAGCCTGTCCCCTCGTTGCCTCCCCCAACTCCGTGAAGGCCACAGTCATATTTCACCCCAGCCCTGGCTTGGGGCTCAGGCAACACCTCATTTCTGCCCAGCTCAGGCCAGGCCCGTCCTTCCCATAGGACCCTCCCCAAGTCAGTGTGAGCACAGCAGGGACTCCTGGGGGGGCTCTGGGGCAAGGTGGGCAGGGGCAGAGAAACAATGAGTGGCATTCCCAGCACCTTGCCCTCTGCAGTGCCCTTTAGGGGTGCCCCTGGGAGCAGTGTGTGTCTCCTCAGACATAAAGCCTTTGTGGCCTTGGTGGGTCTGGGGCTTGGGGCCAGGTATTGGGGACATCTGCTTCTGTGGAGCCCCCTGAGGGAAGAGGGAAATCAGGAAAGAGGGAGAGGCCAAGCTTCCCATACCTGGGGACTTGGGGCCATAACTGAAGCTTCTGCACAAAGCTCCGGGTGCCACAGCAGCTCTTCTGCAAGGGAGTTCGGCTGAGGCACCAGGAGCTGGGACTTAGGTTGGAGGGGAAGGAAGCAGGACTCGAAGGGCATGTCCTTGAAATTGTGGGGTTAAAAGGCTGTGGGACCACATTCGTTCATTCATTCCACAACTTCCTGTAGAATTGAGGGCTTCCTGCCTGCTAGGCACTGTGAGAGGTGCTAGGATCCCTCTGGAGGGCTTACAGACACCTTGGAATTCAAGCTGAGTTCATTATTTCTCAGCAAACCATCTCCCCTCTCATGCTCCCATCTCAGGGAAGGCATCAGCTCCCAATCGTGTGTTCCAGCAGGGAGGGGAGTCCTCCCTCAATCCTCACACCCAATGGACTACCCTTCCTGCAGTCCCAGCTCTGTGGCAAGTCCTAAGTGGCCCCCTTCCTCTCCACCCCACTGCGACTGTCTTCCTCAGACCCCATTACACCTCCTGTCTTCGACCCTGCGGCCGTCTCCTCACCCACGCCCTCGCTTCACTCTTGTTCTCATTGATCCTTACTGGTTGCTGGTAGGGAAGCTTTCTTAGCTGGAGATTTGATTGTCCACTCCTCTGCCTAAAACCCCTCAGTGACTTCCCGCTGCTCACGGGACAAAACCTAAACTCCTTCTCAGGGCAGTTGAAGTCCTTGATGAACTCAAGTCTCCTGCTTCTGAGTCTGGCCTTATCTTCCCCCCAACTCCCTGCCCCTTGTACTTTATACTCGGCTTGGGGCATGGCTTGTAATTCCTTGAAGGGTCACACCCTGGTACCAGGCTGGCTGCTGTTCTCTGTCTGGCATGCCCTGTGGACACGCTATGGCTTTATGTCTCCAGTAGCCCTCCTTCAGAAGCCTTCCCACTGCCCAGGGCTGGTGGGGCTCTGGCCCGTGGCTTCCAGACACGTTGTACATGTGTCCCTCTGTTACTGCATGTATCACATTGAGGGGGATACCCCCATGACTGGGGTCCCTGTGGGGAAAAGAAAGAGAGATCAGACTGTTACTGTGTCTATGCAGAAAAGGAAGACAAAAGAAACTCCATTTTGATCTGTACAAAGAAAAATTGTTCTGCTTTGAGATGCTGTTAATCTGTAACTTTAGCCCCCAACCCTGTGCTCACAGAAACATGTGCTATATTGAATCAAGGTTTAAGGGATCTAGGGCTGTGCAGGATGTGCCTTGTTAACAATATGTTTGCAGACAGTATGCTTGGTAAAAGTCATCGCCATTCTCCATTCTCTGTTAACCAGGGACACGATGCTCTGTGGAAAGCCGCAGGGACCTCTGCCCAAGAGAGCGTGGGTATAGTCCAAGGCTTCCCCCCACTGAGACAGCCTGAGATATGGCCTCATGGGAAGGGAAAGACCTGACCATCCCTCAGCCCGACGCCCGTAAAGGGTCTGTGCTGAGGAGGATTAGTAAAAGAGGAAGGCCTCTTTGCAGTTGAGATGAGGAAGGCCTCTGTTTCCCGCATGTCCCTGGGAACAGAATGTCTCGGTGTAAAGCCGACTGTTCGTTCTATTCTGAGATAGGAGAAAACCGCCCTGTGGCTGGAGGCGAGATATGCTGGCAGCAATACTGCTCTGTTACTCTTTGCTACGCTGAGATATTTGGGCAAAGAGAAACATAAATCTAGCCTACGTGCACATCCGGGCACAGTACCCTCCCTTGAACTTATTTATGAACAGATTCTTTTACTCACATGTTTTCCTGCTGACCTTCTCCCCATCATCATCCTGTTCACCCTGTTCTCCTGCCACACTCCCTTTGCCGAGATAATGAAAATAGTAATCAATACATACTGAGGAAACTCAGAGACCAGCACCGGTGCAGGTCTTCGCATACTGAGTGTGCTGGTCCCCTGGGCCCACTGTTCTTTCTCTATACTTTGTCTCTGTGTCTTCTTTTCTCAGTCTCTCGTCCTACCTGACGAGAAATACCCACAGGTGTGGAGGGGCAGGCCCCCTTCAGGTCCCTGAGGACCCAGATTGTTTTCTGCCACTGTCTAGAGGAGAGAAGGGCTTGTAAACAAAAGCACTGTAGTATGCAGGCATAAAGAACCTTACTCGGCTTGGGGGTGTCAGGGAGGACTTCTCAGATGAGGAAATGCAAGGGCTGGCCCTTCAATGACACACAGGAGTTCAGCCAAGAGGTGAAGTGGGCAGGGAATTGCAGGCAGAGGGATTGCAGTCCTACTGGATGAAGCGGCCTGGGGAGAAGATGGGTATGGCGTGAACTGTGTGTGTGCACGCGTGTGTGTGCATGTGTATGTGTATGTGGCGGGGAGGTGGTGGCAGATGACAGCATATGTGTGCCGTCATCACCTGGTGGTGAGTAGAGCCATTGAATGGTTTTGCATGGAGATGCAACAAGAAGGCTACTGGGTCTTCTGTCTTGTGGAAGACGCTGCCGCTTGCTGGTTCTCAGCATATAAAGAGACCCAGGTGCACAGGCTTTAGGCTAAGGGGCCAAGGAGCCCCTCCCACCACCCTGGCCTGGGCCAAGAAGCAGGGTGGGTTCCTTGGAAGCTCCAGAGCAGGCCCTGGTCAGAGCTGGGAAACTCTGGAGGGCTCTGAGGAAAAGAGCTCTGTGTTCATGGATGACCATGCAGGGGGTAGGGCAGGGCCCTGGCATTCAGAGGTGAATGGGTGCCGCCTCACCTTTAGAACCAGACCCCAGAGCAGGGTCCAGCCAGCACCTCTTGCTGGTGGACTGCATGGATGAGGCAGCCTCAATGTCAATCAGGGGCTGATTGACAACTCTTCTTCCCAGGCCGCTTCATCCAGTAGGACTGCAATCCCTCTGCCTGCAATTCCCTGCCCACTTCACCCCTTGGCTGAACTCCTGTGTGTCCTTTAAGGGCCAGCCCTTGCATTCCCTGAGTCATGGTGGTCCTGTCCAGGGGCTGACACCTGGCCCTGGGGCTGCTGGGGAATCACAGAGACAGCTCCCATCCCTGCCCCTGCTTTCCCCAGCCCTGGCACAGGGGTAAGTGGCTTCTACGAGCCAGGTGGAGACATAAACAAGAGAGATGATGTCCCTCCCTCGCAACTAACCTGCCAAGGTAGAAGAAACAAATGTATCTGAAGATAATCAAGGTCCTGACAAGTGACAAGAGAGAAATAGAGTGAAGTGGATGATGGCATGGGGGTGGGAGGGTGTTTGGAAGCACGACGTCGGAGAAGGCTTCTCTGAGGAGGGGAGCTTCAAGCTAAGCCAGGGATGGGAAGGAGCCTGGGAGAGGGGGCCAGCAATGTGAAGGGCTTGCAGCTGAGAAGGAACGAGCTGGCGGAGAGGTGACCGAAATGGGGTGGACAGGGGCCAGAGCACACAGGGCTCCGTAGACCATGGCCAGGAGCCTGGTTTTTATTCCAAGGGCAGTTGGAAGACACGGAGGGGTTTTAAATGGAGGAGTGGCATGATTGGATTTATGTTCTAGTCACAACTCTGGCTGGGGTGGGGAGAATGGGCTGTGGGGGGAGTGGGGGCGGACTCAGGGAGACCACAAGCAGCTGCTGCAGAGAGGGTGGTGAGGCCTGGACATGGCAGGGCAGTGAGGATGGAGACTTAGGCTGCAGGTGGAACGGATGGGACATGCTATGGATTAGAATGGGGGTTGAGAGGGGAAAAAGGACCTATTAGGACTCAGGTTTTTGGCTTGGACAACTGGGAGGGTTATGGTGACATCTGGTGAGATGGGGAAACCGAAGAGAAGAGGGATTGGGAGGCAGGGGGATATGAAGAGTTACTGTTCCATTCTGGATGGCCTCAGTTTGAGAGGTGTTTTGGGCCTCTGGGTGGAAGTAGCAGGAAGGCAGGGGCAGGTGTGAGTCAGAAGCTCAGCAGAGCAGGATGACCACATGCAGGCATTCAGAAGCATGTGGAGAAAGATGATTCAATGATGCGGGGAACGTTTGCAGTGTAGAAGACAGTAGATACTTGGCAGCTGTAAATACACGAATAACATTCAGAGACCTAAGACTCACGAGACCACATGCGGGAAAGTGTATAGATAAAGAGAAGGGGGCTCACGACTCAACCCAGGCGCTCCAACATTAAGAGATTGGGAAGGATGAGGGGAGACTAAGGGGCTGCCAGTGAGCAGCAAGGAGAGCTGGGAAGAGAGTGTTTCAGGAAGGAGGGGTGGACACCTGGGCCAGGTGCTGCTGGGAGGTGGAGGAAAGGCTACCATCTGTGGGTTTGCAGTGGGGGCTGGAGCCAGCTGGGGACGGCTGAAGAGTGTGAGGGTGAGGAGGTGGGCTGTGAGTGAGTCGCCGAGTGTAGACAGTGGGCATGGGAGGCTTTGCTGGGGATGGGATGGTGGGCCAGGGATGACATACCAGAAACTTGTTCAGATGTGTTCAGGGTGGAAGACTTGGCATAATGGCTAGTGGGAACACACTACTGCAGAGACAGATGAGACAACAGAGATCCTGGGCGCATGGCAGGAGGGCGGTTTCTGTGGGAGGGCAGGGGAGAAGGTGGGCTTGTCTCTGGAGCCTCTGGTCACACCTGGGCTAGACTCTGCCATGCTGCCCACCCCTCCACCTGCCTGCCCTCCTCGATAAAGGCAGACGAAGGGCGAGTGCGTGATTTGAAGGCAGGGGGGTGATTTGTAGCCCCACAATTACAAGAGGCCCAGTGGCTTAAGTTTTCAGGAAAGAAGGCCAGGCCTAACGTGCTTCCAGAAGCTGCTCTGTCCGGGGATGGACTGGGGTTGGGATCTCAGACCCGCCCCCATTTTCCTAGCTCTCCTCGGTGCCTCCATTTGTTTAAACCCCAAATCTGAAGCCAGTGCTCAGGGCTATGAATTCTCCTGCCTTTTCCTCATTGCCCTGGCAGCTGATGTCGGTCCAGATGTTTCTCAGTTCCCGATTCTGGGCCTTGGTTCTGCACCTTCCCAGCCCTGGATCCCCTGGGTGACTCCTACACATGCCCCCTCCTTCTTTCCCTCTCTTCTGCATCCCATCCCATCCAGGTAGGCAGTCCCAGGAGCCTGGATTACCCTGGCCCCACTGCCCTGACAGCCCTGGAGGAAGGGACCTCAGGGACATCTGGAAAGCCCTTCTCCAGAGGCCAGCCTTGGACTGGGCTTAAGAACAGGCTTCTCAGGAGAGCTGGGCTGGAGAGGAGGAGAGGAATCCAGGGCCAGGCTGGGAGGTGGCTGCTGAGGAAAGAGCAGCCTCCGGGAAAGGCAAGCCCTAGGGGATCTCAGGGGAGGGGCTTGGTTGGGTCCAGCTCAGTCTATGCGGCAGGTGGGGAGAGACAGGGAGAGGCGGTCCCATCACCATGCAGGACCATGCCCTGGGCCCCCTTCCAGGAGCTGGCGGCACTGAGGCTTCTTCCTGGGCCAGGCCTGGCCAGCAGCCACGGGTATGGAGGGGAGAGGGCCTGACCAATGCTGCCCGCTCCCTCAGACACTTCTGCTCCTGCCCCCACTTTAAACCACTGCCCAAGACCAACACAGTGCGGCCATTCAGATCCATGTGGTGAAGGGATATTCAGTGATGTGGAAAAGCTCCCCATTAGCCTTAGATGAAAAAGACAAGTTACAAAATGTAGATCTTAGTTTTGTGAAATAAGCAAACACACAAACAAATAGGTAAATAGAAGTCATATAACTTGAAACAGAAAAGTCTAAACGAAACCTGTAATCATAGACATCTAAACAGGAAACATGGCAATTATGTAAATACCCAAACATAGAAACGTTCATGATGTAGTATATGGTGAAAAAAGCTTCTTACAAGTTGGTAATATTCAATTTTGTTAAGAAAAGTTGTAATGAAAATCTAAACAAAAAATGTCTTGAAGAAGAGACACGAGAAGAAAGAATGTTAGTTATCTTTAGATGTGTGTCTGTGTTGGGATGAGGGGACTTCTTTGTGGTTTTACTTTCTTTGTGCTTTTCTATGTTTTCCAACTCCTCCCCAAAGAACATGTTATGTTATTTTTGTAATCAGTGCATCTCCATTCCCATGTCACCCCACACAAAATAAATGGTAATTTTTAAAGTAAGAAAACAAGACAAAAATGTCCCAGAAAGGGACTCCTTCTGCAGCCCTGGGACTCTGTCTTGCTCCCGAGGGGTTGTCAAAGGGTAAGAACAGTGGCCCTGGGACTGGGAAGGCCAGTAGGAGGGCTCAGCTCCCCTCTGTCTGATGTGTGGCCCCTTTGTGGTCCCAGAGGCTCTAGGCTATGTCCCTGAGGAATTCCTAGGTCTCAGGCCAGAGCCAGGCCTCATCCCAGTTGGCATTGAGTGGTCCTAGCCTTCCTGAGCTTCGGGGAGGTGTGTGTCTGCGTGTGCATGCGTGTGGGTGTGTGTGTGTGCATTTATGTGTGTAGGTGTGTGCACAGAGCCAGCATGGAGGAGTCTGGGAGCCCCTCCTTGGTTTCTTGGTACCACACCCCACACATATTCCCAGGTCAGCACAAAGCAAGACTTCCCCTCCAGGATTCAGCTGCCGAGGAACCCTGCTAGGGACCAGAAGCTCATCACCTCCCCAGCAATGCGGGCCATGGAGGGGGCTCTCCATCGCACAGAGGAAGTGGTTCAGCGTCAGGAACACTGGGTGTGAATCCTATCTCTGGCTCTTAGCCATGTGGCCTTGGAACCTGAGTTCTCTGAACTTCGAGTTCATCCTTTGTCAAAAGGGATGATGATGACTGCATGGTTTATATAAGACAACTTGGTCACATGTCTGGAGCAGGGGAGGGGCTCCATAAACAGCCTCCTGAAAGTCGACCTCCCTGTAAAGACTTCCTCTGCTGCTAGCCATCCCTGTGCCACCCAGAATAGATCTGATCCCTCTGAGGCACCTCTTCCCCAGGCAGGCTTTCCCCAGCTCTTCTGCCACCCTGGATAGCAGGCTGCCCAGGCTCACTGCATCTTCATCTCTCTAGAGTAGTTTCTCAAATGCCTGGCTCCATGGGACTGCCTGGGAAGCCTGGTTAAGAATGTAAAGTTCTAGACTCTATCCATGGAGAGTCTGATTTAGGAGTTCCAGGAAGGAGCCCCAGAATCTAAATATTTATAATCTCCCAGTGGTTCTAATGGGAGCCCGTGCTCTACCCGCTTCCAGTTGGCAATGTCCTGTCTTAAGTGTCACCCAGAAGTGACCAGTGCCAGGCTGCCACCCGACCAGCTTGAACCTGAGAAGTCATCCCTCCAGCTGCCCCTGCTCTCCCCACCCAGCCTCCTGGGTGCCCCGGGGGTGTGCTGTGCCACAGCCAGGCAGTGCCACTCCAGAGACTCTTGCTCTACAGTGCTCTCCCTGAAAGTGGGCAGCAGCTGGAGCCAGGAGCCCTGGCCTCCCCAACTCTGCCCCTCAGTGGATTCTGTGCCAGGAATATTTGTCCATATAGACACCTATGCAGACAGACCAAAGGGCTCCCAGAAGGAGCTGGTGAGCTTGGCCTGTGGCTCTGCAGACCTTCCCATCAGGCTGAAGGGGTCCCGCCCTGCGAAGAACATAGGCCACCAAAGATCTTGCCCTGAGAGGCCTACCCAGAATTCCAGAACTGTCCCCAGTGGATGTAGGCAGCTGTGGAACAGTGGGTAGGGGACCGCCCCTCCACCAGTGATCTGAGATCCAGAGGCCCTCAGAGAAAATGCCGGGACTCTCCAGCCCCAGGGCAGCTGGGAGACCATGGGGAGGACGGTGACCTCTGTGATTCAAGGCAGGCATCCACTGTGTCTGGCCCTTCAGTCCTCTCAGAATGTGGCCCTCTGGACTGGACGGGGCCGAGAGAGACCCACCATCCCTCAATTCCCGACTCCCTGAGGCCATCCCTCAGACAGGGTGCTCACAGCCAGCCAAGGCAGGCCCTGTCTCAACTGGCCAGCTCTGACCATTAGAACATTCTTCCTTAGGCCAAGCTCAGACCTGCATTCCTGGAGCGTCCCTGCAATGTGCCCCTCTCTGACGGCAAGCCCTTCAGATATTTAGAGATGGTATCACGCCCTCCTGGAGCTGCCCAGAGACCATCAGAGCCAGAGCCCCTGGGTTCAAATTAAACTCTTGGAACCTCAGTTTCCTCATCTATGAAATGGAGACAACCATGGCCTCTATTTATGGAACGCACGCCCTGGCCAGGCATTGCATTAAGCATGCCACGTGCCTAGCACATAGACATTTATTAAGGCTTCCAGATCCTTGGCCAGACGAGTGGCACTGGTTCCTGGCTGTCTGCGGAGAGGTGCCGGCTCCCTCTGCTGGAAATAGTGAGTCGCAGTCAGGACGGGAGAGGACAACGTAGAACTGCACTCTGGGTGGGAGGGACCTCAGAGATGACCTGGCCCAACATGGTGTTTTACAGATGAGGAAACTGAGGCCAAGGGTGGCCGCCTCACTGGATGACCTCTTTGAAGTTTGCCTGTGTGGGTCCCAGATTGGGGCACTCTCTCCTGCCCCCCAACCATGTGCTGCAGAGAGGAGCTGGGCAGTTTGGTTCTAATGGGCTCCCTGACTTCTGAACCTCACTTTCCATTCCAGCCCACCTCATCCCTCTGGGACTACTGGGTGGAGTGTTGGGAAGGACACCGCCAGGATGCAGGCACAGGGCAGGGGCAGGGGCTCCAGCTGTGCACTTCCTTCCCCCAGCAAGCTGCAGTTCCAGGGAAGGTCCTGAGGGCAAGGCAGGAGGTCAGGAGGGTGGGGCGTCAGGAGGGCTGGGCTGTGGCATCCACCCACCCACACCATGCCTGGGAAGGACAGAGCCCACAGAGCTGGGGTCTCCCAGCCGGTGCCACTCGGGGAAGCGAAAGGGAGCTGCACAGACATCTAGGTCCAGGCTGCATTTGCTCATCCAGCTGGTAATATGACTGATGGGTAGAGAGGTCCAAAGGGACTTCCAGTGGGGACACTGGCAGACTTGGAAGATTCTGGAAACTTGTAGCTTCTCCGTGCTTGCTGTTCATGGTACTAGCTCTCTGCTAGGAGCTATGTGATGTGCTTTATGGTTATTATTTTTCTTTTCTTTTTTGAGATGGCGTCTTGCTCTGTCACCCAGGCTGGAGTGCAGTGACGTGATCACGGCTCAAGTGATCCTTCCACCTCAGCTTCCTGAGTAGTTAGGACTAGAAGGGTGTACCACCACACCCAGCTAATTTTAAACTTTTTTGTAGAGACAGGATCTTGCTATGTTGCCTAGGCTAGTCTTGAACTCCTGGCCTCAAACGATCCTCCTGCCTTGGCCTCCCAAACTGCTGGCATGACAGGCATGAGTCACTGTTCCCGGCCTCTTTTCAATAATACTACAACGTAGGTATTATTAGGTCCATTTCATGAATGGGGAAACTGAGGCTTGGAGATTTAAAGAAATGGTCAGGTATCTAGAAGAGCTGTCATGAGCCCATGTCCTCTGACGTGAATGCCTTTTCACTAACTGCATTGCCTCTCATCTGTTCTTGTCTCTGTACCCTCAGTGAATAGCCATGGAGCTCCTAAAAAGAATGGGACCTTTCACTTGACCTCCCTTCTCTCCCTTGCCTACTGCCCCTGAGCGAGTGCTTCAGCTACAGTCTGGGAGCCGAAGATGCCTGTGTTTGATGCCTCCAGCACCCTGTCTCTGCATCTTGAATCCAGCCACGTGACCATCTCTTGCCCACCTTTGGCCAATGTCCCTGAGACATTTCAAGTGCATCATGCTGCAGACTGGTGTTGCTGTCTCCACAATACCGCGCTTCCCCTGTGTCCCCATCTCAGTCTTTGGTCCCACTATCCACTTCCCACATGCAGCCATTGAGTCCTCTATTTTTCTTCCTTAAATCTCCAGAATCTGCTGACAGTTTTACTTCTCTGTTATTATTGCTTTAATTCAGACCCCCCCCCCCACAATCCTTTACCCCTTATTCCCCCACACCCTCCCGAGCCTTTCCTGCCATCTCCTTTCCAGGGGATACTCCCTTCTGAGCTCTCTCCAGCTCTGCCCAACAGAGTTTTCTAAAATTCCAATCTGCACATGTCACTCCCTGGCTTATAAATCCTTCAGTTGCTCCCATGCTTTAAAAGAAAATCATACACCTTGACTTTGCACATGGCATTTGAGCTCTGCCTCTGCTGGTTACCAGGTCTCACCCTTCTGCTGCAAACCCAGACACAAAGACAACCCAAAGCTCCCTGAAGGCACCTGCAGCACTTTGCCTCTCCACACCTTGCTGCTGCGTCGGCCTCCCTGCTTTCTTTGCTTGGCCAAAGCCTCATCTTCCCTGCCATCTCACCTCAAACATCTCTGCCTCTAGAAGGCTCCCTGGACTCCCCTCACCCCTCAGCTGGTTTGGCGGTTGTGATCTGAGATAGCACACCTCTTCTTATATCTCTGTCCAAAACCTTAATGTAAGACATTGGTGAATACCTTAATTTTCTCTTCCACTAAGTGATGTTACTTTGAGCAGGTTTTATGTCTTTTTTGTGGGATACCCACAGTCAGGCCAGTGCCTGGCACCTAATAGGTGATTGCTGAGTCAGTGAACAAGTAAACAAATGAATGAAGAAGGTAGAAAGGAAACAGAAGTTAGGAGGGCAGAAGTGGCTGGGAATGGAGACAGTGGCCTGGAAACCTCCTGGAGGAGGGGTCAGCATCCCTTGGTCACAAATTTCTCTCCTACCTGGCTGCACATTAGGGGGACTCTCCGCTCTTTCCTGCCTCTCCCTGGCAGACTAGTGACTCCTGGACACCAGTAGTGGGAAGGCAAGGGGCCTGGAGGCTGGTCAGAGACCCACACAGAGACCATCCTTTTCCCTTCCCAAGGGACGCTGCCAGCCTCTGCAAGAAGACTACCCAAAGGCTGGTGGATGGCATGGAAACATGAGTGCTGGAATGCGATCGCCTTTCCCGCCCAGCACTGATTATGCACCATCTGTGTTCTGGGGCCTGTGCTGAAACTCTGAGCTTGTGCACATTCCAATGTGATGCCATCCTTTGGCTTAGTTTCAGATGAGACTAGGGTGGGCACAAGCCACAGGTGGCAAGATTGAGCTCTAGGCAATGAGTGCCAGGGGACAAAGGTGAGGATGCCGGGGCTGCACAGTCAGCAAGGAGGTGGACTGAGTCTTGAAGCAGAGTGGAAAGGCAAGGGCATTGCTGGCAAGAGGGATGGCCTTTGTAGAGGCTGGAGGTCAGGACACACAGGGACAAAGAACAGCTGGATTACCTGGGCCTGAGGCTTTGGGATGGAGTGGTAGGAAATAAATTTGGAAAGAGTCATTGGAACCAGGTCCTGGAGGAATTTGCTAGGCCAAAGAGTTTGAACTTGAACCAGAAAGATGAACTGTGAGGCTGGGGTGGATCCCATGGGGCCAGCCAGGTAGCCCTTGGCTGCTTCTTCCCTGCCTTTCCAGTTAAGGAGCCATTCCCTGCAATGGCCAGCAGGGGGCAGAACAAGCTCACGTTCCCTTAGCCCAGGCCTTCCTGTCAGGGCTCAGTGTCCAGGGAGAGACCTGGGGTGGGTGTCCCTTGGAGAGTGGGGAGGAGCACCAGGCACAGAGGAAACAGGCCAGCTGTGCATAGATGGGGGACCCGGGGAGGCTGGCTAGTCTGTGGCCATTGAAGCTGCGTGGTCTGGTGACCCGACCTGGACAGCCCTGGGGTGAGCATCCACCCTTCCTGGGCCTAGGCTCCCTGGCACTAGCACAGCTTTCCAACTGTGCCCCCTTGTCTTTGCTTTCCCCAGCTTCTCCTTCCCAGTAGAAGAACCCTCGTTCCCATGAGGTGTCTGAATTGGGCCTCCCGGCTCCCCAGCTCCTTTAGAATCAAACCAAATCTAGGAATGTGGCTAAAGAGAGTCTCTTTCCTCTGCTCAGTCCCTTCCCTGGAGAGGATGAGGGAAGGTTTTCGGGCTGATGACAAGGTATGCATGTGGGTGTTTGACTAGCATTATTCAGCAGCTTCTGTGCTAAGGACAGGGACATGAAGACAGAAGTGCATTAGGCCAAGGCACCATTACACTCAGGGTCCCCAGCCCGCAGAGTAAACAACTCCGTGACTCAGCTGGCAATGGCTGGAAGGTGCTATGAACACAGTGCCGTGGACGCCCCGAAGAGGAGAGAACACCCCTGCACAGTGAGGACTGCAGAAGCTTTGACGAAGCTGCTACTGGATCTAGGCCTTGAAACATGGGTAGGATTTTACCAGATGGGGAAGAAGAAGGGGCATCTCCATTCAGGAACCAGCATGAGCAAAGGCACAGGAGTGGGGCTGTGTTTAGACAATATCAATGAACGGATACAGTTCTATATGCTTTTCCATGACCACTTGTTATATGACAAACATTGTGCTATGATATTTATATTATTTCCAATTTTCAAATCAACCCTTAAGGTGCTATGATCCCCTCTTTACAGATAAAGCATCTGAGGGTCAGAGAAATGGCATGAGAGCCCCGGTAAGGAGCATAGGAGCTGAAATGCTAGTCCCGGTCCCTGTGACTCCACTCTGCCTCCGTAAGATGGAAGTTAAGGAGTGTGCATGGCAGGGGTGGATGGGAAGGGCTGATGGTGCCACAAAGACCAGCAAAGTCCTTCTCTCCCAGGGGACGCTACCCTTGGCCCCAGCATCTCTGGCCAGACTGTAAGATCTTCTGGTCAGAAACCTTTTCTCAAACAGCTATTTGCCTTTTCACTTTTCCTTTTCCTTTTAGGAAGCAGTTCTTGTGCAAATTTCATTCTTGCGGGTCATAGATTTTGTCTGGGCCTGGGTCGCAGACAGAGAAGGAGGGGCCCTGAAATAGGGTGAAAGGAGGAGGGCCTGGGCCAGATCCCCAGGGGGCATCAACCTGCCCTTGCAAGCCTTGTGCTGGTATTTAAAGGTTGGCTTCCGGCCAGGTGCAATGGCTTACACCTATAATCCCAGCATTTTGGGAGGCTGAGGCAGGAGGATTGTTTGAGGTCAAGAGTTTGAGACCAGCCTGGGCAACAAAGTGAGACCCTGTATCTACAAAAAGAAAAAAAATTAGCCGGACATGGTGGCGCATGCTTGTAGTCCCAGCTACTCAGGAGGGTGAGGTGGGAGGATTGCTTGAGCCCAGGAGTTTGAGGCTGCAGTGAGCTGTGATCATGCCACTGCACTCCAGCCTGGGGGACAGCAAAAGACCCTGTCTCTAAAACAAATACATAAATAAAAACAAAGTTTGGCTTCTTTTCCCAGTCTCCATTTGTCTCCTCTGTCTGGGTGGGATGGAGTAGCTGAGAGGGCAGACCTCCTGCCACGAACGGACCTCTTCCAGATGGAAGAGAGGCCTGCTCCTCCAGGGCTCCCCTCCTCTGAACCACCTCCCTTCCTGGTCTCAGTAAAGCCATTCCCACATCTTCCAGTGGTCCCTGCGTTAGTCTGTTCAGGCTGCTATAGCGAAATAGCATAGACTGGGAAGTATACAAACAACAGAAATTTGTTTCTCACAGTTCTGGAGGCTGGGAGGTCCAAAATGAAGGTACCTGTAGATCTGGAGTCTGGTGGGGGCTTACTGTCTAATTCATAGAAGGCACCTTCTCACTGTGTCCTCACATGGTAGAAGGGCAACACAGCTCTCTGGCATCTCTTTTATAAGGGCACTAATCCATTTTATCAGAGCACTTACTCACCTCACAAAGGTCCCATCCCTAATACCATCGCCTTGGGGTTAAGGTTTTTTTTTTTTTTTTTTGAGACGGAGTCTTGCTGTGTCTCCCAGGCTGGAGTGCAGTGGTGTGATCTCAGCTCACTGCAAGCTCCGCCTCACGGGTTCCCGCCATTCTCCTGCCTCAGCCTCCCGAGTAGCTGGGACTACAGGTGCCCGCCACCACACCCGGCTAATAGAGACGGGGTTTCACCGTGTTAGCCAGGATGGGGGGTTAAGGTTTTAACATATGAATTTTGGGGAGACACAAACATTCAGACCATAGCCTTCTGCCCTGGCCCACCAAAATTTATGTCCTTCTCACATGAAAAGTATATTGATTTCATTTCAATAGTCCCAAATGTCTTACTCATTCTAGCATCAACTTTAAAGTTTAAATCCAAAGTCTCATGTAACTATCAAATAAAACAGATATAAGTGAGACTCAAGGTATTTGTCTCCAGCTATGAACCTGTGAAATCAAGCAAGTTATGTGCACTCAAAATACAATGGGGGAGATGGGTGGAGGATAGACATTCCCATTCCGAAAGGGAGCAATAGGAAGGAAAGAAGGGATACCAGGTCCCAACCAAATCCAAAACCCAACAGGGCAAACAACATGAAATCTCAAGGCTGGAGAATACTCTCTGGCTGATGCTCTGCCCTCTGGACACTGGGGTAGGGGTTGGGCCCTCAGAGCTCCAGGTGGCCCTGCCCCCATAGCTTTGCTGGGCACTGCCTATGTTCCATCTCTCACAGGTTGTAGTTGGGTGCCTGTGGCTCTCTCAGGCTGGAATTGCACGCTGGTGGGTCTATGGTCTGGGATCTTGGTGTTGGCCCACCCCCATGGCTCTATTAGGTATTGCCCTGTTGGGGACTCTCTGTAGAGGTCCCACCCTTGCCATAACTCTCTGTCTGGTCACATAACTGAGGCTCCTAGTGGCTCCATTCTTCAGGATCTAGGTGAAGGTAGCCATGCCCCCACAGCTCATGCACATTGACAGGAATGGCACTTCATGGAGCTGCCAAGGTTTATCACCTGTGCCCTGCAGAGGGGTGGCCACCTTAGCTTGTGTTGTACCTAGGCCCACTAGAGCCATACGTGGGGTGGCCAACGAGTACTCTGCTAAAGTGCGGGGAGTGGAGCCTTGAAATCTTTCTGTCCCCCAAGCCCTTGCACTCTGGGCCTGTGGTGGGAGGGGCAATTCTGATAATCTCCAAAATATTTTTGGGGACAGCCTTCCATTGCCTTCATCAATAGCACCTGGCTTCCCTTGAGATGGCCTATCCGTACCAATCCCTTTCTCAAATCACTGTGGGGCCACATTCTTGGTGTTTTCTATGAACACACTTTCACATTCTTTTCAAAATGGATAGGTTGAGAATTTTCCAAAATTTTAAATTCTGCTTCCCTTTTGATTAGCAATTCTATCTTCAGATCATCTCTCTCTTCTCAAATGTTACTATAAGCACTCAAGAGAAGCCAAGCTGCACCTTCAACACTGCTTAGAAATTTACTCATTCAAATATCCCATTACATCATTTACAAATTCTACCTTCCACAAAACACCATGACACAAACTTAATGCAGCCAAGTTCTTTACTACTTTCTAATAAGTATTGTTTTTCCTCTAGTTTTCAGTAAAACATTCCTCATTTCTGAGACCTTACCAGAATGGCTTTTACCATCCATATTTCTACCAATAGCCTGTTCATGACCACTTAGGTAACCTCTAAGAAGATTGAGGCTTTCTCTACAACTCTCCACACCAGAACTGCTCTTAACAGTCCATTCATGGCAATGGTTAGGCTTTTTCTAGGATGCACTTCCAAACTCTTTCAGCCTCTACCCATTATCTAGTTCCAAAGCCACTTCCACATTTTAGGTATTTGTTACAGTAGCATCCCACTCCTGGTACTAATTTTCTGTTTTAGTCCATTCAGGTTGCTATAACAAAATGCTATAGACTAGGTAGCTCATAAACCACAGAATTTATTTCACAATCCTGGAGGCTAGGAAGTCCACAATTAAGACACTGGCAGATTTGGTGTCTGGTGAGGGAATGCTTTCTTGTTCATAGATGGTACCTTCTCGGTGTGTTCTCACATGGTCAAAGGGCAAGACAGCACTCTGAGGTCTCTTTTATATGGTCACTAATCACCTCACCAAGGCCCCACCACCTAATGCCATCATCTTGGGCACTGGGAATTTAACATATGGGTTCTGGGGGTAGGAGGACACAAACATTTACACCAAAGCTGACTCCTTCTCAGCAATCATCCAGTCCTTTTAAATTGGGACACTAACCTTTTTCTTGCCAGCAATCATTTTAAAAAATCAATTTAAAATAATAAAAATTATAGTAAATACCATAATAGCAGAGAAGGATATGTAAAAATTAAAAATGTTCTACCCATCACCCTTTTCCTTTGCCTCATCTTATTCCCCAAGGAACCACTCTTAACAATTTCTTATTTATCCCTAAGATATTTCTATGTATATAGACAAGCACGTATAGCTACAAGTCACTATATGTGCTTTGTAAAAAATATATACAAATGGGATCATATCATAACAATAATGTAACCGTGTTATTTTGCAGCTTGCTTTTTTCACTTAATGTCAGATCTTGGACCTCTTTTTCATGTCGATATCTGTAGATCTACTCATTTTTTTTGTAGTGACTATAAAAAGTTCATTGTAAAGATGTGACTGACCAGTTCCTTTTTTAATGGAGATTTATGCTGCTTAGGTTTTGCTAAGGCAAACAGTTCTAAGATGAACAACTATGTTTGTAAATTAATTGCCAGCTGACTAATAATGTGTGTGTTTAAAATGTGAACATGTGTTCCCAGATTGCCTTTCAAAAACACTATAACAATTTATAGTCCCACTAATAGTGTATGAAAATGCCCATTTCCTTATATTTGCACCAACACTGATACTATCAAACTTTTAAATCTTTGCTAATTTGACAGATGAAAAATGGTAAAAATTTAAAAATTTTGAAAATTTAAATGCCTTTAAAAGTAAGGCTGAGCATTTAAAAAAATATATCTTGGCTATTTAAACTTCTTTTTCTTTCTTTTTTGTGAATCCCATGTGTAGAGGGATTTTTTGAGACAGCTATTCTTTTTCTCACTGATTTGTAGAAGCTCTTTGTGTATTAAGGAAATGTCTCTAAAATTCATTTTCTTAGTTCTTTCACTACAAATTCTATGTTTTAAAAGGTTTTGTTAAATAGCAGTTGCCAAGTTATTAGTTCTTTTTCTGTTTTCTCCATCTGACCCATGTATACTTAACCTCAAATATTTATCTGTACAGATAGCCAATGTTTCTGCATTGAGTTGATGTAATTCCAGCCAAAAGCAAAGCATTGGAATTTTTGTTAATCCCAGAAATCTCACCATGGCTAAATGTAGAGTATCCATTGGTTTTCTGAAATATTTTAAGTGGTTCAAGGAACCCTGGAGGCCTGGGGCCCTGGATGGGAGCCACAGCCTCTGATTTAGCCCTTTAGCTAGCACTTCCTTGGGCCAGCCCAGCTCACTCAAGCCAGCAGTTTGGTCAGCACCTGTGTGCACCCCTCTGGCCAGCTGTGGATTCTTCTATTCAGGTGAATGGGCCGGGTGTTTGCATATTTTCCCCTTTGTTTATAGGCACTTATAGATGTGAGTCCCTTTTCCCTTTAGCAGATGGTCCCTGAGGCAGGACTGAACCTGCCCTAGGCCAGCCCCAGTGGGACTTTACTGGGGGTTAAGGAGGAGATGGAGGAGTGCGGTGTGGGGCGGACAGAATGGGGCTCACCCTTAGAGCCTCCCAGCTGGCCCCCACCCCCGCTGCCCATCCTTCAGCCTCCCTACTTTCTTGAAGAAATGTTGCCAGACCCATGTCCTATTCCCTTAAGGGTAGGTGTGGGCCTCTGGGCAAGTTGGGAGGGGGTTTGCAGAGCCCCAGATTGGAGAGTGGAAGGCTGGACACCACTCTCCAAATATGGGCCTGTGTGTCCTAAGTAGGCGTTAGAGGCATAGATGGGTGGTGGGGAGGGGGTGTCCTGGGAAGGGGAGGTAGCTTTCAGGCTTCTGGAAACTCACCCCCCAATCTAAAGGCAGCTTCACTGTGTTCGGGATTGTGTGTGGGGTAAGGTGGTAGTGCTGAGCTTGCAGGTGTTGGGGTGGGAGAAGAAGAGAGGCCAGAAACCTGCCCCTGATTCCTGACCTGTCTGAGCCTCTGCGGCTGACTTAGAGGCTTCCGGGTTTGTTTGTTGTTTTAACCCAGGGCTGACTTTTAAGAGACTGCCACATTCCTAAGGGATTGGCAAGTGAAGGTGATGAATGGGGTTGGCAGGAGGCAGAGTCTGAGGAAGTCAACAAGAACTCCAAGTTGACGCCCGGGAGCCCAGGTTCCCAGTGCTGTGGCCAGGCGTCCTGTCGGAGGACTGGTACCCCCGCTGACCCTGGTGGGTGGGGAAGGAGACCTTGGGCTCTGAAAAATCCCCTTTCTCTTCCCATGAATGTCCCCCAGCCTTCCTGGGCTGCTCTGTGGGCATTAGGGTTGGCCCTGTTCTTTGCCTCGGGTCACAGCTCTCCTGCCCCACTGGGGCGACCCAAGCCTGGGAGTGGGCACAGCAAGGGTAAGGGCTGAGGCTGGCAGACCTGGGTCTGTCCCCTGGAAATATGCCTCGGTGGCAAATGACTCCCCAGAGATGCCTGAGATTTTTCTTTTCTTTCTTTCTTTTTTTCTTTGCTTTGTAATTAGTATATTAAGGAGACAATACATTTCAAGAATTACTTAAATTCTGATACCCAGATTTAAGCATGTGAACATATGATGAGACCTTTAAACACACAATTAAAGCTATTCATCAGAATTTGTTATACTACCAACATTGCAGTTACTTTGGAGCGTAAGTCAAATGGTTTAAAGTAATCCTGTAACATACCTAAGGAACACCTCCCTATATTACGCGTGCAAATTCCTTCTCCATGTAAAGGTCTTTTCACTTTAATTTCTACGTTACTTTTTCTTTAAAGCAGGGCTGGTGAGATGACATAGACTGTACCTGCTCTGACTTCCATGAAACCTTATTTCATTGGCTCCATTTGCCCCGCCTGAGCCCAAATGGAGTCTCTGAGGAGGGAGCGAGAAAGAGCTGCTCATTCTTCCAAATGTTCTGCTTTGGTCTGCAGGAAAATTATCTCACTAAATATACAAATCTATCTTGACAATGCAATTGAATGGCCCTCCCATGTACAGTGCGATGCAATAGGTGTATTCCTCCCATTTCCTCTATCCCGGGCCCCAGCAAAACCATCACAGCCAGACTGAGGGGACACCAGTCCTGACATTTGGGACATGGTAGTGAAGAATGTGGCTTCTGAGCCAAGCAGATGAAGGGCAGACTTGGCCACACACAGGAGCTGACTTCATGGACTGGTTCCCCATCTGTAAGTGGGAACCACTCTGCTCAGGCTGCCACGGAGATGAAGTCCCAGCAGGTGCATGAGTGCTCTGCAGGGTGCTGCAGTCGGGAGCGGCTGAGTCCCTACGCTCTTACTCTCCTGGAGGCCCTTCTCTCGCCTCCTCTGGGAGCTAGGTCCTTCCAGCCAGCCCTGACCATCAGGCCCCTCTGGATATGACTTGGCTGACCTTTTTTCCCCTCCATAAAATACTTGGGTCTTGAAGTCCCTTTCAGCTCTGAAGTTTGATCACTGACTCAGGCCTGGGTTGTCCAACTTCATAATTTTGCAGGCTGGGTTCAGGGAGTAGGCTTGTGCCAAGAACTCAGGACACAGTTGTCTCAGTGGGAGAGGGGTCAGGAAAGGCTTGGAACATGGAAGAAGCATGGGCTTCCTGCTGGGAGTGAGTGAGAGGGAGGTGCTTGATGTTAGTTGACCTGGTGTGTGTGTGTGTGTGTGTGTGTGTGTGTGTATGAAGTGAGAGGTAGTCTCTCAAAATAATATTTGTCCTGTTTTCTCATTTTTCTAGAGCTGGTGGGATTGAAGCAGGGTTTGTTTTAGGACTGCCAGGAGTGTGTGTGTGTGTGTGTGTGTGAGTGTGCGCGCTGAGGGTAGATGTGACAAAATGTAGCCCTTGAGAAGGCCACAAAACAAAGGCTTCTCAATTTCTCTGGCGTTATTTAGGGATATTTTATGCCTCTGCCATCCACAAAACCAAGGGCTTCTATTTAATTCATTCTTTCAAGGAATGTATTGAGCTGGGCCCAGGAGGCTGTACTCTACGTCCAGAGGCTGGCCCTATGCTGGGTACCAGAGATAAAGTAAGAATAAGATGTGATTCCATGCTCTCCTGAGCCCACTGCCCCGTGGCACAATGCAGAGTGTGGGGAGCCCCATGCCTGGGTGGCTGTGGGGTTGAGGGCTGTGGTGGCCCAGAGAGGAGCTGCAGGAGGCTCCACTGCCAAGGAGGACTTGAGCCTGCACCAAAGACCAGGTAGGCACCAGTGCAGTCCCCACAGTGGGGACAGGCACCACAAGCCATGGTGCTGCTAGTGCAAACACTCAGAGGCATGGAAGAACACAGGTGATTGGAGAACCACATGTAGCATGGGGTAGCCAGAACCTTGGGGACAAGGACAGTGGGGACAGATAAGAAGCTTATCCTGAGGCTCACGTCACCGAGGCCTTGGGGGCCTGACTGAGGAGTTTGGATTTTAGCCTGTGGGCAGGGGTCCTAAACTCAATTGTCTGCAGGGACCAGAGTGGGAGGAGAGGCATGAAGATGCCAGTGCAGAAAGAGGTTGCCCTGGGGAAGGCAGGCCTTGTCCCCTCTGTTCAGTCATTGTCCCAGGTTGGGGGGCAGACCCAGAGTAATATATCATCTAACTAACTCTTACAGAGAAGCTGGCAATGTGGGTTTTTACACGGGCACATTTATTTTTAAATGTTAGCAATTAATTCAAGTTTAATATATAATGAAACAAAACACATGGCTCAGGCCCATCAGGAAAGGTCTGGGTTCCTGATTTGGCGCCCAGGCCCCTGTGTGTGGCCGCTGCCTATGACGGTGGGGGATATGCCCACAGCTTCCAAGTGGGAGTGGGTGGGTTAGAGTTTGCTTCCTGTGGTGGCGTTCTGAGGAAGCCTGTACAGACAGCTAGAGTGGACAGAGGTGGAGAGACTAGTACAGAAGTTATGGAAAAACCTCATTCTTCATTCATTCATTTAACAAATGTTTACTGAGCATGTGCTGTGTGCCAGGCACTGTGCTAAGCAGGTGCTATTAAGGGACACCCAGCCTCTTTCCAACCCACAGATCAAGGTCTGGGCTAATTCTGCCATGCCTTCCCAGGCCTCCTGTCCTTTCTTCCCAGGCTCTGAGGCTACACTTCTTGGTCCCAGGCCAAATCTGCTCTCTGCAGGGCCTCCTGAACTCCAACACAGCCTTTTTTCTGGGTTTTGCGCCCGCTCCAGTCATGCTCTGTCCTCTTCTTCTCTGGCGTTTATTGCTCCTCCCAGCTCTGCCCTCTGCACACCCATCCTTCAGTGCCTGGGTGTGGCAGAAGAGATCTCCTCCCCCCAGCTCTCCTGCTCTTGACATCAGCAGGAAATTCACAGAGCTTTTACTCTGGATCCAAACAAACACTCATGTGTTCGTGCATCTAGCTGAGAGCCCAACCTGGGTCTGGGCTGGCCTGGGAGCCCTGGGGGATACAAAGGTCCTTGTCCTCAAGACACTCCCAGGTGGAGGGGAATAAGCCCTGTCTACCGCCAAGAGCAAGACCACTCAATACCCAACGGATGGTCCCCATGAGCCAATGGCGGCCGTGGAAACATAGAGACCCAGTTCTTCCTGCTGTGTGCTTAACTTTCATGGGCTCATGGGTGCTTCACCACTGCTCATTAAGGCCAGCTCTATTATGGTACTATTTCACATTTGAGGAGACTGAAGCTCAGAAAGTTGACTAAACTGTCTGAGATTGCTTAGCTGTCAGAGGCAGCACGTTGGTTTGACCCTGGGGTGGTTGACTGCAAGCCCGCTTAGTGCATGGCCATTTCAGGAGAAGGATGTGAGAACTGGCAGGGATAGGGGGTGGTCGCTGGGGCACATCCCCAGTGGGCATCTTCCTGGACTTTCTCCAGGATGGGGAGTGATTCCACACAGGCTGACATGGGGTGTGATGGGCCTGGCTGCTGGCATGTGGCTCCCCGGCAGTGCCCCCACCCTTTGCTGGTCTCTCACCCAGCCCTCTCTCTGGTCTCCGGTTCTGTGGCACGTGCCTCTCTTCTCCCAGTTTGTCCCTCCTCCTCCTCCTAGACAAAGGTAGCCTGATACTGTGAGTCAGGATGGATTGGGAGCCAGGGTCATTAACTCACCTGGGCCTGTCAAATGGGCGTAAGCACTGATTATCCTGCAGGGATCTGGTGGAACTCAAACCATTGAAGATTACAGAAGGAAACTGCTATAAATATTTAGAGGCATGAGTCATTCATTCATTCGGCAAGTATTTATTGAGCGCATACTCTGTGGCAGGCCCTGCTCTGAATTTTAGGGATATTGTCCTGAGGAAGACAGCCTTAGCTCCTGCCCGCATGGGGCTTACAGTCTAGAGTGGGGTGGGGGGCAGACATTCAGTAGCCATGCAGATGAACACATAGGTACAAAGCAAACTGTGTTCAACAAGATTGTCAACAGGGTTGGAGAAATGCGTCCACAGCCTTTCCTGAGTAAGTGGGATTTCAGCTGAAGGATGACAAGTCAGCCTGCACAGGGCAGGGCAGGGGCCCCCAGGGCGTGAGTGCAAAGCCCTCGAGTGGCGGACAAGCCAGAGGCTTGCGACAAGGCAGCATGAGCTGGGGCGGCGCGGGGGGAGGCTGGGGGCTGACTGGCCGGACTGGGCATGGCCTTGCAAAAGAGAGCTATTGAAGGATTTAGTTTAAGTGGCTTAACAAAAATAAACCTCTATCTCTTTGACCTGGGTCTCTAGAGCTTCTCCTGCCTCCTTTGCCCTCAGTGTCCATTCTGTGTGATGAGAAGTTGGGCTTGGGGGAGGTCTCAGCCCTCACCCCCTTCTCGGGCAGAAGGGCAGCTGATTGAAAGCAGATGTCTCGCCCTGGTGGGGCCCAGCCCGGCTCCCCAGTGCTGACCTCAGACCTGCACCGCTGGCATGTCCAGGCCGCAGACTCTCTGTCAGCAAAGCCGCATCCGTCCTGCAGAGAGACGATCACTGTGGTTGCCCACACCCCCAACCCAGCAATTTCCCTACCACGGTGAGAAACCTCCCGTATTCTGGGGCTGGGGCCCAGCCTCCTCCTTCCAATTGCCTGGGGGAGGGAGAGACACCAATTAGGTTCTTGGAAAGGAACTAGGTTAGAAGAGGTATCTGTCACCCCTGCCCAGTTCCTCGGCACACCTGCACCAGCACAGCGCCAAAGGAGGCCACCATTATCCTATTCAGCATGTCCTTGGCTCTGGGCTAAGTGCTTTATGTCTTCCCATTTAACCTTCACAAACAGCTCCATGAGGCCCAACCGTTAAGGCAGTGTGTGACTGAGGCTCAGAGAGGACACCTTGTCACACGGCTGGTAGGTGCAGAGCTGGGATCTGAGCCCAGGTCATCAGGTCTGAAGTCTGTGACCCCAGTGGTCCTCTGCAGGGGGCACTGGCTGTTGCTCCTGTGCCTCTCAGACACTCCATGTGCCTGTTGCACCTGAGGAAGCCCAGGTCAGCTCCAGGCTGCTCGTGCCTCCAGGGACCTGCGTCTTGGCATAGGGCAGCAACATGGGCCCAGAGAGTGCTGGTGCGGCCTCTAGGTGGTGGCCTGGGCTCTGGACATTGTCAAGGGCAGTATGCTTGCTGTTGAATCAGTTTGGACCATGCCCAGGGGTCTCTTCGCAGAGGGAGTTACCATTTTAATTTTTGCCTTTGAACACCCCTGGGAACCACCCCCCATGCACCTGCCCTTTTGGGGCTGCTACGTCCATGAGGCCTCTGCTCCCCGGCCCCCACCATGCACCTGGAGGCATTCAGCAGGCTCCACAGGTTTCCCAGAGATGCCTCTGGTGTCCTGCAGCAACCCTAGTGGCCACTTCCCTCACTACCCCTTACTCTCAGGCCACCCTAGAACAGTACTCTCTTTCCTCTGCTCCTACAAGGCTGCTCCCAGCCCATCTGCAGACCTATCTGCCTCACCCCTGGCCGTTTCCCTGGTCTACTTCCTCTTCTCTGCCCATCCCAGCATCTCTGCCTGATCCCACCCCCTCAGAGAGATCATTTTGCTCTCAGTCAGTCAGCAAGCATTTACTGAGCTGTAGAGATATCCTGGCTGAGAGCTCAGGCTCTGAAGCCTGACGCCTGGGGCTACAGAAATGAAACCCTCCCGTCCCCTGCTCACCTCTGGTGCACCTGGAGCATAAAGAGAAAAGGCAAAGGCTCCACCGCTGGATGCTGGCTTCACTTTGGCTTCTCCCTGCTGCCTAGTTACTGAGAAGAAAAAAAATACGGCAGGAAGCCCCATATAGACCATTTTTTCCCTCTGTTCTGTGCAAGAGTTACCTTGGTAGTCTTCAGGTGACTCAGCACTGGGGTTTACTATGGAGGGTGGGTCTGGGGGTGGCGAAGGGGAGCAGCTTTCTGGGGACTTTCAGACACAGGAGTAAGGAGGCCATTTGTGTTTTGGGGTCTGTAAAGAAGGAGCCCCAACCCCAGTGTGGATCCTGGGGAAGGAAAAGGGACTCAGACTCTGACCGCAAGGGGTGGACCTGAAGCCCCAGCAAACTGTCAGCCATCCTCTGCCATCCTTGAAGTCAGCCCCCAGAAGATGCATGTGGCCTGTGTGGTGCTCTGGTTGGCACAGGACACTCAGCCTTCTGACCACGTGGGAGCAGTTATCCACAGGTGCCACCTCAGTGGGAACGGGTCAGCGTCCTGGTTCTCCTGGCCAAGGTGCAGAAGTTGGAGCCTCTACCTCCCCCTCCACTTTTTGAGTACATGAGACCTGGAGGTTCTTGGGCAATTTGAAAGGAGAGGAAGATTCCAGAGGAAGGTATGTTTTTCTTTCAAGTATAGTAAATTAGGTCTGGATGGTTTTAATTGAAATTATACAAATCGAAGAAATGCAATAGTATTTGTACCTCCAATATCTGCTATCACTCAGTGGTCACAAAAACATCAGTTCCTATTTATCAAAAGCTTATGGTATGCCAGGTCTCCCATTTACATTGTTTTATTTAATCTTCAGGACAAGGTAGGTACTTTCTGTCACCATTTTACAGATGAGAAAACTGAGGCTCTCTACAGAGAGGTTAACTAACTTTCCCAAAGTCACACAGATAGCAAAGCTGTGGATTGGGCTTATAACCCACATGTCTTTCACTCCAAAGTCCTTCGACCACAAGGTCCACTCTATTGCTCTGTCTGGGGGTTCTCTGAATCTGTGGGGACCCCAGAAGATATGGACCTGCAGGGAGAAGCCATGGGATCTGGAGGCCCAAGGCCTAAGGAGACCGTGGGGCCTCCTTCAGGTAACTGTCTTCGGCAGCAGCTGCATCCCATTACACTGTGGACAGCAGTCTTTAGAAAGCCACCTTCTCCTGGGCTGCAAAGGAACAGGGTGACCACAGCCTATGAACCCTTGGGGCCCCTTGAGTTCCCACTGCCTGCCCGGCAGGGTTTCACAAACGCATTGACATTGATGTTGACAGGGCAGCCTGTGTGGAGGGTGCAGGAAGCCCAGAGGCCTGTGGCTGCCAGCATTGCTCAGAGTTTCCGCTGAGCTCTTCCTGCAGGGCCCTCCTCAGGGCTCTGCTAGCCAGCGCCCCCTGTCTTGAGGCCTTCGTGGACCCCAGCTGGCTCTGAGACAAGCTCAACTGACTCCAGGGCCTCTGAAGGGCTAGGAAGGCCCCATTTTCTGGGTGCCGAGCCTTGGGTTAGCTTCAGAGGCCCTGGTGATAGCCTCAGGATATCTGAAGGTTTCTTAGGACCAACGCCACCAGGTGGGACAGAGGCAGTGCTACTTCCAGTCAGAAGATCCAAGTTCCACTCTCAGATCCAACACTCGCTGGTTCTGCAACCTCAGGCGGGTGTCTTTCCCTCACCGAATTCCCTCCCCTATCTACCTCACAGGGCTGTTTAAAACCCTTGGCAACAGGAAAACACTCGGCCAGTATTGGTGGCCCTAGTAAGGCTGTGGGCTGACTGTGGGCCTGCCCCTAATTGGTCTTCTCACCTGGAAACTCAGCGAAGAGGCTGGACTTATGGGTTCCAGAAGAGGGGCAGGGCATTCCAGGAGGAGAGAGGGCTGAGCCCAGGCACAGAGTTCAGAACACACAGGAAAGAATTGAGCTCTGTGCCAGAAACTGTTCTAAGCATTTTACACATAATAACTCATTTACCTCTCTCATCGTTCCCATGAGGTAGGCATTACTTCACCCCATTTTACAGATGAGGCAATGGAGGCACAGAGGGGTAAAGTAACTTGCTCAAGATCCCATCGCTAGAAGTGGGGAGCCAAGATTTGGACCTGGGCAGTCTGGGAGGAGACCACCAGTGGAGGCAGCGGTGGTGGGACTGGAAAGGTTGGGAGAAACGCCAGGGACTGGGCCGCATCTGCCCTGCTCACTGCTGCAAGGCCAGCGCCCAGAGCAGTGCTTAGCACATAGTAGGTGTTCTTAGCCTGTTCCTGATACATGAGCTCCGCAGGTGTGGCTACCTTGCTTGTCTGGGGACGCTGACATTTCACACAACACAGAGAGGTTGGGGTTGCTGCCTCTGCCTTTGGGCTGAGATTCAGCCCTTTTCAGTGGGGCTATTGGACCCCTACAGCGGGAGGGCCCCTTGTAGGAAGGCAGAAATTTAAAATCGTTCCTTAATCTCCCTTTGGCCCCCTCCTGTTAGGGCCAGCCTCGCCTCCTGTACCTCCCTGGGGAGTGTTTTTAGCTCCCAGAACTTGGGATCCAGGTGGGCTGGGGGGCTGGGGGAATGCAGACAAACGGAGAAGCATGTTCGCTGCCGGCAGAGGCTGCTGAGAGACCAGCCTGTTTGCATGGCTGGAGCGCTGGGGGCTGGTGAGAAAGGAAGCTTCCTACTCTGCAGCACTCAGACCCCACTAGGAATGTGGCTTGGGGCCAGGATCCCTCTGGGCAAGAAAGGATGACTCAGCAGAAACAGCGTCCTGGCCCCACAGGACAACTGGAGCCGCTGCCCTGGGGGCTGGTACCAAGTGGCAGAGCTGCTGAATTAATGACCCCTCCACCTCAGCTTCATCTCCACCCTCCTACACCTCATCCCCCACTCCCACTCTCCCAGGCCTCCTTTAGAAGCCGTTCTCTGGGCTGGGGTTTTAAGACTCTCAGAGTGGCAAGACCTGGCCCCCTCCAGAAACTTTCAGACGGAATTGGGAGGCGCCCCGAGGCTGGAATTGATAACTGGCGAGGGGAGGCAGCCAGCCTTCGAGGACCCCCGGGCCTGCCAAGGGAGTCAGCATGGAGTGAGGGGTGCATGGGGCAGTGGCGGGAGCTGGCCTGGGCGGGGGCCTGGGGAATTCCAGCCCAGGAGAGCCAACTGGAAGCACATGTGTTTAGATGGGCACGGAACCCATAAAGCTGCTTCTTCCAGCCCAGCTTCCCAAGGATTAAAGATCTCAGGAATCCTGGGAAATCTGTCTCCTTGTCACCAGAGGCCCCTCAGGACACAGGCTCCCGCCCCACTTGCACCTCAGGTCCTGAGCAGAAGTGGATGATGATGGTCGTGGTGAAAATGTGGATCTTGTGAGAGTCGGGGTGCAGCTGCTAGCGTTGTTTCCCACACATCCTGCTGACCGCTGTTACCTGTTTAATCCCAGGTGTTCCCCAGGGCAGCCTTATCAGGTGGATAGGTACCAGTATTACCCTCATTTTCTGCAGAGGAAACTGCCTTGCAGGAAGGTAAGTAGCTTGTCCAAGTTCACTCTGGTTGTGGCAGAATACATTTCCAAGGCTGGGATCTTAAATGCTCTGCTTGATCCTCTACCCCTTGGAGGAAGGAAAAAGGGTAGAGTTCCTGTGGCTCTGTCCCCTCCCCTGGGTGCCACGCAGTGACTGAGGGTCACCAGGGTCAGCCCATGGAAACGCTGACCCTTTCTAGGAGGCGTTGCAACATCCAGCAGTTTCCTGCGCAACTATCATAGGGGGCTTGGGTCTGGTGAGCAGTGAAGATCCTGAGATTTGGGGCTAGAAGACATGAGCCTGTCTCCTGACTTACTAGCTGTGTGACTTTGACGCTTAGCTTTGTCTCCCTGGACCTTGGTTCCCTCACCTATAAAATGGGAGAGAAGAATACAAAAATTTTCTCTCCGTGACCTGCCCCAGGGAGATCAAATGTAGACCCTAAGTCCGCTGCAGCCAGGGGGCCTAAGCAGACGGAAAGCAGTGGTGGGTGGCGAGGGTTGAGAGGGGAGGAGATCAGGGACAGGGGGCAGGAAGGGAGTGTCGGGGGCTGGTATCACACTACTAGGCTCCCAGGTCTGGAGAGAGGCCAGCAGAGATCAGGATTTCCTTTCATAACAGATTATGGAACAGCTACTTTGCACTAATCTATCTGCCTGATAGAGATCATCTGGGGATGACCCAGCAGCCTTTGGTGAAGACACAGAACAGAATGGCTGCATCTTCCCAGGAAAATCCCATGGGCAAAACGACTCTAGGTGCCAGATAACAGCCATTTTTTGGCAAGTGCCGGTTTGCTGACTTCCTTCTGTCCTGCTCTAACCTGGCTTCTGTTAGTTGACTGGTTCCTGTTGCCTCAGCAACAAAGCAATAATGGAGGTGGGTGTGAATGGCTATGTTAAATCACTTAATTATTGCAAACAGGCACTCTGCCAAACGGGGGTGGTTACAGCTATGTTAGACTTAGTCACTGCCTGCAACTAAATGTAGCTGAGATGGTCGTAATATGCACCACCAACAAATACATCTTGGTTGACTAAAGAACCTTTGGAATTATGAAGACATTAGACTACATCCATTACAGTTGTATCGCTGAGTCCATTTTATTATATTCAAAACCTTTGCAAACCAGTAATTTACATAGGATGTGTATGGCGAGGCTACCTCAGTTACCCAATCCTCAACTCTATAAGGTTTTATCAATAACAGCAGGTCCGTTCCGTTTAGGCTGTTATTATGGCTCTCTCCTGGAACATCCTGTAGTGGTTGTTTTTTGGAAACATCATTTGGTTCATAATCTCTTAGCAACAGGACTTTGAGGGCTAACGGCCGACGTATAAGCCCAGCAAGATGATTGTGACTCGTGGGTAGGCAAACCCACAGCAGCCAAGTCCAAGCACTCTCTGATTATGGGTTTAATTGTTTGAGGTCATTGAACGTCATGGGCACCCACTGCGGGTCAAACTGGCTTTGTTATCTGCCAGTGAGCATTTGCCAAGGCAGCCACACACCCAGGGCCCAAGGAGAACTTCCAGAGTCACCGAGTGCCCCAGGCGTCACAGCTTGGTCTTTCGGCTGCAGACCCTGGAGTGCCTGATGGGGAAGAGGAAGAAAGGAAGGAGGATTTACCTCACTCTGTGTATGCCTGGCACTTCACCTCATTGTATCCTCACAGCCCCCTGTGCAGCAGTGTTAGGACTGTCTTGCCAGGCTGCAGATGAGGAGGCAGCCGCTCAGACCGGGGAGTCACTGGCTGCGCTCACAGGTGCTCACAGGCTGGCAGAGGCAGGATTCTGATCCAGGTCCTCCCGAGCTCACAGCCTCTGCTCTTTCTGCTCTTTCCATGCAAACGCCCACGCCTATGGGGACAGCTGGGTCTTTCCTGGATGTTTGGTCTCCATAAGATTCTGTTCCAGAGTGGAGCATGTGAGGGTCATTGCCACAGACCCATTCAACATGTCAGAGGCCACGCAAACAGTGTATACATCTGGCGCCACTGAGCCCAGCACTCACAGGCAGCCTGGGGCCTGCCTGCCTGCTCTCAGTTTGCAATTCCCTTTTTATTTGAGTTCTCTCTGGTCCCTCCCAGAGATTGAGACTGTAGTTTGCCATCTGTATTTAGTAGGAATTAAAAGTTTTAAACATAGCTACCACTTTTTACTATGAGCTGAGCACATACACACTGCTATTTACTTCTTAAAACCTTGTAAAGATGTGATACTGTTGTCCCTGTTTACAGATCAGGAAATTGAGGGTCAGAGTGGTTGGATGATTTGCTCTAAGTCACAGAAAACAGGTTTATTTTTTATTTTTTATTTTTTTTTGAGAAGGAGTCTCACTCTGTCGCCCAGGTTAGAGTGCAGTGGCGCGATCTCGGCTCACTGCAAGCTGTGCCTCCCGGGTTCACGCCATTCTCCTGCCTCAGCCTCCCGAGTAGCTGGGACTACAAGCGCCCGCCACCACGCCCGGCTAATTTTTTTTGGATTTTTAGTAGAGACGGGGTTTCACCGTGTTAGCCAGGATTGTCTCGATCTCCTGACCTCGTGATCTGCCCACCTCGGCCTCCCAAAGTGCTGGGATTACAGGCATGAGCCACAGTGCCCGGCCTGGAAACAGGTTCTTATTGTGATACCCACAGCCCATCCTCTGCCCTGCCCTGCTGCTCCATTACTCCTGAGCGGAGGTGGACACCCGGAGAAATATGCAGTTTTGTGCTTTGGGTCCCTGCACTCACAGGGGCCTCTTCCAAGGCCCCAGAAATCTATTCAGATGGTCACATATCTTTGTAAAATTTGCAAAGGTAAGATATTTTTATCTTCTTTTTATAAAGGAGCATCTCGCATCCCCTCATTGTATAAACCTCAGTTTCCACAGAACCTAGATCCAACCTGCTAGTGAGTATATACCTTGAACATTGTACCTAAGAATTTACTCTTCCTTCTAGCCACCACCACTTAATTTTTTCTCCTTGGCACTTTTCATGAATACACTATATACTTTATGTATTAACCTTATTTATTGTATTTTTTTTTTTTTTTTTTTTTTTTTTGAGACGGCGTCTCGCACTGTTACCTGGGTTGGAGTGCAGTGGCGCGATCTCGGCTCACTGCAACCTCTGCCTCCCAGGTTCTCATCCCTCAGCCTCCTGAGTAGCTGGGACTAAAAGCATGCACCACCACGCCTGGCTAATTTTTATATTTTTAGTAGAGACAGGGTTTTGCCATGTTGGCCAGGCTGATTTCGAACTCCTGACCTCAAGTGATCCATCCACCTTGGCCTCCCAAAGGGCTGGGATTACAGGCATGAGCCACTGCGCCCGGCCAATCTTATTTATTGTAGATTGTAGGCTCTACTCAACAAGTTTTTTTAGGTGAATGAATGCAGCCATCATCCTTATACTTAAAAGAGTCCTGTGTCATAGACAGAGCCATGATTATTTTCACATTCTAGACAAAGACGTGGAAGATGACATGCTCAAAGGCACCTACTAGCAAAGCTAATCCCTTTTCTATGTTCTGAGCTCCCTTTGTATTTGGCCACATCTCGGTTTCCTCTGGCCATGACATCATAATTTACTCATAGACTAGACATCAGCTCACTAGCGTTTCATCCTTGACTCTTCTCTTAACAAGTTTCTCTTTCCCTCCAAATTTTATCAGCCACCTCCCAAATATCTCTTGAATTTTAGCACTTCTATCTCCATAGCCCCAACCCAGAGAAAGTGTCCAGTAGCCTCCTGACCCCAGCTTCTTCCCCTCACAGCCTCCCAAGGCTTATCTGATCGGACAATCTCCTGTTGGCATGGACCCATGGATCCTCATTTCTTAGAGACTGTATTTGAAGTCCTCAGCCCAGCCCACAAGGTCCACACTGAGTTTTGTTTTGTTTCAGTTTCTCAAATTCAGTATCTCCTTTCTGACTCAGAGCCTTTGTACATGCTGTGTCCCTTTCTGATGCCAGAACATTCTTGCCCTATCCTTTCCTCCGATCCTACTTAGTTTTTACTCACCCTTCTGGTCTCCAAGCTAGCATTACTTCCTCAGGGTTACCTTCCGTGTTCTCCCAGCTTGGGTCAGAGCCTCCATGAATGATTTTTACAGCTCCTTATATATCTCTGCTTAGAACTGATTACAACTGTTATTAAACAACCGAACTGTTTGATCTGTTGTAGCAACCTCTCCCCTCCACCTTCGTCCTCAGCCAGGCATAAGCTCACAGAGGGTAGAGACTGCGTCTGCCTTGGTCCCTGCTATATCTTTGTTGTGTTTTTTTGGCCTAAGGAATAAAGATGTTTATATGTGCCGGGTGCAGTGGCTCACGCCTGTAATCCCAACTCTTTGGGAGGCCAAGGCAGGTGGATCACCTGATGTCAGGAGTTGGAGACCAGCCTGGCCAACATATTAAAATAGAAAAATTAGCCGGGTGTGGTGGCAGGAGCCTGTAACCCCAGCTACTTGGGAGGTTGAGACATGAGAATCACTTGAATTTAGGAGGTGGAGGTTGCAGTGAGCTGGGATTATGCTACTGCACTCCAGCCTGGGTGACAGAGTGAGACTCTGTCTCAAAAAAAAAAGATGTTTATATGTAACCTTCCAAAGTGTTTCACATCAGCAAGCAGCAGCACTCCATGTGGTTATTTAGCAATGCAGGTCCTTCCATGCAGTGGCTTGTCATCCCTAGGACTTGAGGCTGGGTCAGTGCCACATCTGGGTTGAAGCCAGCAGGAAGGGGAATTGGTTTTCTGGGTCTTGGCTTCCTTCCGGTGGTCTATTACAGAAGAACAAACCACCCCAAATTTAGTGCTGTAAAACACCAACCATTTCATTATCTTCACAGATTCTGTGAGTCTGTGAGGGATTCCGGGGGAATTTGGACAGAACACAGAGAGGGTGGCTTGTCTCTGCCCTGCAATGTCTGGGCCTCAGCTGGGAAGACTCAAATGGTTGGGGGCTGAACCGTCTGGAGGCATTTTTGCTTACCTGGCACGTGGCTGGAAGACTGGGCTAGGCTGAGCCAGTACCAGAGCACCAACATGTGGCCTCTCCAACATGGTGGCCTCAAAGGAGTTGGGTTTCTTTTATAGTGGCTCAGGGCTCAAGAGTGTGTGTTCCCAGAGAACAAGGTGAAGCTACATAACCTTCTATATCCTAAGCCTCAGAAGTCACATTTCTTCCCATGGTACTCTATGATAGAAGACTGCCCAGGTTCAAGTGGAGGTGTTGTAGACCCCCCACCTCTTGATGGGAAGAGAGTGGAAGAATTTGTGGCCATATTTATAAACCACTACAGCCCAGAGGGGCACGTGCCAGTTTTACTCACATTCCGCCTGTGAGAGTGTAGTTATATGGTGTCATCTAAATGCAATAGGGCCGGAAAATGCTGTCCCCCTACTTAGACAGCTTCAACTGCATTATAAGGGAAGAAGAGGCTGGGCACAGTGACTCATGCCTGTAATCCCAGCACTTTGGGAGGCCGAAGTGGAAGAATTGTTTGAGACCAGGAGTTCAAGACCAGCCTGAGCAACATAGTGAGTCCCCATCTCTTCAAAAATTAGCCAGATGCATTGGTGCATTTGTGGCCCCAGCGACTCAGGGGGCTGAGGTGTAAGGATCACTTGAGCCCAGGTGGTTGAGATTGTAGTGAGCTGTAGTGCCACTGCTCTCCAGCCTGGGCGACAGAGCAAGACCCTGCCTCAAAAAAAAAAAAAAAAAAAAAAAAGAAAAAAAAGAAGAAGAAGAAGAAGAAAGGAGAATGGATTTTCATAGACTGTTAGCAATCTGCTAGAGTCACTCCTCTGGCCACCAAACATCTATGTGTCTCACTCCCCACATATGCAATACACTTCTCCTAGGGGGAAAAAAACCCAAATCCCAGTGATGGGATCTGCTGCTGCGTATTTGTTGAACAACTAACTGACTGGATATTGCAGAGCAGCTGTGTCCAGCCCATCCATTATGAAAATGGGGTGGGCAGAGACAATATTTTATTTATTTCTTTTCTTTTCTTTTTTGTTTGTTTGTTTGTTTGTTTGTTTTTGAGATGGAGTCTTGCTTTGTCACCCAGGCCGGAGTGCAGTGGCATGATGTCGGCTCACTGCAACCTGTTCCTCCAGGGTTCAAGCAATTCTCCTGCCTCAGCCTCCCAAGTAGCTGGGATTACAGGCACCTGCCATCACGCCTAGCTAATTTTTGTATTTTTAGTAGAGACGGGGTTTCACCACATTGACCAGGCTTGTCTTGAACTCCTAACCTCAAGTGATCCACCCACCTTGGCCTCTCAAAGTGCTGGGATTACAGACGTGAGCCACCACGCCCAGCCAATGTTCCATTTCTTAACCTTGAGCCTCGGGTGGGCTAGTTCTAAGTGGGGAGGCAAAATGAGGTAGCCTCTGGCCTATTAAGAATGGAGAGAGATCTGCATTTCCCTTTGTCTTGGCACTTAATTCAATCATTTACAGAGTGGGAAACATGAATAAATGTTCATTGAAAAGAACATCTATCTCATGCTGCATCCCAAATTAATTCCAGATGGATCAAAGAGTTACATGTGAAAAATAAACACAGGAAAGGCTAGAGGAAAGGCATAGGAGCAGACAGTTCACAGAAGATAAAAAAAAAAAAAAAAGGCCAGTGGTGTGAAAAGACATGTTCTTGAAGATGTGGGGAGGCAGGAACTCTCAGACATTGTCAGTAGGTGTTTAAGTTGATCATTTTTAGATTTGGCAATAGCTTTTGAGGTGTCAAATGTTCCGTACCTTTTTATCCAGGAATTCCTCTTCTAGGTATTTATTCTACAGATACACAGTATTCCCACAAGTGAGCAAAAACTCTGTCAAAAATGTTCAGGCCGGGTGCGGTTGCTCACGCCTGTAATCTCAGAACTTTGGGAGGCTGAGGCGGGTGGATCACCTTAGGTCAGGAGTTCGAGACTAGCCTTGCCAACATGGTGAAACCCCATCTCTACTAAAAATACAAAAATTAGTTGGGTGTGGTGGCGCATGCCTGTAATCCCAGCTACTCGGGAGGCTGAGGCAGGAGAATTGCTTGAACTGGGGAGGTGGAGGTTGCAGTGAGCCAAGATCACACCATTTCACTCCAGTCTGGGCGACAGAGCAAGACTCCATCTCAAAAAAAAAAAAAAAAAAAAAAAAGAATGTTCAGTGTACGCTTGTTTAAAATAGCAAAGTAACTGGAAACCACCTAAATCTCCATCCATGGAAACATTAAATCAAGTAGAATTCCATGCAGCTGTTCAAAAGAATAAGATAGATTCAGTAGCATTCACATGGAGAAATGTCCAAGGAGCACTGATAATAGGAAACAAAAGGCAAGCTGGAGAGCAGTATGGATAACATAATTCCATTTGTGTTAAGAAAGAAAACAAGTCAATATAATTCCTAAATATAAAACAACAATACCTGGAAAGATTTATAGGAAGCTTTGACAGTGGTTTCTTCAGAGGGAGTGAGTTTCATGCTGGGGGTAACAGGAGAATTTTATCTTTGTGCTTTATACCTTTCTTTACTGTACAATGGGTTATTTTACAATGTACATGTAATCAGTTTTATAGAAGAATCAAATTTAGAATAGTAATTATCTCAAGGGAAGGAGAGAAGAGAATGGGACAGAGGTTATAGGGCCCTTTAACTGTATTTCCAATATTATGTTTCAAAAAGAAATTGAAATGGTGAAAATGGTCAATTTTATGTCAGCATATTTTACTACAATAAAATAAAGAAGAAATTGAAGCAAATGTGGCAATATGTTAAGAACTGCTAAAGCTGGGCTGGTGCAGTGGCTCACACCTGTAGTCCCAACACTTTGGGAGGCCAAGGTGGGAGGATTGCTTGAGCTGGAGATCCAGGCCAGCCTGGGGAACATGGCGAGACCTGCCTTTTCCGAAAAATGTAAAAATTAGCCAAGTGTGGTTTACTCAGGAGGCTGAGGTAGAGGGAGTGCTTGAGCCCAGGAGTTTGAGGCTGCAGTGAGCTATGATTGTGCCACTGCACTCCAGCCTGGGCAACAGACAAAGACCCTGTCTCAAGAAAAAAAAAAAAAGAATTGGTAAAGCTGGTTGGTGGGTACAAAGATGTTCATTCTATAATTCCCTATGCTTTTCCAAATATTTGTTGCACTTCACAACTTAGAAAAAGAGTTTAAAAATTCATTCAACATAACAAGATCAAGTAAATTAAAAAGAAACCAGAAAAAAAATGAAGCAAAAGGAAAATAAGAGCAGTAAAACAAAAAACTTTATAACCCATACTAAATGCATTAGATAACCTTTTATTTATTTATTTATTTATTTATTTATTTATTTATTTATTTATTTCTCATTCTGTCACCTGGGCTGGAGTGCAGTGGTGCCTCCACCTCCCAGGTTCAAGCGATTCTCCTGCCTCAGCCTCCCAAGTAGCTGGGATTACAGGTGTGTGCCACCACACCTGGCTAATTTTTGTATTTTTAGTAGACATGGGGTTTCACCATGTTGGCCAGGCTGGCCTCGAACTCCTGAGCTCAAATTATCCACCTAAGCTTCCCAAAGTGCTGGGATTACAGGTGTGAGCCACCATGCCAGGCCAAATAACTTTCTTACAAGCAGCTGGAGAAATTTAATCATTGTCTCGTAGGAGGTATAGGAACTTCATGTTTCTCATTTTAAGCTCTAGGAAGCACTTTAGTCCTGGAGCTTACAGTCAATCTGTAAGAAACAGACAGATTGTTGCTTAGAAAAGCTCAATTTACCAATCCAGCATGGAGGCTGGATTTCAGTGCAAACCCGAGGTGGGTGAACAGTTCAGAGCCTGTTTCTCTGGGTGCAGATGAGAGCCACAGAGAGTTCTGGCAGCCCAGGGGGGAGGGGGGCTGGACGGATTTATTACAGAGGGCCTCCCTGGGCAGAGGATTGGAACAAGGAAAAGGATGAGGAGCTGACCACCAGGGAAGCAGGTGCTCCCCGTGGGCCTCTGACTGAGCCCTGATCCTGTATGCTTGGCCCTCCTTTCATAGCATGGGGCATTTTGGGTGAGTGAAGATGCCTCCCGATGGTTTGGCTCCCAAACATTTGAGTCTTCTCACACGCCATGGTCTTCACCTCTCTGACCCTTCCCCTGCCCTTGCCCTGGAGAGCTGGAAAAGCAGTAAATCAGTGGAAGGGGCTGCCCCAACCCCAAGGCATTCGCACCCTTCCCTGGCCCATTTCCCGGCACAGGTCACAGGCAGGGTCTTAATCTGCTGCACCTGCAGTTCTTTGATCCATTTTGGTTTCTTTTCTTTTGAAAAACGTTGACCGCAGTGCAATCTTGACTCTGTTGCTTTGAAAACCCTCTTCCTGTGAACTTGCGATGCCAGTGATAAAGAAAAGGGCAGAGGGCTGCGGGTCTTACCAGGGGCCTTTGTTATGGGCGCTGAAGGGGAATAAATATCACAGGTGGGCAGAAGGTGGGGCTGGGCCTGGAGACGTTCTGAGGGCTTGGGTTGTTCGGGCCCTAGGCTGGGGACATCCAGGGCCAGGCGGCTACTTGCTGATAATCAGGCTTCCCAGCTGCCCTGGAGCCCAGTGGGGCCGTGAGCTTCCTCCCACCTAGATGCTACTGTCTAGGGTGCATAGGAGGATCCCCACACTGGGGGAAGTGAACTCAGCACTGCCCAGTTTCCTACCAGCTGGGCCCACGATTCTAGGCAGAGCTGGGCCTCCTGGTCTAGCTGCCTGCCCCTCTGCCACCCTGAAGGCCGACGCTGCGCTGCCTACAGGCCTGCTGCTGCTGCTCTCCAGCCTCCCACAGCTGCAGGATTGGGGTGTGAGTGAGTGTGTGGAGAAAGGGTTTCTGGGTTCCATTCCTGGCAAGGACTCTAAGACCTCCTGAGCCAACCTCTTGTCAGTGATTGTTCTGCTGCCCAGGGCTTCTGGGGCTGGTGACTGACTTCTCAGTGGCCCCGATTTTGTGTTCTTGTTGCTGACTCTTGGAAACCAAATGCTGGCAACCAGCCTGTGCCTGCCAGACTCCAGGCTGGGACCGTTAGATACATGATTGCTTTTCAAATTTGGAACAAGCAAAACATAAGCATGCTCATCAACACTCTTGTACAGAGAAGGAAAATGAGTCAGGATTGGGTGCCTTTTTCCAGTCTGCCTGCCAACTTTCTCCACCTTGCTCTGCCCCCTAGGACTGTGGGAACTACGTCTATGGGTGCCCTTACCCTCTGCCTTGGTCACTGGGGAGCGCCGATAGCTTATGGGAGGCAGAGAGGAGAGTGAGGTCAGGGCACTTAACCTCCTGTGGGGCAGCCACAGCCTGGCTGCATCCCTCCATGAGGCCACAGCTGCTGCCAGGCAGCCCTATCTACTCAGCTCCAGAGCTCTGCAGGTCCAGTGACCTCCCCTGGGGCCATCAGGTCCAGCATCAGGAAAGCCTGATGCTCTTGGTCCAGGTTCCTGCAATCCTTTTCCAAGACCTTTGACAATAGTCTCCTTATTGAATACTTCTCAAATCCCCCAGTTTGAGTATGTTGACGGCTTCCTCCTGGGACCCTGCATTATCCATACCATCCAGCCAGTTGATCAGCAAGGACTCCTGGGTCTGCCAAGTCACTACAGACTGCAGCTGGGCTATAGGAGGGGGTGCCCCTTTCTAATTCCTGCTCTTTTTTCTGGCTCTGCTCATACCCTCATCCATGTACCCCCTATTTCCCTGCTTTGCCTCCCACCCCAACCTACAGTGCTTCCCCTGCCAGATGTCTGGGGATGTTTAGAAGAGGAGAGTCACAGCCAAACAACTGCTTCTCCACCCCAGCCACCCTGATGCATCCGGGAAGTGGTGCTCACTGGGATCTGAGTTCTTAGGCGTCATAGGGCAGTCATGGAGGCCCTGGGTCCTTGAGACAGGTGTCCTGGAAGCCAGTGCACGGAAGCAGGGTGATTTCACATTGCTGGAAGAGTCCTCTTCTCTGGGGACCCTTCGCCAGTAAAACCCACCCTCTCACCTACTCACTCACTTGCAATTCAGAGAGGCTGGCTCACCACCAGGCCCACCCCAAGGGATCTGTGTATCACTTCCTGTGGGAGGCTCTCCCTGGCACCCGGCGGAGGCTGGCTGCCCATCGCATGCTCCCAGCACATCCCGTCTCTCCTCATGCTGTAACCCTTATCACACTGACATGGCTTGTCTGTTGTCCACGTCCACCACTGTACCCGCCACAACCTGGAATCCCTTGCACCTGGCACAGTGCTGGGCACACAGAGAGGGCTCAACAAATGTTTGTTAAATTAAAATGGAAAAAAAGGTATTTCAATCAATACTATGCAGGTTGCTCTTCCTGTATCTAGGTGGCCACTGAGAGAACAATGACCAGCTCTGCAGCTGGGGTCCTAAAGAGAAAACCAGCCTGCTGAGTCTGGAGACTGGGCTCTGTCCCTGCTGTGCCTCATGCTAAGTGTGTGCCTGTGGTCAAAGTCTCTGAGCTTTAGGTTTCTCATCTGTAAGATGGAGATAGTACTTACCTTAGTTTTCTATTGCTTCATAATAAATTATCACAAACTTATGGGCTTATAACAGCGCACATTTTTTAGGCTTAGCTGGGTCCTCTCCAGGGCTGCAGTGAAGGTGTCAGCCAGGGCTGGGTTCTTCATCTGGACGCTCAACTGGGGATGGATCCACTTCCAGGCTTATGAAGGTTGTTAGCAGAATTCATCTCCTTGTGGTTGTAGAACTAAAATCTTTGTGGTAACTGTTGGTCGGGGGCTGCTCTCAGGTCCTAGAGGCTGCCTGTAATTCCTTACCACAAAGCCTCTCTGTATGCCCCTTCAGATCATGGCACACACTTCTTCAAATTCAGCAAGGAAGAAAATGTCTAGCACCAGTCTGCTAGTAAGCCCAGGTCTTTTTTTTTTTTTTTTTCTTTTTTGAGACGGAGTTTTTCTCTTTGTTGCCCAGGCTGGAGTGCAGTGGCACGATCTCGGCTCACTGCAACCTCCGCCTCCCAGGTTCAAGTGATTCTCCTGTCTCAGCCTCCTGAGTAGCTGGGATTACAGGTACGCACCACCATGCCCAGCTAATTTTTGTATTTTTAGTAGAGATGGGGTTTCACCATGTTGGCCAGGCTGGTCTTGAACTCCTGACCTCAGGTTATCCGCCCGCCTTGGCCTCCCAAAGTGCTGGGATTATAGGTGTGAGCCACCATGCCTGGCCAAGCCCCCGTCTTTTATGGAATGCTTCATGAATTTGCATGTCATCCTTGCGAGCCCACGTTTTTTATAATATAACATAATCATAGAAATGACGTCCCATTCCCTTTGCTATATTTCCTTGTTTAGGAGCTACTCACAGGTCCTGCCCTATTTGAGGGCTGGGGGTCACAGAAAGGCATGGACATGGAGTCACTCCAGAGCTCTAGGAGCTAGAGTCTGAATCCTACAATGCTAATCTCTATCTCCTAGATTTCTGGAGAGAATTAAGTGAAAGAATGCCTGGCACTTAGTAAGAACTCAGGAAATGTCACAGAAGGCAGCAGAAGCAGCTGTCTTTACTTTGGCCCACTTTGAAATGTTGGCTCACAGCTTGTCCTCAGTCTGCACCTGCCCTGTTGCTTCCACCACGCTGCTGTGGTCACTTTTATCACGTGGCTGGATCTTGAAGGCAGTTGAATTTGCTAAGTGGTATTAGCTGGAACGATCAACAGGTGTTATTATCATTTTAATTAAAAGTTCTTGGAAGATAAGAACCCATCTTACCAATGTTTTCAGCCTCTGGTGCTTAGCTTGTTGAGCTTAGGATGTTGGCTTTAGCTTGGCTGCTCTGTAAGTGTTGAGCCATTGTACCCCCTAGAATGATGTAATTGAGTTCAGAGCTACAGCCTCAGGGTACAAGTGATGGTTGGTGGGGAGAAGGGAGCAGGCATGGGTTGGATGGGCAAGATAGGTGACAGCTGGGAGGAGCAGTAAGAGTCTTGGCAGGTCCCCGAGTCCAGATCCTGCCAGGGGAAGCGCCTCGGCCCTGCCGCCACGCCCACCCACCCTCCCAACTCCTGGATGCTCCAGGCTTTCTTCCATTCTTTCTGTTCAGCTCCCCTCACACCCCTACCCCCAAAGCAGAGTGGAGTGCAGTGGCGCCATCTCGGCTCACTGCAAGCTCCACCTCCCGGGTTCACACCATTCTCCTGCCTCAGCCTCCCGAGTAGCTGGGACTACGGGCACCTGCCACCACGCCCCACTAATTTTTTGTATTTTTAGTAGAGACGGGGTTTCACTGTGTTAGCCAGGATGGTCTCGATCTCCTGACCTTGCGATCCACCCCCTCGGCCTCCCAAAGTGCTGGGATTACAGGCGTGAGCCACTGTGCCCAGCTGGGCCCTGTCCCTTCTAATGTGGGAATAGAAGCCTGATTCTTTCACAGACATAGAGCTTCTGGGCCGGGAAGGGCCTTAGGCTTGGGGTGAACAACTGTCTTTAGGATGCAGGTGAGTTGTGTCTATTGAGCACCTACTTGTGCCACTGGGCTCTGCACTTTACATACTTCATTTCCACCATTTTTCAGTCTTCAAGGTGGATAAACCAAAGCCCAGAGAGGGAAAGCGGTTTTTTCTGGTCACATAGCTGCTAGGCGGCAAAGTTAGGACCAGAGTTTCGGTGACCTGAGCCACTGATCCAGGATTGCCTCTCTGTGACACTCCCTCCCACCCAAGTCTGTGGGCCCCCTGGTGTCAGTAGTGGAGCGTGTCTGCCTTGGCCCTAGTCCGGTTCTTCATACAGGCTGCTCTGACTCCCACCCACAGTGTCTTCCTTCCCGCCACCCTTCCTTCCAGAACTTGGCTCCAGCCTCCTACCAACTCTGTCCCACATCCCTCACCCCCAGCCTGGCCCAGAACCAGCTGGGGCAGATGGTCCAGACCCTGAGTGTATTCTTTCCCGGCAGGGACAGAAGCAGTTTGAGGCTTACACATCTGGGCAGCTGTTGCCCAACTTTGATCTGCAGGAAATAAGCCAGAGGGATCCTTCCTGTCACTTCTGGGCTGGACCCTGGCCCTGAGAGTTGGAGTCTCCTCAGAGAGGCAGAGGCCTTCCTCAGCTGTGGGAGGGGGTGGTGGCAGCAAGAAGCTAGGGTACTGCGTGGGTGGGGTCACCTGGCCTGGGACTGGGGGCAGCCAGACTGGAAGTTCACCCTCTCTCCTCAGGTAGAAAAGTGGACAGAAGCCCAGAGGCAGTAGCCCAGGGCCAGGCCTGTAAGAGCCTGTAAACATCTGAAACTGTCAGTTTCTTCCAGGGATGTTTTTGTTATCACATCTGATTTCCCTCAAGGAGTCAGTGGTAAAGCCCTTACAAAGCATGTCTTCAGGGTTGGAAAAGAAGCAGAGCTGGGTTCCTGTGTTCCTTTTGCACCCAGATGAGGTTTGGGGAGGGTGGAAGCAGGTGGCCAGGGCTGGGAGATGCTGGCTGTGCTCCTGCAGGGTGGAAGGCAGCCTGGGTCTGGGTCAGGGTGGAGCTGAGACTTTGTTAGCCTGGGAGTCAGCTGTTGCGAGGGCTCAGACGGGCTGGCATTCCCCCGAAGCCCAGCCTGGCTTCCAAGAAAACACTCTAAACATGGTCGGTAACGGCGGGGAAGAGCACCGTGCAGCCTGGCGCCACCTCCTTTCATAAATGGGAGCAGGTCCGGGCTCCTCAGGGGCAGAACCTAGCAAAGGAGGATGCGCACAGCAGGCACGCACACACCTGTCACCCACCACAGGACATAGGTTGCAGACCCCTGACCTTCTTGGGCCTGTGCCTGTGCCAAGAAGATTGGGGTCTGCAGCCTATGTTCTGTGGGGGATGACATGTGTGTGCATGGTCCTGAAGAATCATACACAGCCCCACCCAGCCACACCCAGCCACCCACAGCCACATGCACCTGCAGGCATGCTTCATCACACTCAGCACCACACAAGCACTAGAACACACATAACCACAGGTGATCATGCCTAACACACCATGACATACAATCACACAAAACCATAAGGCACCAGGTGCAATCACATTCAGTCTTCCATCTGCACTCAATCACAGCTGGACATTGTTACACACAGGGATTCTGAGTCACATGCAGTCACACACAGACTTGTACCACTCTACACAACCACAATCACATTCAACCACACCCTTCGGCGCATAACACATATCACAGGCAATCACACACGACCAGTACAGTGGCAGGCAAGCATGGGCCATCACAGGCCATGGATGGTGCTTTGACTCAGCAGGGGGTCAGGGCCTGGGGAGACCTTGTTCTCTGAATGGGGGTTGGTGAGGGCCTGGCTGTGACTAGGGGACAGAGGCATCCATCAGCCATTAGACAGTCCACTTCCTGGTCACCCCTTCAGAGTGGTGGAAGTTATTCCCCCTGCCTCCCACCCAGCAGAGCATTCCTGGGTCCTGATGCAGTCTCCTTGGCCTCCTACCTCCCTCTCCTCTGGCCTTGGCTGGGCCGCTGGCGGGAAGCTTGGACCAGCCAGGACTACGGTGAGTCAGCAGGGAAGGGCTCAGGGAATGCCAGGCAGGTGAGTGACCCACAGTGCCTGCAATTGATGGGGCTTCTGAGAGTGGGAGGGCTGCCATTCATCATCGGGGGCTGCCCACTAGAGATCACCCACCCAGGGGATAGAGGGTTATGGGCATGGGACCAGGTGACGATGGTAATTTCTCAGCCAACCCTATATCCAAAGCCTCTGCTCTTGGAAAACTCCCTATAGAGCTGTCAGGGTCTATGCCCTCCTACAGGCTGAGCTCTGGCCTGGGCCTCTGCTCCCACATGGTCCCCAGCTAGGCTCAGCCTGGAACAGCCCTGCATCCCCAGCACTACATCCTGCCCTCTACTGTCACTGACTCGCTCATTCATTTAGCACTTTGCGGAGCACCTACCACACCAAGATGCATGACAGTGTCTTCAAGTAGGGAAGATGGCCCAAAAGATGATTCCAGAACAATGTGGACGTATAGCGACAGAGATATACACATGTTATTGTGGAAGCTGCTGGGATTGACTGCTTTGTGAGCTCTGGATGGCCAGTCCTTGCTATGGGGGCTGGGATGGCTGCTGACAATGGTGACCTTCCACAGGCAACCCAGCCAGAAGTGCTGAGCCCCTCCCAGGAAAGGCACCAGCGGGCCTGACAGTTAATTATAGAGCCCCCTTTTTTTTTTAAAGGAAGTAACTCAATCCACTTTAATATTTAGCTAGCATTTATGTTACAGGTCTATGAGGGAAGAAATATACTGGAAAAAAGAAGAAATACATTTTTTTCTCATTCTGAAAGATTTCGTTTCTCCACAAGACAGCAAAATACACAAATATATGCAAATGTGTGCATGCACACGTGCACACAACCCACAAAAGTACTATCTATGAAGGAAAGAGATACCAAGTTCAATTGAAACAGGTATTTAGAAATGATAGGGAGGTTGGAAGAAAAGGTGAGAACACGTGAAAAGTAATTTTACTTTTGTTTAACCTTAAGCTTGCCAACTTTTTTCCTTGAACAGCATTTGTCTTGTTTTCATACCCACCTATGCTCATATCAGAAACTTAAAACTACTTCGTGATTCTACTTTGAATTTATAGCCACATGACTAAGATGTTTTGAATATAAGCCTATCCATATGCCAGATAAACTTTGAGAACTCTTAATGTCTCTTCTTTTATGAGAATTCTATTCTGATGTAGTTGGGTTGATGAAGAAAATTAAAGGCCAAGGGCCAGAAAGCCAACTTCCTTAAAGGCAACCCAAGGAAAAATTTTCCAACTACCTATGTGCAAGAAATATTTCTTTCAAGTACTAAATCAATTTCTTCAACTGTACAATGAATTCTAATTTGATGGTTTCCAAAAGTAATAGAGTAACAACAAAATGTGATAAAATTAAGACTATATGAAAACAGAATAAATGGAACAATAATTCAAATAAAAACTAAAATAAAATGACATTTACTATGGATTTTTGTAATCAGTATCTCATAATATACTTAAATTTTCCTTTTATACGTAAGATCACAGCCAACCAGGTTAACTGTAACTTCCAATTTTATCACTAGCCACTTGTGCTATTTTATCACATTTGAAAATATCCACTCTTACTAATTTACTTCAAACTGTGACTTACCAATTTGTTTAGACAATAATAATTAAGGGCCCTTTCTTTGTCAGGATAATAAAAAATTAAATGATATATTGAAGATACTACTAAAGAAACCACTTTGTTGATTTTGGCCTCTGCATTGACGATCTGTAGGAATTTTTCTAATTAATTTTCAAATCTTCCCACAAGCTTTATGTTCAAAGAAATATCATCTTTGAAATAATTTGCGGGAATAATTTACAAATCAAAAATTGATTCACAAGATTGTGTTGCTGTAACCACTAATTTTAACAACTAAATATTTTCTGTATTGGTTTTCTTGATTGTAAAATGTCAATAATATGGAGGTACTTTTAATATACCAGAACACTTAATTACACCAGTTTCCCATCAACCCACCAAAGTCATTTAATGATTATATTGGCCATTTCCACTGATTGGCAGGAGGCTCGTCAGCTAAGAGGTCTCATGGTTTCCACTGCATTATTTTTTTCACCAGACTTCATTCATTTTTAGCCTGAAGAATCACCTCTTCTATTTGGCCACCTTGAAGTCAGTCTTCTTATTTTTTAACATCTGGTTCTGCTTTAACCATTTAACCATTTTAACCAGCTTCTCATTTGTAAACAGTTCTGTATGCTTTCTGTATGTTGCATTTTTAGGGTTTTGCTCAAGAACATCAAGAATCTTTGCATGCGATATTCTCAGCCTCTCCAGTGGACTCTTGCATACATTCAGTCTCACAAGGCCAGGGTTCTTCTTCAGCACACTGCCATGACAGCACCAATGAGCCCACCCATTTTCTTTTATCTAACAGAGCCAGAAGATTACTTTTTCAGATCTGAAGAACGAAATTTTAAATGCCATGTTTGAAGGAAGTCTTTCTAAAATGATGAATTCCTGCCGGGCGTGGTGGCTCACGCCTGTAATCCCAGCACTTTGGGAGGCTGAGGCGGGTGGATCACCAGGTCAGGAGTTCAAGACCAGCCTGGCCAATATGGTGAAACCCTGTCTCTACTAAAAATACAAAAATTAGCCATGTGTGGTGGTGGGTGCCTGTAGTCCCAGCTACTCAGGAGGCTGAGGCAGGAGAATCACTTGAAGCCAGGAGGCAGAGGTTGCAGTGAGCTGCACTCCAGCCTGGGCAACAGAGTGAGACTTTGTCTCAAAAAAAAAAAAAACAAAAAACAAAAAACAAAAAAAATGATAAATTCCTGCCTCTTGCAGCACAGCAGATTCCCCACAGCATTCTTCTTGTCTAAGAGCCATTAGTCCCAACTTCCATTATGACTAGACCAGGATGCAGTGATGCTTTCTTGGGCTCAGAGTAGGGGCACAAAAAATACTTGAGGAACGGCCAGGCGCAGTGGCTGATGCCTGTGATGCCATTTGGGTGGTCGAGGCAGGTAGATCACCTGAGGTCAGGGATTCAATACCAGCCTGGCCAATGTGGCAAAACCCCGTCTCTACTAAAAATACAAAAATTAGCTGGGCATGGGGGCTCGTGCCTGTAATCCCAGCTACTTGGGAGGCCGAGGCAGGAGAATTGCTTAAACCTGGGAGGCAGAGGTTGCAGTGAGCCAAAATCATGCCATTGAACTCCAGCCTGGGCATCAAGAGTGAAACTCCGTCTCAAAAAAAAAAAAAAAAAAACTTGTGGAACACATACTAATGAGCCCACCCAGTTAGGCTGGAAGATTGGAATGCAGACAGTAAAGAACAGAATGCTCCCTGGTATCGGGTCCATGGGGTGCGACAGCCGCTACTAGGGTCTTTCTCTCTTGTTCTCTGGACTCTTCCTAAGAGAAGAGCGACTCTTCCTGCCTCCCTTCTTCTTTGCTGCAGAGGCTCAGCCTGTTTCCCCTCTTCTAGGCCCTGCATTCATTCTTCTAACATCGTCTGAGGAGTATGTCCCACTCTCACTGGGTCCTCCTTTCCTGGCTGTCCCTGGACTTGAAGAGAAGCACCAGCCTTCCTTCTAGTTCCTTCTCATCGCTCCCTGGAAACAAGATGTTAACAAAAATCAGAACCACAGGAAAGTTGCAGAGGCTCTGGAATCTTAAAAGTCCCTACATCCGGCTCGGCGCCGTGGCTCACACCTGTAATCCTAGCACTTTGGGAGGCCGAGGCGGTGGATCATCTGACGTCAGGGATTTGAGACCAGCCTGGCCAACATGGTGAAACCCCATCTCTACTAAAAATACAAAAATTACCCAGACGTGGTGGCGGGCGCCTGTAATCCCAGCTACTCAGGAGGCTGAGGCAGGAGAATCACTTGAACCCGGGGGAGCGGAGGTTGCAGTGGACTCCAGCCTGTTTGAAAGAGTGAGACTTTGTCTCAGAAAAAAAAAAAAGTCCCTACATCGTAAGCGGCTGTTTAAAAAAAAAAAAAAAAACAACAAAAAACAGCTAAGGCATCCCTGCCTCACATCTATAATATAATAAAATAAATTCCAGAGAAATAAAATGTTTCAATATAAAAAGAAACCACAGAAGACATGAAAGAAAACAGGAGTGACTATTTTTTTTTATTTTAGAGTGGGGAAGACCTTTCTAAGAAGAAACTCAGAAAAGCCTAATACATTTAACTACATGAAATTTGTAACATTCTGGACAACAAAAGCTCTATATACAAAGTCAAAGCACAAAGAACAAGCTGGGGAAAATACTTGCAACAGATAAAACAAAGGGTTTGTATCTCCAAGCTACAAAGAGCTTTTCCACATCAACAAGAAAAAGATAAACAACCCAACAGAAAAATGAAAAAAAAGCCAGGAGCAAGTAATCCATAGAAAAAGTATTATAATTAGCTATTATATGTATGAAAAGATGTTCAACCTCCCCCATAGTTTAAAAAAAATCAAATTAAATCTATCAGGATGGCAAACATTAAAAAGATGAAATATATATATACATATATATTTTTTTCTTCTTCCTCTTTTTCTTCTTCTTCTTCTTCTTCTGCTTCTTCTTCTTCTTCTTCCTCTTCCTCTTCCTCTTCTCCTTCTCCTTCTCCTTCTCCTTCTTCTTCTTCTTCTTTTTCTTTTTGAGACAGAGTCTCCTTCTGTCACCCAGGCTGGAGTGCAGTGGCACAATCTCGGCTCACTGCAACCTCTGCCTCCCAGGTTCAAGTGGTTCTCCTGGCTCAGCCTCCTGAGTAGCTGATATTACAGGCATGTGCCACCACACCTGGCTAATTTTTTGTATTTTTTGTAGAGACAGGGTTTCATCATATTGGCCAGGCTGGTCAAGAACTCCTGACCTTGAGTGATCTGCCCACCTCAGCTTCCCAAAAACTGTTGGGATTACAGGCGTGAGCCACTGTGTTCAGCTAAAAGATGAATAATATTTAGTATTGACAAGATGTGGGTTAATGGGCATTTTCACAGGCTGTATAGTTGGAAGGAAAAATTGGTAGAAACATTTTTGGAGGGCAATTTTGTAATATCTATTAAAGTTTGAAATATGCAAGCCCTTTGACTCAGTAATTCCATTGCTAGGAATTTATTATAGAATAAGGATAAACACCACACATCAGGGAGTTCATGGTGCATTTTAGGGGAGTCAGTGTGAATTTGTTCCTCCACAGGGTAGTGTTTTGTCTTAATCCCCTTGGGATTCTACAGGCATCTGGGGTGTGGAGTTTATACAGTCCAGTAAACTCACTTACTTCTCTCTAAGCCCATACACCCTTAAAAGCTCTCATAGGCTAGGCACAGTGGCTCATGCCTGTAATCCCAGCACTTTGGGAGGCCAAGGGTGGCGGATCACCTGAGGTCAGGAGTTTGAGACCAGCCTGACCAACATGGAGAAACCCCGTCTCCACTAAAAATACAAAATTAGCCAGGCATGGTGGCGCATGCCTGTAATCCCAGCTACTCAGGAGGCTGAGGTAGAGGAATCGCTTCACTCTGGAAGGTGGAGGTTGCGACAAGCTGAGATCCTGCCATTGCACTCCAGCCTGCAACAAGAGCAAAACTTTGTCTAAACAAACAAACAAACAAATAAAAACTCTCATAAATCCCCACTTCCCCTCCTCTAACAGCTCACTTTTTGTTGGAAAATAAATCCCTCTGACTTTGGGAAAGCCATCTGTACCTCAGCTCCAGAGGGGAGCATGTGACCTAGACTCTGTCGGAATATTTTATCCTCCCACCACATCTGTTGGTTCGGTGGCGGGCACATGGCCTAAGCTGTTCTCATTGTAATGCAGTTCTGTTGGAAGTATTAGGACAGAGATCTTCTTTTCCTATAGGTGTCATAGATAGATATGTGATCTGAACCGCTCTAGTTCTTTTTCTGCAAGGATAAAAATGAGCTTGAGGATGAAGCTAATCTACGGAGCAAGCCTGAGCCAAGTGAATTACAGATAAATGAGCTAAAGCCTGATGATGTTGTAAACCTCTAGATCAAATCATACCTGAATCCCACTGAGCCTCTGGGCTTTTCTGATGCTGGAGGCAATACATTCTCTCAGTTTGAGAAGAGATGTTTGTGTGCTTGCAGTGGAAGCCTCTCCACAAAGACAGAGTCCCTCCTCCTTGCAGACCATCTGGTTCTTTGTCTAGTAAGGCTCTGCCTCAGAGAACAACATTTTGTTAATTCTTCTTGGGAGCAAGGGAAGCCCTCACTTCCTTCATCCTAGGCTTGACTGCTTTGAGGTACTGTTGAGGTGGTATATGGAGGTGAGAGAAAAATGCCTCCTTGTCTGTGTGAGCCTCCTGTAACAATGTAAACTAGTCAGATATTAGTCTCTCCCTAAATTATCTCACTACATTGGTTTCAGCTACAAAACTAGGAACAATTCAAATGCCCATCAGCAGGGTAACTTAATCGTGGTTCAATCACATGGCCGAGAGTGGGGGGATCCTCCGCAGCCTTTAAAAAGATGGAAGAAATGCTCTATGTACTGCCATGAAAGGCACCCAGAATAAACCATTTATTGAAAAAACCCGGTTGAAAAACAGAATGTATAGTATATAATGCCATTTGTGGTTTTTCAAACTGTAAGTCTGTGGTTCTATCTGAATAGAAAAAGGTCTAGAAGGAAGGTTGCTTGCACAACAAATTTTATAATGATCCCTGGGGGCTAGAATTCCGCAGGCTTTGCATTTTCTATTTTTTCTACTCCTTTATTGAATTTGTATAGTGTAATAAAAAGATTTTTTTAAAGAAAATTTTTACAGTGCTGGCCTCTGGTCTGTAGCTCCCTATTTCCCTCTGTGGCAGTAACTGGAGGCCTCAAGGGAGCTGCCACATCCTGAGTGTGTAGCTAAACACCCCTGCTGCTCCAGGAAACTCCAGCCTTGCTTGGCCTGTTTTTGGGTCTGTAAGAGACAACTCCAGGGTGGGTAGGGCCTCAGGGGCAGGGCCGTGTACCCAGTCATCCTGAGCCTGGTGTACCACCTGGTGCCAGGTGGTGAAGAGTGACTGGGCCAGGATGCCAGGGGGTGGAGTGGTGAGTTGCTGGTCTGCTTTGTTAGAGGAAGATGTCGGCATGGGTAGTAGGCTGAATCATAATCCCCAAAGACTTTGGATCCTAATCCCTTCGTATCAGTGAATGTTACTTTATATGGAAAAAAAGGTCATAGCAGATGTGATTAAGGATCTTGAGATGGGCAGATAGTTTTGGACTATCCTAGTAGGGCCTAAATGCAATCACAGATACCCTTAAGAGAGAGGCAGAGGGAGATTTGTCAAAACAGAAGAGGAGAAGGCCATGTGACTACAGAGGCAGAGACTGGAGTGATGTGGCCACAAGCCAGGGAATGCTGGCAGCCACCAGAAGCTGGAAGAGGCCAGGCACAGATTCTCCCACGACACCTCCAGAGGGCGTGCAGCCTGACTGAAACTGGATTTTGGCCCAGTGATACTGATTTTGAACTTCTCTGCCCTCTGGAACTATGAGAGAATCCATTTCTGTTGTTTTAAGCCACCAAATTCATGACGATCTGTGACAGCAGCCACAGGAACCTGACATAGCTGTCAAAAGTGAGGCTGGCCTGCAGCTGTTCAGCGTGCTCTTTCCTGAGGGCCTGCCTTCCTCACTCCAAGCTGCCCAGGCTGAAAAGAAAATGAGGCTGCTTCCTCTAGACATCCTTGAGAGGGGCTTATCTAATGAGTTCTGGCACTTGTGAGGAGGGGTGTGTGGATGTGGAGCCTACTCTTGCTCTCCACTAGCCTGGCTGGTGGTGAGGGGTTGCCCAGCAACCACAGAGGCTGGCAGGGCTCCCCACTGTGCCCTGGTTTCTCCTCAGAGCAGTTCTTGCCCTGAGTATTGTTAGAGTGCAGAGGCTATTAAAAAAAATGAAAACACCAACCCTCAAAATAACTTCCCAGGTTCTAAAAATGGAATTCTGCCCAGTAGTAATATTTCTCATTCTTGCAATAGTAAAATTTCTCACTTCCTCGTGCTCTGTAGGCTTGTGTCTGGCCCAAGAGGGAACTGCTATTAATGGCAATTTCTGCCTGATGTAATCCCCTTGGTGAGCCACCTGCCTGTGGATGGTGACACTCCTTTACCCAACAGGCCTTGCACCCTCCTCCACAGAACCTCCCGCAGCGTGTTAGGTTTTTGTCTGCTTTGATTGATATCCATAGTCTCTCTTGGTTCAGAAAATAATAACAACAATGATAATCAACCAATTACTTATATAGCTCTTATAATTGTCAGGCATTGTCCCAAGCACGGAATGTTTATTAACCCATACACTGCTCATGACTGTCCTGTGGGGTAGCTATTAGTATTATCCTCCTTGTACAGATGAGAAAACAAAGTCATGGGGAGGTTAAGAACATGTACAAGGGCACATAGCTACCAAGTGGCTGAGCTGGGGTTTGAACCCAGCCTGAAGGGCTCTGGGATCAGAGCTCTTACCTCCTGCATTGTATTGGCTGGCTGGAGGAAGGATGGGGAAGCCTTTCTCTGTGCAAAGCGAGCTGTCCTGGGCAGCTGATTTGGGCTTGCCCCCGGTGGGCCCTTGAGGTCTTTTGAGATCAGGGCTGTGATTGCCTGGAGAGGTCTCCCAGCAGCACACACTCTACCTTAGTGCCTTCCATATTCTCTTCCTGCTGGGGTCATTGCAAAGCCTGTGACTATGAGCAGGGTGAGGAATTATCCTTCAGATTTTGGGCACAGACCTCAGATGGGTGTCCCGGAGGAACCAATGTAAAGTCCTCAGGCCTGGGTGTGGGGTGAAGCTGGTTCCATTCTGCTCACATTTACTGGGCAGTGTGTGGATAAATAGCCCACAAGAGCGGAGGATGGTCCTGGGTGCTGAGACTAGAAGGGGAGCAGCCTCCTTTCCTCTCCTCATGGGAAGGACCTGTGGGAGAGGGGCAGGAGGAGGACGAGTGGCCTCCCCCAGGGCCCTGGGGTGAAATGAACAGGTGCCCATTCTCTCTGTCCTGCCCAGGGATGGCCTGATGTCTTACATGAACAGAGCCTAGAAGTTGGAGTGAAGAGACCTGGCTTCTAGTCCTCGTTCTCCCAAGTTTGAGGTGAGGTATCACTCTCTCTGTGTCCCAGACTTCCCCTCTGTAAACCAAGGGATTGGATGCGCTTTGATACAAAAAATCCCTCTCTAAAACCCATAACTGATCTGCAAATCCAAGTTGGTTTGCTGTGTTTTCTCTGTGAGACAGCAAGCCACAAGCAGCCAGATCCAATGCTCACTTTCAGCAACTCCTGTCATTTTGTCACTGTGCTTGCCTCTCTTCCCTCACTAGCGAAATAGGGATTAAAACACTCATCTCAGAGTTGTGAGCCTTGAAGGAACATCGCATGGAAAGGCCCTTCTTGGAAAGGCAGAGCCCTGCCCTATGGGACCCATCAGAGAGGGGCCCCTGCTCACCTGGACTCAGATGGGGCTGGGGGTGTGGATACTGGGATCTTCTGGAGGTAAAAGGAAACCAGGTGAAGAGATTGCAGACTGGCAGCTCTGACCTGGACAGGCAGACACATTTTTTGGTCCAGCAAAAATAGCACACTAGAAAAAAAATTCTAAGTGTCTTCCTGGGGAGAGGATAAGTTCCACTCTCTAGTTCACCCACAGAACCCACGCCTCCCTGTTATCTTACACAGGGCTGGGTATGGCAGGCCCATGAGCTCATTGAGTCCTGCCTTCAGAAAACCTGGACCAGGGGGTTTGGATGTTCCAGGGGGCAGGACTGATGCTCCTCCCATCCTCAGCCCCACCCAGGTCTTGGCAGAGCCCAAGTGGGTGTGTTGTGGGGGAGTCCTGAACTGGTCTGGGCCTCATCGCTCTGCTCTCACCCCCAACCCCAGAGATGAGAGCTCCAAGTTCAGCCAGCTGGGTCTGCTGCCTCCTTGCCTCTGATCTGGGGTCCCAGAACTCCTCTTTTCCCAGAGGGGGTCAGGGCAGAGGGAGGCAGTGTCCCTGCTGGGCCTGTAGAGGAAGCTGAGGGCTGCGTATACCCTGGCCAGCAGCCCAGGAAGCCTGAGCATGTAATGAAAAGATTGCATCTCCTCGACTCTGCTGTTGGGGACAAGCATTTCCAGTGTTGTCCTTGCCCTGTGACCTCTGTCTGGGCACTGCCTCCCCTGCTTCCTGGCTCTGTTCTGTCCCTTTAGGCAGGCTCAGCAGCCCCATCTCAGCTGGTTCTGGGCACAGAGAAGACAGAGACCCCTTTCTCCTCTTCAGGTCTCCAGACGGCCACCCCAAAGGGTGACAGACGTGCCTCCCATTCACATGCCTCTTTGCTGTTGGCAAAGCAAAGTCACATCCATCCTGGAAGGGACACCCCAGCTCTACAGAGGCCACCCAGCTGTGAGGGGATGAGCTGCACCTCCGACGTAAATCTACTGAGTGTTCACCCTTGCGCTGGCCCCCTAGTCCATCCTGACTCCCTGTGTTGTGAGGCCCATTTGTGGGAGGCAGAGTAGGGTGTGGACGAGGTGCATAGGATAGCTGAAGAGCTGCTCCCTGAGCCCCAGACAATGGCTCTGATGAATCCAAATAGTCATGGAACACTGTAGCCTTTGCAAGTAAGACCATGAGATATCAAGACGCCCCACAGTCACCAGCCTCACTAGTAGAAGGAAGTAAAGCAGGCAAGCACTCTCAGCAGAGAAAGGGACCAACTTCTGGGGATACAAAGGAGAGGGAGGATAGGGCCAGGCATGAGGGAAAAAGTCAAGGGTAAGAGCCTGGGCAGCTGGGCAGTGGGGAGAGCTTCCAAAGGGACAAGCCAGTGGCCAGGCCACATGGCCCTGTCTCCCATCTTCCCTGTGGCTCTGTGGCTGATCAGGAGCTGGGAACAGGCACATGCTTTCTGGGCCTGGTGGCCTGGGCAGAGAGGCTAAGTGTGACTGTGGGGACCTCTTCTGCCCACGAATCCACTGATTCCTGCCACAAACCCAGGAGGCGGGTGGGCCCATCTTGTTGTACAGCCTGGATGGCTGCAGCCTGGAGATGAAAAGGGACCTGCCCAGAGTCTCCCAGGCTGGGGCCGTTTTCCCCAGTCCTGGTAGCAGCAGCAGCGGCTGCTTTTTGTTGAGCACTTCTGTCTGCCAGGCTCTGTGCTGAGCACTTTATAGGCACCACCGTTAGCCCACTTCTCCTACAAGGAGACCAGGACTCAGAAAGAAGGTCTTACCCAGAGCCAGTGTCAGGAGTTGAGTCAGGGTAGTTTGACTTCATAGTCTCCGTTCTTAGCACAACTTCCCCACTCATTCCCTCCTACCTTCTCCTTTACCCCCACTAGACATTTTGGGTGGTCTTTTCTACTTCTTGGCCCTAGAGGTCATTGGGCTGCTTTTCTCACCCTCAATCCCCAGGGCTCCTCCCGGAGCCGCAATGCTTGGGGAACTAGGGATTTCCCTCTTTGCCTTCTGCCTGGGCCTCCTTCTTGCCCTTGAAAGAGGAACAGGGGGAGGAGTAGGTGAGGCTTTGGGGTAAGTCTTGGGGGTAGGCACAGGAGAGGTCTTCACCCCAGGCTGGAATCTCCAGGTAGCTTAGTGTCCTCAGCTTGGTGTCCCCAGCCAAGGCAAGGATGGGTGGGGAGAGTGGCATTGGTCAGGGGTACAGCTAATGAGAGTGGTCAGACACGTCCTGATTTTTTTTTTGGAGGATTTGAATCCTCAGGACATTTAGGTCCTGCAGCCACTCAACATTTAAGGCTTATCCCTGCCAACTCATACTAGGGCCACCAATAGTAGGCTGGTGCTCTGTGGGCATTCTGTGGCCTGTAACTGTGCTGGGCTGCAGGGCTCCTGCCAAGCTAAGGGTGGTCCCTGCCCTTTGAGGGGGTGGTAGGAAACATCTTACTTTGCTGGAAGGTCAGGGAAAACCTAGAGAGCAGATCCTCTAAGGATGTAGGAGCCAGACCAGGAATGAAGGGCAAGGTATCCCCAGCTGTGGGAATGGTACGGGCAAAGGCGGGGTGTCAGAGCAGACCCTTAGTGGGAAATTGTTTGATAGGAGGTCCCCCATGGCTCTGGGTTCCACACCTGTGGATTCAACCAACTGCATATACCCTGGATAAATTGTGTCTGTACTGAACATGTAGGGACTTGTTTTTTGTCATTATTCCCTAAACAATAGAGTATAACAACAATTTATATAGCATTTATATTGTATTAGATATTATAAGTAATCTAGAGATATTTTAAAGTTTATGGGAGGATGTTTATAAGTTATATGCAAATACCACACCATTTTATATCAGGAACCTGAGCATCCGTGGGTTTTGGTATCTGCAGCAGGGTTCGGAACCAATATCCAAGAGATTCCGAGGGATGACTGTAGCCTGGGTGGTTGGAGCTGGGGAAAAGTGAGAGGGTAGGTTTGTGGGAGGGAAGGGTCACATCCTGACCATCTCAGTACCAGCTTGCAGGGCAAGTCCTTCATGCCAGGGCAGCAGGGAGCCATCGAAGGACTCTGAGCAGGACAGTAATGTGGCCTTACTTGCTTTTGAAAAAGCCCACTCTGACTGCAAGAGAGGTGTGGGGAGAGCAGTTAGGAGGTGCCAGTGGAGCAAGCACCCACACACGCTGTGGCGGAACTCTGTGATGAGCACCCAGAGCAACTGGGACCAGTGGTGCAACTGTTGCCGAGGCCAGCTTGGTCATCTTCCTCTCAGCTGGAGAAGGACCTGTTTGGCTGGAGAATTGAGCAGGCGCAGAGAGAAGCACATGTGGCTGGTGTGAGTGTGGTTGAGGAGGTTGCTGTTCGTGCTGATGAGTCAGTGGCCTGTGCCCCATGCCAGTAATGCCGGCTTCCTGGGATTGGGGCAAGGATTCAGAGAAGGGCGGGGGTGTGAGGGAGCAGGAGGGGGATACCCTGGGGAGGCTGTGGGTTGAGAAGCCCAGGCTGGCCTTAGTTCCTACCTCTACTTACACTCAGAAGGGCAAATTAGTTTCTGACTACTTACAGCCAGAGACGGTTTGGGAGCCTCTTCTCTACACTGAGGCTGGGCAGCCCAGGTTAACCCCTTTATGCCCTGCCTCCTCCTCAGCCCTCCTCCTCTGGGCCCTGGCACCTGGGGTGACCCAAGGCAGGACTGGGAGGCAGTTGAACTTGTTTCCTTCCTCCCTGAGGTGATCATATCGTTGGCTTCCAGCTCTCCCAGCCTGAGAATCCAGGGTCACTGTTGGTCCTGATGCCCTGCCCAGAAGCCAGTGCTCTTCTCCAGGCCTCCCCTCCCTAGCAGATCCCATCTCTGCCAGCTGGCTCCTCGGAGGGATGTAAATAACCAACCCAGATTAGCTGGCCTTTCCCTAAAGCCTTGGGCGTCATCAAAAGAATGAACAATGGTAGAATGCGAAGCATCCCGAGGGCCCAGGGTGGGAACCATGATTGGGCAGGTAGGGGCTGTTAAGGCTTCTCAGACCACAGCTCCGACACTCAGAAGGTCCAGACTCCAAGATGGGGTAGCCTTCTCTCAGGGCTTCCTGGAGCTGTGTGCTGAGGGTCCATGTGGGGGTGGGCGGAGTGGCTGTGCAGAAGGCCACGGATGTCAGCCCTTGGCTCAAGAGAGGGAGGTCAGGAGACTTCTGGCACCACTGTCTTCACCAAATGCAGGGCCTCAAAGATCGGAGGGTGAGTCACTGGTTCAGACTTGGCGACTCCCCCGGTCCAATCAGAGGGTGGTGGGAGGTCTGAGGGAGAACCCAGGGCAGCCTCTCTAGGGCAAGGGGATAGGGCCAGGGCTAAGGGAGCAGGTGCTTCTAGGGAGGTTCCATGAACAGTGGAAAAAAAGGACCGAGCCAGGCAGGAAAGATGACTCCATGAGCTGTCCCTTCCTTGGGTAAGGCAATGAGGAGTGGGTGGAGCTGAGGGCTTGCTGAGTAATGTCCTCACGGAGAATGGCCAAAAATAAGGAGGATGTGTGACCCTTGGGTGGCTCAAGGGCCTGTGAGGTCATGCTCCTGGCCTCCGCTTCTCCATTTTCTCAAGATAACAGGGTGCCCTCCTGATGCAAGCTCCTTAGTGACCCGAGAGAGGACTCTTTGGACTTGTATTTGTTTATTCATTTAACAACCACTCAGGAGAAACAGGAGAGTGCTCTGGGGGTCCAGGGCTGGGACACTGATACACAAATGGTTAATTGCCATTTATCGGGTCAATGCCATTGCATGCAGAGGTCCGAGGACAGAGAGATGTAGGGGCACAGAGAGAGGGGTTGGCTCTGCTGGGTCATGACAGGGAAGGCTTCACAGGGGAGGTGGCACTTCTTGAAGAAGGAGTAGTGACTGGCTGTGAGAGGAGAATGGGAAAGGACATTGCAGACAAAGGTCAGGCAGCATCCCAGGGCCGGGGAAACTGAAGGAGGTGCAAGGGAGAAAGGACATGCAGAATGTGGTGGGAGCTGTGACAAATCATCAGCATGGCTGCTTAGATGGGGAGGCCAGCACAGCCTCTAGAGGGTTTGCCAGTCCACTCTTGGGTGAAGAAGGAGAGCAGATCTTGCTCTAGCATAAAGAGTGTGGGGCCTGGAATCATGAAAGCCTGCATTCGAGTCCAGGTTATACCGCCTAGCAGCTGCTGAGCTTGAGCTGGTCACTTAATACCCCTAAGCCTTGATTTCCTATCTGTGCAGTGGGGATTCACTGTGACTGAGGTTTCTATAAGCAGATGTGACACTGCTTTGCAAGCTGTAAACAGCTCTGCAAACTTGAGGCATCACTAGGGTAGCACTTTAGCAGCAGCTACTTCTGTTTTGACCTTTTTGGGGTACCATTTCCTGGGGAATGGCCACAGAAGTCTGCTCTCATCCAGTCATCAGGGGGTGATGTTTTCTGACCTTTTCGCTAGGCTCTATGGGGTCATTTTGTTTGGGACCTGCTGCTGCTGCCCAAGGCCTTGGGGCCTGCTGCAGTGAGCTTGGAGACAAGGGGTCCACAGGCTGAATTGAGCCCTGAGGCTGGACAGTGAGGCACGAGAGGGTAGGGGCAGTGGACCCACAGTGGGACAGGGACCCTGAGGCAAAACAGAACACTCGGGCAGCAGGTGAGTGAGGCTGGACAGAGAAAGGGATTGAGTGAAAACTAGAAGAGTGAGGTGGACGGAGGTCCCTGATCTCGGCAAGGAAGTCTGCTGCCTTCACCCCCACTGCCTCACACCCCCTGTTCTCAGCATCTTCAACTTTGGGGCTGCCTGAGAAGGCAAGCGCAGAAGCGGAGGAAGGAAGGGCTTTTTAGCTCCACGGGCCTGTGGACGCCTCCATTCCGGCCTGCCCACCCCATATCATGGCAGCAACTCCAACTCCCTCTGACCCCCAGGGTCACCCTGGCTCAGCCTGGGCAGTGTCCCCAGTGGTCTGTGACTCAGCAGTTCTTGGCCAGAGGGTGGAGCCCCAGCTGGCTGCTGAACTCTGGTCTCCACAGGGCTGAGGCTTCGCTCGGGGCCTGGAGGTCCTCAGCACCCGGCCCGGCTCCTGCACCCTCTCCAAGCCTCTCATCCGCTCCAGTGGTCTTGGAGGTCCCTCTGTCCACAACACCGTGGTGCCAGGACGGGGCTGTGCTCAGTGACTCAGCCTGGCCCTCTTATTTGCACTGAGTAGGTGCCACAAATATTTGTTGAATGGAATTCTTGCCTCTCATTTGGGATTTTCCACTGCAGCCAAACAGTTGCTCCCAGCCCTGCCAAGGGCTTAGCCTGGTTCTGCATTTGCCCTACACGCACGCACACCGTAACGTCTCTTCCCCACCACACCTTACTCCTCCTCACAAGCACCCCTGCAAATTGCTCCTCAGAACCACTGCCTCCCCCAGCGTGTGCTTACAGGACTCTGCCTTCTCTTTCCTCATTGTTTTCCTTCTTCTATGCATGTCTTAGCAGGGGTGACCAAGGAAAACAGGCCCCGAAGCAGAATCAGTCATGGGGACCTGTTTGTGTGTGCTTGCGTGCAGAAGAAGAGCCGCCTGTTGTAGGCAGGGCAGGGAGGGAAGGTTAGGCTTATACACTGCAGGAGACCAGACTTTGGTGTGAGGATGAGGATAAACAGGTCTGCTATAGGTCAGGTGACCACACATCCTGGTTACCCGTTGCAGGTCTGGCTTTTGCCTCTTGTTCTAATTATTTAATAGCACCATAAACTATATGGCCACTCTACTCAGAGGGGCTGCCACAGACCCCTAGGGCCTAGGGAACTAAGCTCGTGTTGTGCCTCCAGGACTCGGCAGGGCAACTCAGCCAGGTCTGTGCCTTTCCCTTCCACCTCATGCACCCAGGGGAGCATCACTGTGTTGACTGAAACAGAGTTTCAAGGTTGAGACAGGTTCATCAGGTACACAGGTAACAGGACAGCCCCTGGTGTAACTGTAGCGTGAATTGCAAGGGCATAGGAGCATCCAAGAAGGTCAGGTAAGGGCTTTGCAAGCCATAAAGTTCCCAGATATTCATAACAGCTAACCCTTACAGTTACTTAACATACTGCTAAACAACCCCATGATGGGGAGCCTATTATTACCTCAATTTTTTTTTTTTTGAGACAGAGTTTCGCTCCTGTTGCCTAGGCTGGAGGACAATGGTGTGATCTTGGCTCACTGCAATCTCCGCCTCTTGGGTTCAAGCAATTCTCCTGCCTCAACCTCCCAAGTAGTGGGATTACAGGCGCCTGCCACCACACCCAGCTGATTTTTGTATTTTTAGTAGAGACGGGGTTTCACCACATTGGCCAGGTTGGTCTTGAACTCCTGACCTCAGGTGATCCACCCACCTCGGCCTCCCAAAGTGCTGGGATTACAGGTATAAACCACCGTGCCCGGCCTGCCTCAATTTTACAGATGCAGAAACAGGCAGAGAGAGGTTATGGGATTTGACAAAAGTCACACAGTTAGTAAGTGTCAGAGCCAGCTTTGAAATCCAGGCAGTCTGTCTCCAGAACCACGCTTTTAACTGCCATGTCACAGTGTTTCACGTCCAATACTTCAATTATGAATATATCTGCCAAGAGGATTTTGTGAGAACTAAATAAGGCCAAATATATCAGGTGGCTTTGTAAACTAGAGTCATTTTTGCAAACATGAACCAATTGTAAAGTATTTAAGAAATAGTCAAATTGTGTCACACTGTGGAGATAATGAAAGTATTTGCAAACTTCTCCTGAATCTGGTGTTTCAAAACTAACCATAAACTGAGATTATGAAAATGTCCCCTTCTTTCCTTCCTTTTCAGATGAATACATTGTAATGGAATTATTTTGATGGTTGGTGTTAGATTCTATTTTTATGATCAGTATCATGACAAGTCCAGTCAACTCTATTCTAAGGTGCCTCTTATATAGAACTCCTCTTTCCTGTCTTTAGGGTGTTATCCACAGCCAAGTCTTCACATCACACCTAAATCACACAACAGCTTCCTCCCCATCACTCTGCTTTGGGCCACTCTCATCTCACATCCATCCTTTCCAAAGCAGCTTGAAAATACAACATGGTTTCCCCATTCCAAGGAACCCAGAAAAGGCCTGCAATATACCCAATGAGAAAATGCAGGAAATAGAAATAGTAGGATTACGGGGGAAAGAACTGGCAGATGGTATAATTGCATACCTAGAAAACCCAAGAGAATTCACTGGAAGGCAAATATAACTAGAGTTTTTTAGGTAGCTTAAAAGTAACAACCAACATTTATGCAAAACACAACCCATGCCAGGGTCTGTCCTAAGCACTCTACATGCATCACTGAGTTCCCTTCCACTACTATTGTCCTCATTTTGTAAACAAGGAAACCAAGGCACAGGGAAGTTCGGTGGCTTGCCCAAGACCCAGGCAGTTCACCTCCTGTGTCTGCTTTCTTAGCTACTCTGCTATCAATAGCTTTCCTGTGTGCCAGCAATGACTTCTCACAGAATCTACTAGGAGAAAAAGAGGCAGCCATAACTGCTTTCAGAGGTACTGGCATTTCACTTACTACCTCACTTTACCACCTGTGTCCCTCAGCAGCTATGATTGTGGCCAGAGTCCCATGAAGCCTCTCACAAAGTAGTCATCAGTGTCTGGCCCTTATATCACTAACAACAGGGGTCCCAGGCTTGGGCTAGGGGTCAAATGGAAAGAAACATGGCAATACCCCATCATGAGGCTTGTCCCTCCCCTTGCAGGAGCACATTTTGTCCACAGCAGCCTGTTTTACAGGGAGCAACTCTGTCTTTAACAGATACAGCAGAAATCTTCTAAAAATCACAGCTCCATTTCAGGACAGGACTTTTGGTTTACATTTCTGTAACTAAAAGGCCCATTTGGGGAGTTTTTCCTGAATAAAAGGACAGAGTTCCCCAAATGAGTACTGCAGCTTCCACTTCTTATCAGAAGGAAACTCACTGCAGCTGTGCTGGCCGGGCCCCAGGCACAGCCGTGGTGGCTGCCCAACACGTGAAACCCGAAGAAGATGCGGATGGCGCCATCTTGGTTTGCTATGGAGCACGTGAATTACAGTTTTCTTCATCATTTTGAAATTTTTCCAGAGCAGAAGCAATATTTCTTATCCCGTTAATCATTTCTAGGGCACCAAATAGCACTCTGAAAGGAACAGGGCACTAATTGGCTGGTTGACTAAGCTGCAGCCTAGGACCCTCCCTCCCGAAGAAGCGAGAGTAAGCAATATTTATCAAGCACCCTTTATATGTACACAGTGGGTAGGTACTTTCATAGGTCATCTTATTTAATCCCCACTGTAACCTTACGAAGAAAATGTTGTTACAATCACTTTAATTTTAATTTTTTTTTTTTTTTGAGACAGGGTCTCACTCTGTCACCCAGGCTGGCATGCAGTGGCATGATCTCGGCTCACTGCAACATCCCACTCCCAGGCTCAAGTGATCCTCCCACCTCAGCCTCCTGAGTAGCTGGGATTACAGGCACATGCAGCCATACCTGGCTAATTTTTGTGTTTTTAATAAAGACAGGGTTTCATCACACTGGCCAGGCTGGTCTTGAACTCCTGACCTCGAGTGAGTCACCCTCCTTGGCTTCCCAAAGTGCTGGGATTATAGGCATGAGCCACTGTGCCAGCCTGTTATACTCACTTTAGATGTGAAGAGACTGAGGTCCCAAGTGGGTAAGGAACGCTTAGTACATACATAGTGTGGCTCAGGCTTGAATCCAAAACCCATGGTCTTTCAATCCTTATAGTTCATCTGTATAGACTTGGTGAAAAGGCCTAACGTGGGTAGAATGTGAGTGCCTCAAGAATGACAGCAAGGCAGCCATGGTGGGACACTCCTGCACAGGATGAGAGAATTCCAAGGTGGTGGGACTCTGGGGTAGGGGGCTAGGGAGAGAGGTAGGACTTCTAAAGACTGATGACAGCCTCTGGGATGTCACTCGCAGGAGGGTGCCCATCAGACTGAGCTTGTACAGAATGCTCTTTCGGTGGTCTGAGCCTAGCAAGGCCTGCCCGCCTGCCGGCTCCAAGTCTTCTCTGCCCTGAGCCTGTCTGCAGGATGAGACAGCATATGGGGACATGGACCAGTGGCTTTCCCAGCCCAGGACCTTTGCTGCTCCTCAGGACTGAGCCGAACCACAGCTCTTCTCACTTGGGCCAAGTTAAATGCCAGGGCTGTTGATACAGTAAACAGGAAAAAGGGCATTTGGATTTGGTCCCTGAGGCTGGGCCTGAGGGGTCAGGCTGCCCTCCATGAGGAACAGGACATGGTAGGGACTCGGTTGCCGCTTCTCTCTTCTACTGTCCCAGCTGTCTCTGTTTTTTAGGCAACTTTCTGTGGCTTTTTCAAGAGTGGAGATTTGGCTGGAGCAGGATTAGGTAAGAAAAGAGGGAACGGAGAGAGATGGGTGGTGGGACTGGAGGTAAGGACGGAAAGGATGGAGTTGGCCATGGAGGGAGGGGCCTAAGCCACTAGAGCAGCATCTACTGAGTTCTTACCTTGTGCTAGTAATGGTGCTGAGCACTTCATGGACACCATTTCTCTGAATCCTCGGAGCCACTTAAGGGTTAGGCACTCTTATTACCCCATTGCATTGATAGGGAAGCTGAGCTTAGCAGACACCTGGACCCAGATCTGTCTGACTCCCAAGCCAGCGATCCTGTCCACTACATTGTGGAGGGGCAGGGGATGGGGCGGGTGTGGGGAGGGGTTGAAGAGAGACACTGAGAGAGCCCAGGGAACTCGGGCAGGGAAGGCTGGCCCAGAGTTGAGATCATTGCAGTCCTGGGCTCCCCCTTCCTGTGGCTCCCTCGTTGCCACCCCAACTGCACACGCTCCTGATTGGCAGGCCTGTCTCTTTTAGGAAGCCTCCTGCTACACGCTTTCCCTGAGAAAAACCTCCTCTCTGGAAGGGGCCTGAGGTGAAAATGATTCAGAAGGCAGCTGAGGAGTTCTGGAAAGAGCCCCAAAGACCAGGCTCTGAGGCCTCCCTGGGCCACTTACTAACTAAATGGGAGAAGATTACTTGAGAAAAAGCCTAGAACAGTGCCCAGCATGGTAGGTGCTCATTTAAATTTTTATCTGTAAAAGCAGAGATCATATCCCTACCTCAGTCTGTGATCAGGTTGGGCAGGTATTCTGCATGTGAAAGTTCTTAGGAAACTGTAAAGTTATTTAATTGTAAGCGTATTAGTATGATCTCAGGAATGTGTGTATTTTATGAGAGAGCTAAGTGTCAAGCCAAGGGATGAGTTGACTGGCTGGGAAGTTTTTTTGGGCACAGAAAGTCCCCGCTGGTTCTCCAGAAACAACCTGAAATCCCACAACTTGTCTCCAGCTGCCCCCTATGAGGCTGGAAGCCAAGCTGAGCTGGTACAAAACCCTCAAGAGGAACCCTAAGGCTCGAGGCCATGGAGCTTCAGAGAATTTCTCAAGGAGAAGAAAGTTGTCTTCAGATGTTACAACTTAGCTTTAGATGGCAAGGAGGCTGTTTCCTCAGAGAGGGGCTCGCTGTGATTGCACAGGGACCATGGCCAGGCAGTAGTGCCACAGCTCTGCAAACTGGCTCCATAGACCAGAAGACAGACAGAAGACAGGTACACAGATGGGAGTGCAATGCAAAGGGGCTGTGGGTTGCATACTGCAGCTGGAAGACACAGCTTTTTGGATTTCCCTGAATTCCTGCCAGGCACTTTTCTCCCGGACGACCTTCCTGATGGCACTAAGAACTTAGCTGCTTTACAGCTAAAGGCACTCACCCTTCAAAGGGAGTTATTGCTTGCTCAGGTTATATAGCTCCGAAGAAGTGGATTAGGGATTTATATTCAGTTCTGTCAGATCCAGTACCCAATTTCTTTTATTTATTTTTCGAGACAGAGTCTTGCTCTGTTGGCCAGGCTGGAGTGCAGTGGCACAATCTTGGCTCACTGCAACCTCTGCCTCCTGCATTCAAGCAATTCTCGTGCCTTAGAATCCCGAGTAGCTGGGATTACAGGCGACCACCACCACCCCCGACTAATTTTTGTATTTTTAATAGAGATAGGGTTTCACCACGTTAACCAGGCTGGTCTCGAACTCCTGACTTCGGGTGATCTGCCCACCTCAGCCTCCCAAAGTGCTGGGATTACAGGCGTGAGCCACCATGCCTGGCCCAGTACCCAATTTCTGACTATTAAATGGTGTGGCTTCCAAGTAGCATCAACTTTTTAAAAATTCAATTTTATTTTAAATTATGGTGAAAAAAAACACACATAGCATAAAATTTACTCAACAATTTTTAAGTACAGGTTGTTAAATCTGTCTACTCTGGAACTGTCTAGAACTTTTTCGTCTTGCAAAACTGAGACTCCATACCCCTTGAATAACAATTTCCCAATTCTTCCTCCCTTTAGCTTCTGGCAACCACCATTCTATCTTCTGTTTCTATGAGTTTGACTACTTTCATTATTATTATTATTTGGATACAGGGTCTCACTCGTTGCCCAGGCTGGAGTGCAGTGGTGCGATCATGGCTCACTGCAGCCTCAACTTCCTGGGCATAGGTGATCCTCCCACCTCAGCCTCCCTAGTAGCCAGGACTACAGGCGTGCACCACCACACCTGGATAATTTTTTGTAATTTTTTTTTGTAGAGACGGCATTTCACCGTGTTGGCCAGGCTGGTCTCAAACTCCTGGGCTCAAGCAATCAACCCGCTTTGGCCTCCCAAAGTGCTGGGATTACAGGCATGAGCCACCGTGTCCAGACTGAGTTTAATTACTTTAGATGCTTCATCTAGGTGGCATCATACAGTATTTGTCTTTTTGACACTGGTTTATTTTACTTAGCTTAATGTCCCCCATGTTGTAGCGTATGACAGGATTTCTTTCTTTTTAAAGATGGAATAATATTCCATCGCATGTGTATACCACCTTTTCTTTATCCGTTCCTCCTTCGATGGACATTTGGGTTGGTTCCCCCTCTTGGCTATTGTAAGTAATGCTGTAGTGAACAAGGGTGAGCAGCATTGTCTTTTAAAGCAAAGACATTTGCATGTGTGTACACATATGCATAAAAGTATGGGCACATATTCAAGTGTGGTATATACATACGCCTCCACTGAGGGTAGACCCAGGCATAACCTGCCTTGGTGTATACCTCAGAGCAAAGTAACTCTGTAAAGCAATCACATATTCATGAAATAATGTCAGGTTTTAAAAACTTTTATCAAATCAACAGAGCATTTAAATGCAATTGAAACCGCCTTTGCAAAATTATGACTGAGACAGTGAAAGAGATCTAACCTTACTGACTCCATCTTGCTTCTAGCCTCAAAGCTGCCCTTGTAGGCTGGGTGTACGCTGAACTAATTTGGGGGGAAACTTAGTTTATAGTTTAAATAAAGATGGTAACAGCCCTTTCCCAAAGCAGGCCTCCTTCTTGCCTGGGGACTAGATTGCCTTTGTAGGACTAACATTACCTGCAAGATTAGAAATTATGGTTTAGGAGTCATGCAGCTGGAGACTTCAAGATTCCGATCCTCCCTAAACTGCTCCTAAGATCATTGCTTGAGATATTTTGTAGACCCTGCGCTTGATGAATCAGCTGGCACCACCCAGATCAGTAAACTGGTTCATCTGATCTTGTAGCCCCCACCCAGGAACTGACTCAGTGCAAGAAGACAGGTCCGACTCCCTATTATTTCTTTCTTTCTTTCTTTTTTTTTTTTTTGAGACAGGGTCTCACACTGTTGGCCAGGCTGGAGTGCAGTGGTGCGATCTTGGCTCACTGCAACCTCCACCTCCATATTCAAGCGATTCTCCTGCCTCAGCCTCCCGAGTAGCTGGGATTACAGGTGGCTGCCACCACGCCCGGCTAAGTTTTATTATTTTTAATAAAGATGGGGTTTCACTATGTTGGCCAGGCTGGTCTTGAACTCCTGACCTCGTGATCCACCTGCCTCAGCCTCCCAAAGTGCTGGGATTATAGGTGTGGGCCACTGCACCTGGCCTGTAATTTCATCTCTGACCAATCAGCACTCCTGGCTCACTGGCTTCCCCTCACCCACCAAGTTATCCTTAAAAACTCTGCTCCCTGAATGCTCAGGGAGACTGATTTGAGTAATAATAAAACTCCCGTCTGCAGCACAGCAGCTCTGCATGAATTACTCTTTCACTGTTGCAATTCCCCTGTCTCAATGAATCAGCTCTGTCTAGGCAGCGGGCAAGGTGAACCCCTTGGGCGGTTACAAATTTGGGGGCTCGTCTGGGATTGCCCTTGTGGCTACTTGCCCATGGTTCAGTGGCCTCCTCCCCCAGCGATGAATCCAGAAGTCAGCCCAAGCGGCAGCCTGGTTCTCTTGGACTGGGGGCTGACTCTGGTATTTCTCTACTGGCAGGGCACTGCCGACCCGATGTGCATGGATTTAATTGCAGTGGAGAAAGAGTCCTAGGGAGACACCACTTAATTGTAGCCCTATCACAGGGCGTCTGTCTGTAGCCCCATGGTGGGATGTCTGTAGCCCCATTGTGGGCTGTCTGGATTGGTAAGTATCCTAGGCACTGCCAATGGCTTCTTCCTTCTCCTGACTGGTTATGTAGCCCTATGGTGGTGTGTCTGTAGCACCATTGCAGGGTGTCTGTTCAGCTCCTGTGGGGGTCTCAGTTGGCTCTTTCTAACTAGTCACACAGCTCCGAAGGTCTAATAGGAAGAGTCCTGGTTTGGGAGACTTGTCTTCAATCAGGAAGATTTCGAGGAGTTTTCTCAGAAGGAGACTAGGAGAATAGTTTGGGAGGGATACTCTTGGAGTTCTTGGTTAGGGATCTGATTTAGAAGGCCTTCTGTCTTTGCATGTGTTCGTATATTTGGAAGGAATCTCAGAGAGGTTGCTGATGGAAGTCCAGCAGGCCTAACTCAGAGAACCCTCCTTATTTGTCTGGTCACATTCGATGAGCTCTAAAGAAGGCTCAACAGGCCTGTCTCAGGGGGTGAATATCTGCTCTTCCCATTGCTCAGATACCCCGTTGTGAATTACCATTTGGAGGTAGTCCGTCCCCACCTGGAGTGGATCAAAGACAACAGAGGCCAACGGGGAAAAAGTTTGAGCTTTGCCAGGCTGATATTGGCTGCTGAATAAGGTGACTAATGTCTGTTTTGTTATGTGTATTTTGCTGGGATGGAAAATGTTAATTTGGTTTCCCATGCAGCCCGTCAGGCAGCATCTTGCAAATAAAGAATCTTGTCTTACAGGGTGATTTTCTCTTGTAAAATGGCTTGAACCCCAAAGCTATAGCACAAGCAAGCAGGGTCATCAGAAGCCACTCCATTCTTCTGGAAGCTGCAGGGAAATGGAACCCAGAAACCAGGTATGACAGCAAAAAGGGTAAAAAATTCTTACCGGCCAAGTTTCTGATCTGTCTTGCTTTCTCTGTCTGAATAAACGGTAAACTATTTGTCTCCTCTGCAAGGGTTTGATTAACAGAAAAAAGGATTTGTGAGACTAGTCTTAAGCTGTAAAAATCTGGTGTGCTTTGTGCTAAGAATTTGTCTTTCTGTGTTCTGTAATGGAGAGAGGGGTATCACAGGATAGAACATGGGTTTAGGACCCCTAAGCCTGCTTTTAAAGTCAGCTTGGCAGGCTGGTCAGTTATAAACTTTGCTATGGGTCCCTGAAACCAATACGGTATGAAATTTCTCTGTTTTGTTTTGTGTCCTTAAGAGTTTAACCTTATGACCATGGGAGATACTTTCTTTTGGTTTCTACCACCCAGACGACAGGAATTTTGGGGTTCATGTCATAATCCTAATTTTTTTTTTTTTTTTTTTTTGAGATGGAGTCTTGCTCCCATTACGAGGGCTGGAGTGCAGTGGTGCAATCTCAGCTGAATGCAACCTCTGCCTCCCGGGGGTATTCCTTCCTCAGCCTCCCCAGCAGCTGGGATTACAATTTTTGTATTTTTAGTAGAGACAGTGTTTCACCATGTTGGCCAGGCCGGTATCGAACTCCTGACCTCAAGTGATCCACCCGCCTCAGCCTCCCAAAGTGCTAGGATTACAGACAGGCGTGAGCCACTGTGCCCAGCCTAAAAATTTTTCTTGAGCAATTAAAAGCCTTGCAAGCTTGAAATTGGCTTCTCTAGGCTCCTTCTGGGAAAAGCAATAGGAACTTCTCAATGCTGTATAGCTCGGTAGCTAAGGCTTTATCTTTTGACACTGGTGGCCTGGGTTCAATTGTTGGCTGCTGAAATGATTCATTTCTGGTTTGTTATTTGTGTAACGTTGCCATTTATTGAGGTTTTTTCCCATCGTAGATAGCTTCTGATTTCCTCTCTTGAATTTTCCTTTCTCTGAACTACCTTGTGGAGATTCTAAATCTTATAAAAAAAAGAAACTGCTTACCATGTCTTTGAAGCACCTAGGAGGTTACATTTGGTAAAGTTCAGAAGCTAGAAGTATTGGCCACTTGGCATGGCTAAAGTCAGGTAATAAGAGATTTGAAAAGATTTCTTTTTTAAAGAGCACTATGGTTAAAAGTTAGGTTAATTAAAAGTGGATAAACAAGCTATAGATGTATTTAAAAGGCCATTGTTTTTCTCTTCTTGGAACTTGTTTTTCTGGAAAAAGGTTTTTCCTTCTAAGTCGACTGAACTATTTTTCTCCATTTTTTTGTCTTGCCACTCTTAATACACACATCAGAGCCCCTAAGATAACTTCTGGTAGCTTGGGACTCCTTGGGAAAAACAGAGGAGGTGCTGCAGACCCCGCTTTGGGGAAAAAAACCCAAAACACTCTGTTTTCATCATGAAACCCCAGGAATTAATAGCGGATAGATCCCTCTCAAAATCAAAGGCTTGTTCTGTTTTGCATTGTGTTGTCTGACGGTTTTGAGTTTGGGGGGCATCAGAAATTACTTTGCATTATGAGAGAGCTTTGGTGTGTAATAACTAGGTAGGAAATATACTCTAAGGGATGGCTAATAGTAGTTAGGGAGGGGTACTTGACTCTTTGCACACTTGGATCAGAGAAGCATGCTCTTGGCCACCTGGAAGATAAGGAGACATCCCCACCCCCCACTGGGAGATGAGACTCTCATGAGGGATGGGCTGATTGCAAAATGGGCTGATTGGCTTTGGGTTGCTTTGCAATGAAATGCAGGGTAGAAGCACTGCACTGTCCTCTCCAGTAGTATTTCCCTCCTTTTGGGATCCAGGATCAGTATAAAATGGCACCCTTAATTTTGGGGATGTGTCTCTGCCTTCAGCTGCTTATTTGCTGCTTATTTGGCCTTAGAAATGCATGCTTTCCAGGCCCTGTTCCTCCAAGGGCTCCACCCCGAAGCCAGTAATCCAATTAAGAAACTGGCAAATGAAAAACCTTACAAGTGCCTAATCTTCTCTCTGTATATTTATATGTGTTGTATGTTTAGATATAAAAGAGCTCTGATTAATTGGCTTAGAAAAATAAGCGCTTAAATCAAATATTTTGTCAGAAAAATAGAAATTTTAATGCCTTTTTTTCTCGTCATTTTAGTAATCTTTTGGAAATAAAGACAGTTTTAAAGATTATTGGTAAAATAAAATGTCTTGAAAATGTAGACATTTGGTCTAAATTAAGATCAGGTATCAGACTTGCTAAATATTTTAAGTTCAAACTGTTTCTTTGACTTTTGAAAATTGTTCGATTTACCTACTTTGGAGCATTAGATTATAGATAATTCCTGCGGACATGGGGAGAGCCATGTCCGCTAGCTATGCTAAAAGGAGTCAGACCTTATCTTCATTTCTGTCTGATGTCCTAGGCTCCACCCCTAGTACATAATTAAAATCGCTTACTTGTCAGGTTTTTCACTAAAAATAAAAGGTGCTAAGAGTTAACATTGCAACATGTAGTCGAGACCGCTGGAGAAACAGTTTTACATACAAGGTGTGTAGGGAATGTGTTTTAGGTAAAAGATTATAAGAAGGCATGGGAATATGGCTTTTGTTAAAGGGAATGTAATTTTGTCTAGTTCAGAGGGTTTTAAAGATTGTCTTAACCTAAAAGAGTAATGGAACAAAACTGAAGGTTTAAGCAAAGTGAAAAGGGTTTGAAAAGGGTTGATCTTGTAAAACTTCTGTGGGTATAAACAAGTTGGCTAAGATTTAAAAGAAATTATTTAGCTTTTCCCCATAGGTTAAAACATTAAAATCATACTGATGTGGGGCCAGAATCTGGGCCCATGTGTACGAATAACAGGGTTTTCTTAGAAAATTGATCTGCTGTTTGATGGAAAATTGTAAAGGGTTCTAAAAAGTTTATGAAAATCTTGCCTTATGGTGAAACTAATTAAAACTGGATAGAGATATAAAATTTTATCTAAAAAACTAGCTTTAACGTTAAAAGATGCACTAATGCAAACAAGAAATTTGGTTTTCTCTTTTGAAGATGATTTTTATGTAATGTTAAAAGATAATGAAAGGGTTTTGTTTTCTCCTTTGGGTAAATGGCAGGGAAAAAAAAGAGGAGAGAGATAAGAGACAGATTGAGTTGGCCTCATGCTATCTTCATTGGGTCTTGTTTGGAAAGCTAAGTCTTCTCTATCAGAGTGAAGGTTTTTCTTTTTTAAAAATTGTTTTGGAGTTATCAATTCGGCCAAATGAATGATTTACGGTGATCTGGGATCTATTTTGTGATATCCTGTGTTTTAAACCTTTGATATTTGACAAGCTTTCCAATATCAAATTATAAATTCTGTCTCTTTCTAACCTAATATTTTAGATATTAGGTTCTTTAAAGTCCAAAAATGACATTTGGCTTATTTGGTACAAAAATCACACAGGAAGCATTGTCTGTCTCATGCGTCCATGTGAACAGACCACCAAACAGGCTTTGTGTGAGCAACAAGGCTGTTTATTTCACCTGGGCGCAGGCGGTCTGAGTCTGAAAAGAGAGTCAGCGAAGGGTGGTGGGATTATCGTTAGTTCTTATAGGTTTTGGGATAGGCGGTGGAGTTAGGAGCAATGTTTTTCGGGCAGGGGGTGGATCTCACAAAGTAAGTTCTCAAGGGTGGGGAGAATTACAAAGAACCTTCCTAAGGTGGGGGAAATTACAAAGTACGTTGATCACTTAGGGTGGGGCAGAAACAAATCACAATGGTGGAATGTCATCAGTTAAGGCTATTTTCACTTCTTTTGTGGATCTTCAGTTGCTTCAGGCCATCTGGATGTATACGTGCAGGTCACAGGGCATATGATGGCTTAGCTTGGGCTCAGAGGCCTGACATTGTCAAATATGAAATGGTGTTTGGCTTTCTTTGGTCTCTATTTGTGTAAATGTGTTATTGGTATATGTTCTGAAGTAATGTAAAACTCCTATAATTCTAATATGACTTAGTCTATGTTATCTGTAATAATTATAATTATTATGTTAACAGACTGTGTGCTACAAAGGTAAATTTCCTTGTCAATTGTGTCTTTAACTGTGGCTGCCCTAAAATGTTTTTGTCATCCACAGATAATTGCTGTCTCGTTTTGGTCCTCTTTAAAAGATGGTTTTATAATCAGTTTTAAAATGTAACAGGTGCTCTTAAATGCAGGATTCTGATAAATAACTCTGGAGATTGTGACATTTGAATAGAGGAAAAACTTTCAAATAGAAGAGTGAAGGGTGTTTGGTTCACTTTGGACTGTATTTGTATAAATATATTATTAGTATGTATTCCAAAATTATGGGAAACTTCTACAATGTTGATATAATTTAGTGTACATTGATAATAATATTGTTATGTAAAATTGTATGCCATAGAAGTAATCAAAATTCCTAGTCAATTGTAGCTTTAATAGGGCTTTAAAATTTGTGCTATTGGAATAGAGAAAAAAACCAAACTTCTAGGACTGTCATGGAGAGCTAATGTGTTAAACATTGCTAAACATTTTGTTTCCAGAGTCAAGGGAACTTATTTCTTTAGAGGTATTTGCAACTTTTAACAAATGAATAAGATATACTCCTGAGAACAAAATTTGGAGCATATTTGTTCCTCTCTACCTGATTTCTCCAGAATTTGGAAATTATTTGTGAATATTCTCAATTTATGGCAGTATAGTTAATTGTGTAAGTGCAATAAGAAGCTATTTTCTTCTGTAACAGAACACAGTTGGAGAAACTGATTATTTTACCAAGGTTTTGAATGGAATGGCATGCTTCCTTTAAAGAATCAAAGTTGACTTATAGAGCCAATTAAAGCCTGTTGGGGAATCTGACCTCATACCTTGTCTGCACAGTGTCCCCGTACAAGGTTCCTGACCTGTGGTAAGTAAGGAATTTCACTTTCTAACAGGCCCAGGAACCCCAAGTTGTCTTGGGACCTCAAGAGGAGAGGAATTTGCCCAACTCATAGGTATTTGTCGGTACAAACCCACAGCTGGGCTTGGCTTTTAAAAAGTCTTATCTGAGATTCTTCATGGAACAGAGTTCTATCAAAGCCAATTAAAAAAGTCTACATGAAAAATAATTATTCTTGCTGTACTTTTTACAAATAATTAGGCCAATTACAGTAAGACTAAAGTTTATTTTGTAAACGAATCAGTTCTATCATGATTTGTTTTTAAAAAAATGAAGACTGGAGAGAGAAAATTTATGCTTCAAAAGAAAAACTATAGTACACTGTTGTTAGCTATTCTTGAGGTTTTTTTCTGTAGTTTAGACTAAATTCCAAATTCTTTGTGGGCTAGAAGTCCTCAAACTAATGCTTTCAAATCTTTGTTTTTAAAATTGGGAATTGTACTCCTCAGCCTAGGACTCATTATTTACCTTATAATAGGCTGTTTCACTTAAACACTGTAGTAAAACTATAGTTGAGAGTACTAATGTTTTTGCCATGAAAGCCCAGCCAGGCCTGCATGAGTCACTCAGACAGTTACAAAGCAGTTCAACTCTTCTCACCTTGGGATGCACTCCCATTTCCACTACGTCCTCTGTTGGCAGGAAGAAGCCAGAGCGATTTACAACCTTTTCCCATCTTCATAGCCTACATCGTAAGACGAGGGCATTATAAAACCCAAAGGGAAGGATTGAAACTGCCTTTGCAATATTATGACTGAGACAGTGAAAGAGATCTAAGTATACTGACTCCATCTTGTTTCTAACCTCCAAGCTGTCCTTGTAGGCTGGGCATAGACTGAACTAACTTTGGGAAAAAACTTAGTTTATAGTTTAAACAAAGATGGTAACAGCCCTTTCCCAAAGCAGGCCTCCTTCTTGCATGGGAACTAGATTGCCTTTGTAGGACTAACATTAGCTGCAAGATTAGAAATTATGGTTTAGGAGTCATGCAGCTGGAGGCTACAAGATTCTGAGCCTCCCTAAATAGCTTCCAAGATCAGAGCTTGAGATATTTTGCAGACCCTGCACTTAATGGATCAGCTGGCACCACTAAGATCAATAAACTGGCTCATCTGATCTTGTGACTCCCACCCAGGAACTGACTCAGTGCAAGAAGACAGGTCCGACTCCCTATGATTTCATCTCTGACCAATCAGCACTCCTGGCTCACTGGCTTAGTTATCTTTAAAAACTCTGCTCCCCAAATGCTCAGGGAGACTGATTTGAGTAATAATAAAACTCTGGTCTCCCACATAGCTGGCTCTGCGTGAATTACTCTTTCTCTATTGCAATTCACCTGTCTTGATGAATCGGCTCTGTCTAGGCAGCAGGCAAAGCAACTTTGGGTGGTTACACAATGAAAATATTAAGAAAAAATTTTAAATGTTTTACCGAGTTCAAAACAAGGAGACTATTTTATTGATTAAAATGGTTTGGGACTTAAGCGCTTTTTAAATTAACTTCATATTTTGGAGCTGCCAGTCAGATTCTCCCAGGGCTGAGATAGTGGCACTTTGCCATAGACTGGTTTCTGCCATAGGCATGTTTAGAAGGACAATGTCCCTCTTCAAGGATGACCTGTTCTACTTTGGGTGAGGATGAATGGCAGGAAATCTTCAGGCTAGGGGTTTGCAAACAGTAAGCAATACAAATACATTTTATGTCGCAGTCCTGAATATATAAACATATGTATCTAGGTGAAGCAAAAATTCCATAGAAACAACACTTAACCTCACTCCAAGTGATGCACTCATATTTTCCAGGCCAGTGCTACTCGAAGTTTGGTCCCTGAACTGCTTGCTTATCACCAGCCAGGGAGGAGATGAGTGCAGAAAGTCAGAGAAATTAAAGTGTTTTGCACATTAAAAAGTGTCGACATCATTAGCCATTAGGGAAATGCAAATCAACACTACAATGGAGTACCACATCACACCCATTAGGGTGGCTATGATAAAAAAGATAGATAATCTTAAGTGTTGGTGAGGATGTGGAGAAATTGGAAACCTCATGCATTGCTGGTGGGAATGTGAAGTGGTGCAGCTGCTGTGGAAAACAGTCTGGCAGTTCTTCAACAAGATAAACATAGAGTTTCCGTATGACCCAGCAATTCCATTCCTGGGTGTATACCCAACAGCTTGTACATGAATGCTCATAGCAGCGTTATTTATAATAGCCCCAAAGTGGAAACAACCCAAATGTCCATCAACTGATGGATGGATAAACAAAATATGGTATATCCACAAAATAGAATATTATTTGGCAATAAAAAGAAATGAAATACTGACACATACTGATGAACCTTGAAACATTATGCTAAAGAAAGAAGCCAGTCACCAAAGACCACATGGTGTATGATTCCATTTTTCTGAAATGTCCAGAATAGACACATTTATGGAGGTAGAAAGTAGTTTAGTGGTTGCCTAGGGCTGGGGTAATGGGAGTCTGAGGGAAATGGGTATTACCTGCTAATGGGTAGAAGGTTTCTGTTAGGATTGATCGAAGTGTTCTAAGATAGATTGTGGTGATCTGTGAATGTACTAAACACCATTGAATTGTACACTTTAAATGGGTGAATTATATGTGAATTATATCTCAATAAAGCTGTTAAAAACAGAGTATTTGGCCAGGCGCGGTGGCTCACGCCTGTAATCCCAGCACTTTGGGAGGCCAAGGCGGGTGGATCATGAGGTCAGGAGATCGAGACCATCCTGGCTAACATGGTGAAACCCTGTCTCTTCTAAAAAAATACAAAAAAATTAGCCAGGCCTGGTGGCGGGTGCCTGTAGTCCCAGCTACTCAGGTGGCTGAGGCAGGAGAATGGAGTGAACCTGGGAGGCAGAGCTTGCAGTGAGCCGAGATTGCGCCACCGCCCTCCAGCCTGGGGGACAGAGCAAGACTCCATCTCAAAAAACAAAAACAAAACCAAAACAAAAACAAAAACAGAGCATTTTAGACACTTACAGTAAGTTGACATTAGTATGATATCTATGAGCATGATCCTTTTCCTAGTAATTCATTTTTATTGTTTTATTGCATTTTGCAAAAGTATCCATTCATGACAGATTGGAACTGAAAAAAAAAGCAGATCCCTTCGCAACCAGCCGGGCCAACATGGCAAAACCCTGTCTCTACTAAAAATACAAAAATTAGCCAGACGTGGTGGCACACACCTGTAATCCCAGCTACTTGGGAGGCTGAGGTGGGAGAATCACTTGAACCCAGGATGCGGAGGTTGCAGTGAGAAGAGATCATGCCACTACATTCCAGCCTGGGCAACAGAGTGAGACTCTGTCTCAAAAAAAAAAAAAAAAGTAAATCCTCTATAATTGATCCTTTGAAAGGCATTGTTCTAATCTATTTTGCTATTTTAAAAAAATTCTAACAAGGAGGAACTGGTACCATTCCTTCTGAAACTATTCCAATCAATAGAAAAAGAGGGAATCCTCCCTAACTCATTTTATGAGGCCAGCATCATCCTGATACCAAAGCCGGGCAGAGACACAACCAAAAAAGAGAATTTTAGACCAATATCCTTGATGAACATTGATGCAAAAATCCTCAATAAAATACTGGCAAACAGAATCCAGCAGCACATCAAAAAGCTTATCCACCATGATCAAGTGGGCTTCATCCCTGGGATGCAAGGCTGGTTCAATATATGCAAATCAATAAATGTAATCCAGCATATAAACGGAACCAAAGACAAAAAACACATGATTATCTCAATAGATGCAGAAAAGGCCTTTGACAAAATTCAACAACACTTCATGCTAAAAACTCTCAATAAATTAGGTATTCATGGGACGTATCTCAAAATAATAAGAGCTATCTATGACAAACCCACAGCCAATATCATACTGAATGGGCAAAAACTGAAAGCATTCCCTTTGAAAAATGGCACAAGACAGGGATGCCCTCTCTCACCACTCCTATTCAACATAGTGTTGGAAGTTCTGGCCAGGGCAATCAGGCAGGAGAAAGAAATAAAGGGTATTCAATTAGGAAAAGAGGAAGTCAAATTGTCCCTGTTTGCAGACGACATGATTGTATATCTAGAAAACCCCATTGTCTCAGCCCAAAATCTCCTTAAGCTGATAAGCAACTTCAGCAAAGTCTCAGGATACAAAATCAATGTACAAAAATCACAAGCATTCTTATACACCAACAACAGACAAACAGAGAGCCAAATCATGAGTGAACTCCCATTCACAATTGCTTCAAAGAGAATAAAATACCTAGGAATCCAACTTACAAGGGATGTGAAGGACCTCTTCAAGGAGAACTACAAACCACTGCTCAAGGAAATAAAAGAGGATACAAACAAATGGAAGAACATTCCATGCTCATGGGTAGGAAGAATCAATATCGTGAAAATGGCCGTATTGCCCAAGGTAATTTACAGATTCAGTGCCATCCCCATCAAGCTACCAATGACTTTCTTCACAGAATTGGAAAAAACTACTTTAAAGTTCATATGGAACCAAAAAAGAGCCCGCATCACCAAGTCAATCCTGAGCCAAAAGAACAAAGCTGGAGGCATCACACTACCTGACTTCAAACTATACTACAAGGCTACAGTAACCAAAACAGCATGGTACTGGTACCAAAACAGAGATATAGATCAATGGAACAGAACAGAGCCCTCAGAAATAACACCGCATATCTACAACTATCTGATCTTTGACAAACCTGAGAAAAACAAGCAATGGGGAAAGGATTCCCTATTTAATAAATGGTGCTGGGAAAACTGGCTCACCATATGTAGAAAGCTGAAACTGGATCCCTTCCTTACACCTTATACAAAAATCAATTCAAGATGGATTAAAGACTTAAACATTAGACCTAAAACCATAAAAACCCTAGAAGAAAACCTAGGCATTACCATTCAGGACATAGGCATGGGCAAGGACTTCATGTCTAAAACACCAAAAGCAATGGCAACAAAAGCCAAAATTGACAAATGGGATCTAATTAAACTAAAGAGCTTCTGCACAGCAAAAGAAACTACCATCAGAGTGAACAGACAACCTACAAAATGGGAGAAAATTTTCGCAACCTACTCATCTGACAAAGGGCTAATATCCAGAATCTACAATGAACTCAAACAAATTTACAAGAAAAAAACAAACAACCCCATCAAAAAGTGGGCAAAGGACATGAACAGACACTTCTCAAAAGAAGACATTTATGCAGCCAAAAAACACATGAAAAAATGCTCACCATCACTGGCCATCAGAGAAATGCAAATCAAAACTACAATGAGATACCATTTCACACCAGTTAGAATGGCAATCATTAAAAAGTCAGGAAACAACAGGTGCTGGAGAGGATGTGGAGAAATAGGAACACTTTTACACTGTTGGTGGGACTGTAAACTAGTTCAACCATTGTGGAAGTCAGTGTGGCGATTCCTCAGGGATCTAGAACTAGAAATACCATTTGACCCAGCCATCCCATTACTGGGTATATACCCAAAGGACTATAAATCATGCTGCTATAAAGACACATGCACACGTATGTTTATTGCAGCATTATTCACAATAAGAAAGACTTGGAACCAACCCAAATGTCCAACAATGATAGACTGGATTAAGAAAATGTGGCACATATACACCCTGGAATACCATGCAGCCATAAAAAATGATGAGTTCATGTCCTTTGTAGGGACATGGATGAAATTGGAAATCATCATTCTCAGTAAACTGTCGCAAGAACAAAAAACCAAACACCGCATATTCTCACTCATAGGTGGGAATTGAACAATGAAAACACATGGACACAGGAAGGGGAACATCACACTCTGGGGACTGTTGTGGGGTGGGGGGAGGGGGGAGGGATAGCATTGGGAGATATACCTAATGCTAGATGATGAGTTAGTGGGTGCAGCGCACCAGCATGGCACACGTATACATATGTAACTAACCTGCACATTGTGCACATGTACCCTAAAACTTAAAGTATAATAAATAAATAAATTAATTAATTAAAAAATAAAAAATAAAAAAATTCTAGTTTTCAGACACTAAATTGATTTCATTATCCAATGGGTTGTGACTTGTAGTTTGAAAAGTACTGCCCTGGGGGCACGGCACCCCAGCAGGGAAGGTTTGGTGACCTCAGCAACTGTCAGAGGTGAGTGGTGCCTTCTGGATAAACTAACACCTTGATCTGACTCTGCCCAGTCTCCTGCTCCTACATCGCATGTTCACACACAGGCCTTCCACTCCCATCCTACCCAACAACTTACTTTCCCCAACATGGCAAACCAGTTGGGATTCCAGTGTCTTTACAAATGATTCCTCTGCCAGGAATAACAAAACTTCAGTGCCATCCACCTAGAAAACACCTTGTTATTCTCCAAGTTGCAGCTCAGACATATTATCTCTACCTGGACCCACTTCCTCTTTGCTCCTCTTACCCCAAGTCCATAAAAGCAACCATTACACAGCATGGCAATCACACCGTTGCTGGTCCATCTGCCCCAGGAGATGGTGAGTTTCAGTAAGGTAGGTAAGATCTTTTGTTCATCTGTGCATCCTGGCGTTCACCAAGGGGTCAGATGCATGGTCAGTGCTCAGAGCATAAATGTAGCATAGTTCACCCCTGTTTTTATGACAACTGGAATCCTTCCTGTCTGCTACACTAGACAAAGAGCTAGGCAAAAAGCCCTCCAAGTAGAATCCTGCCCTTCCCACATCCTTGGCTTGGGGGGTGGGTTCCCCTTCCCTTGTATTTCTGGGCCATTTTACCCAGTATGGTGGGTTAACATGGTGACTCCTGTTTCCTGGCTGCTTATGTGTCTCTCATTCCTTGCATCCTCCACCTTGGTACTGATGGACTTCTCTTTCTGTTTCCTACTGATATCTGGGGCCACGGGGTAAAATTTCCCAGCTTCTTTGATATGGGAAATCCTTATTTTGTACTGTGCCTTACAGATGGCAATTAGTTTCTAATCATGTTGCTTAAAAGAGGATCTCCCTTTTTTCCCCGTTCCTATCTGACCTAATTTTTTAATGTCTAGCTAGATCCAGGATACAATCCATTTATGACACATAATATTGTGTTAATCCTGTTGCTTTCTCTCCCTTTCCCTCAAGCCCTTGACCATTTAGCAGTATTAAAACATAAAAGGTCAAATTGCCTCCGACTTGAGGTGAGCAGCATAAAGAAATCAAGGGAGACAAACAGACTAAAACACATCGTTGACATGACTTAGAAAGGCACAGCAAAGTAGATGGAACTAAGCCCCATCTGGCCAAGTTTCCCACAAATTAGAGGTAAACTATATCTCATTACCATTAGCTACTTTCAAGCTGAATTGGGACTGACTTTGTGTTTCTGCCTCAGTAACGATGCAGTGTAGTACAGCACTTAGGAGCAAGGGCTCTGGGAATGCAATGTGTGAGTTCGTGCACTGGCTCTACTATTTACCAGCTGTGTGATCTTGGGCAAGTTACTTAACTTCTCTGTGTTCCTAGTTTCTTTCTGTAAAATGGAAATTGTATTTGTACACAACCCATAGGTCTGTTATAAGGATTAAACAAGTTAACATAAAAAGGGCATATAACACTGTGCTGACCTAAAGTGAGTGCTCAATAAATTTTAGCTATGATTAACTATTTCTGAGGACCTACTCTTCACGTATTCATTAAAGCTATAGATCCAAGGAACAATGAAGCAGGAATTGATTTCTCATACCAAGCCTGTACCAGACCTTGCCTTTCTGTAGACACTTAATACCTCATTTAATTTTTATAGTAACTCAATGAGATACATTCTGTTACCCCCATCTTATAGCAGAATTAAGCTCAGAAATGTTAGGTAAAAAGAGAAAAAGAAATCAAAGAACACTACTGTTCAAAGTAGGGCAAAATGACTGATGATTTAAGGTTTTGTTGACAGTTTCTCTCAGCCGAGATCAAAGCGCTAATCAGTAGGAGGTGATGCTTGATTGCCCATCTAAGGATGGGAAAAAGCTGGCTGGAGCTGGTTCCTGAAACACACTCCCAAGTATCTGAGGAGAGCAAAAATCACCCAGTGATCATTGAACAGGCCCCAGAGACAAAAACTCCTTATCTGAGGGATTTAGAAGGGAGCAAAGACCACCTGGTGACCATCAAACAGGCCATCCGGAGGCAAAACTCCTCATCTGGGGAAATTAGAAGTAATTAGACTTTCCTATTATATAGAGCAGACATCTGGTTCCAGATTTCTTTCCCCCACAAAATTTATACGTAACTGGAATTTATTTATTTATCTATTTATTTATTTATTTATTTTTTGAGATGGAGTCTCGCTCTGTGGCCCAGGCTGGAGTGCAATGGCGCAATCTCAGCTTACTGCAGCCCCTGCCTGCCAGGTCCCAGTTCAAGCGATTCTCCTGCCTCAGCCTCCTGAGCAGCTGGGACTACAGGCACGTGCCATTATGCCCAGCTAATTTTTGTATTTTTAGTAGAGACGAGGTTTCACCATGTTGGCCAGGCTGGTCTTGAACTCCTGACCTCGTGGTTCACCTGCCTCGGCCTCCCAAAGTGCTGGGATTGCAGGTGTGAGCCACCGAGACTGGCCCATAACTAGAATTCTTATAAATCTCTGGAATGCCATGCCAAAACTCATTGTGCAACCTAAGGCACCAAAATTCTACAAATGTAATCATGTATCATGACTTATGTGGCTGGCTAGTATGGTTCAAATTACCCTCAAGCTCCTGCCTGAAGGTCCATAAGTACCCCTAAGGAAAAATCTACCATGGCAAGTTCAGTCCTCTCCCTGAGGTGTCCTGCTGCACCCTTCTGCAGTGTTTTTTCTAATAAACTTTCCTTTTTCAAACATATCCTGTTGCTGGTAAGTTCTTTTTACCAACCCGCGAGTCTACCACTTCACAATGCCAGGGTTCTGACACCGCCCCCACAACCCCCGGCAGTATCCTCTCATTGTAGCCTTTAGGCCTCTAAAGGATTCTGGTGAGAGGGAAATTATAATGTCCCCAATTCATGGCTGGGAATCTGAGCCAAGTCAGGTGGCCAGTGAGTGACAGAGCAGTGCCAGGAACTCAAATCCTTTGATGACAGTGATCATTGACCACAGGCAGCCTCACCCAGCTCGCTGCTCCAATGGCACTGACAATTCAGACCCATGCTCAAGCCTTGGTGATTTGTTGAGGAAGAAAATTCCCATGCACCAGTGACATGCTCAGCCAAGAAAGCTCCACACTTGGACTCCCACACACGCGCCCACCCTGTCAGAGCATCTGGGTCAGGAGGTAACAGTCAAATTACCTCTTCTCAATCCCCTTCCCCTCTGGTAAGTTTCTCCCTTGGTGGTTCTTGGTGGCCTTTCCCACCAGTGGTCCTCAGCAGGGACCACATCAGCTCATCACAGAGGTTCCCATAGTCTTGAGTTGGAAAGAGGGAGGGATTGGATATTGATCCCTCTCTTCCTAGTTGATGGAATTTTGTTGAATCTGATTTCAATTCCAAGAATTTTTCATGAGTCACATAAAATCTGAACCTGCTGTGGAAATTCAAATAACTTTTACTTATTGCCTATAAATCACTTTGAATCATGTATAGAAATTGCTAGACTGGGTGTGATGGCTCACACCTGTAATCCCAACACTTTTGGAGGCCAAAGTAGGAGGATTGCTTGAGACCAGGAGTTTGAGATCAGCCTGGGCAACATAGTAAGACCCAGTCTCTACAAAAAGTAAAAAATTAGCTGGGCATGGTGGCATGTACCTGAGGTCCCAGCTACTCGGGAGGTTGAGGCTGGAGGATCATTTGAACCCAGGAAGTTGAGACTGCAGTGAGCCATGATGGTGCCACTGCACTCCAACCTAAGTGAGAGAGCAAGACTCTGTCTCCAAAAAAAAAAAAAAAAAAGAAGAAATTTCTTTCTCAGTTGGATGAGTTTTAAATGGAAATCTAAATTTCCTTGGCTTAAGTCTGGGTTTCATCCACTGACAGCTTCATTGTTTTGTTACCTCTACCCCTCCACCATCCATTAGACCATAGCTAATTTTTTTTTTTTTTTTGAGACAGAGTCTCACTCTGTCGCCCATGCTGGAGTGCAGTGGCATGATCTTGGCTCACTGCAACCTCCTCTTCCCTGGGTTCAAGCAATTCTCATGCCTCAGCCTCCTGAGTAGCTGGGATTACAGGTGTGCACCACCACACCCAGCTAATTTTTTTATTTTTAGTAGAGATAGGGTTTTGCCATGTTGGCCAGGCTGGTCTTGAACTCCTGGCCTCAAATGATCTGCCTGCCTCGGCCTTCCAAAGTGCTGGGATTACAGGTGTGGCCACTGGGCGCAGCAGACCATAAGTAAATTAATCAATGTTTGCTTGATGGAGAAAGTATGAATGGATGGGTGGAGGGACAGATGATGGACTGACTAATGGCAAGATGGACAAACAGATATGTGAATCTGTGAGCAGACAGATGGATAAGACCATGGTAATGACAACGTTGCCTTGTGATACACTTCTTAGCTACTTACTCATGATGATTTTATTGAACTAAATATTTGCTGGACCAGAAATCTCAATTATTGACTGACTTTGAAAGTAGAAATGTAACTAAGATCTTTACGTATGCTTTGGCTAATTGCTTTCCCTCACTGCCATTTAGTTGGCTTTGTTTTCAGTGGTGACATGAATTTCAGATGGATATCATCACTTTGAAGGATCCTGGTCAAACCTTCAGCTACAAGGACTGCCCAGACTTAAGCCATGCCAAGGATTTGACTCCTTTCCAGCTCCTAGCATGCCTCAGTACCCCCTAAGAGGTGCTGCTGTGCTTCTGCTCCCAACACAGAACTCCCAGACCAAAGACAATTTCTGTCCCTCCAGATTACCCTCTCTCTTATGACAGGTCCTTTTAAAAGAGACCTTTGAAGAGTGGACAAACTAGATGAACTGTCCTCAGGTAGGGCTGCAGGTAATGGCTCAAGTTGCTTATTAATAGAATTTGGTAGCAAACCTATTTGGATGGAAGTGTCCTCTGTGTCTGCTGCTGCCTCACCCACCTTCTCCCTTGGGCCTGCCAATGAAGTCTCTGTCCATTTTGCTCTCCATCCTGAATGCAATATCCCTAAGTCATGTGGGCCCTGGCCAGCTGCCCCTTTCTATTCCTGCTCCTGCCAGGCCCTCCCCATCCCACCTGCCTCCACCTAGCTTCTTGTTACTCAGGCCTATCTGTTTGCTCTCATCCAGCTCTGTTTGCTCTCACCCAGGCCTAGGGTACAGTTAGTTCTAACCGACAGAATGTTCTACATAGTGACAAGTTGAACTCTTCCTAGTAGTAATTCCACCTATAGAATTACCTACTCCACAGAATATGCTAATTCTATTTCCACCCTCTGGGGCAACACAGAATAAATCCATTCCATCTTCTGCAGGAAGATCGTTTAGTGTTGAAGACAACTTTGAAGATGACTAATGTATCCCCTGAGACTTCACTCTAGGCTGATAGCTCCAGTTCCAGCAGTATTTCCTCGGGGCCGTTGCTTTCCAGGCCTTCACCATTCTGGACATTTTCTGGTTTTTTATTCTTAAAATGTTTTTCAGAAGACTGAGGAACTGTCCCAGAATGGAGGCGACTAGGGAGACACGACAACTAAATGCTACATTGAAGCCTGGATTGGATTTTCTGTACCAGAAAAGGGAGATTAGTGGGACAATTAACTTAGTTTGAATAGGATCTGTAAAGTAGTTAACAGTATCAATGTCAATTTCCTGATTTTGGTAATAATGTATGGTTATGTAAGATGTTAACATTTAAGAATGCTCAGTGAAAGGCATACGGGAATTATTTTTGCAGTTTTTTGGAAATTGAATATTATTTCAAAATGAAAGGTTTTTAAGTTAAAAAATAATCTTTCAGATGTGTTGGATTTGCATGGTGTCAATTTAGCTAAGCTGGAACTACAGCTCCCAGAATTCCTTTCTCTGTATAGTGTGGAGTTGGTGTGGGCTGCAAGAGATCTGTGTGTGAAATTCTGAAGGCAGAAGTGAGGGAGTGCCCGGGCGGGGCACCAAGTGCTGCTGCAGCCCATGCAGTTTGTTGTAGGGCAATGGCTATGCCCACAGCTCCAGCCTGATCTATTTCTGCTTCTTCGAGCCCTTGGCCTGGTACATACTTAGCTCCTTGTGTGAGGAAGGGCACCATTTAGAAGGAACAGTGTGGAATCTTCAGGCTGCTCATTTTGTATTTGATAGATGCTGAGCATTTGCCCCAGTAAACATTTCAACGACCTATTTTAAAATCATTTTAATCTATTGGGAAGAAACTCAGTTGATGAGTTAGTTGATATTAGAACAGTATCAATGTGGTCTAAAATTTGGTTACCTTTTTGAGAAATCAAGTCATAATGCTATCTCCTATTAAGCTAGTGTCAACTATAAATCTCCAGAAATTTCCCCACATGAGTTGCTCTCATCTAAGTCCTTCAGTTTATTCTCACAAGTAGTTTTTTGAACCTGAAGGTTTAGCTTTACATTTTTCCCCATAAAATTTCATCTTGGGACTTTTGGTTCATCATTCTAGCTATTCTGACTAAATTGAATGTGGAATCTGTCATTTAATATATTAGTCATCCTTGCGAACTTTGCATTACTCATACATTTGATAAGAACGTATTCAGATTTTCTGGAGGTCTGTTCCAAGATGGCTGAATAGGAACAGCTCTGGTCTGCAGCTCCCAGGGTGATCAACACAGAAGACGGTGATTTCTGCGTTTCCAACTGAGGTAGCTGGTTCATCTCATTGGGACTGGTTGGACAGTGGGTGCAGCTCATGGAGGGTGAGCTGAAGCAGGGCAGGGCATCACCTCACCCAGGAAGCACAAGGGGTCAGAGGATTTCCCTTTCCTAGCCAAGGGAAGCCGTGACAGACTGTACCTGGAAAATCGGGACACTCCCTCCCAAAGACTGCACTTTTCCAATGGTCTTAGCAAATGGCACACCAGGAGATCATATCCCATGACTGGCTCAGTGGGTCCCATGCCCACGGAGCCTAGCCCACTGCTAGTGCAGCAGTCTGAGATTGACCTGCGAGGCAGCAGCCTGGTAGGGGGAGGGGCATCCACCGTTGCTGAGGTTTGAGTAGGTGAACAAAGTGGCCCAGGAAGCTCGAACTGGGCAAAGCCCACCAGAGCTCTGCAAGGCCTACTGCCTCTGTAGACACCCCCCCTGGGGGTGGGGCATAGCTGAAAAAAGGCAGCAGAAACTTCTGCAGACTTAAATGTCCCAGTCTGACAGCTCTAAAGAGAGCAGTGGTTCTCCCAGCATGGTGTTTGAGCTCTGAGAACGGAAAGACTGCCCTCTCAAGTGGGTCCCTGACCCCTGTGTTGCCTAACTGGGAGACACCTCCCAGTAGGGGCCAACTGACACCTCATACAGGCGGGTGCCCCTCTGGGGTGAAGCTTCCAGAGGAAGGATCAGGCAGCAATATTTGCTGTTCTGCAGAATTTACTGTTCTGCAGCCTCAGCTGGTGATACCCAAGCAAACAGGGTCTGAAGTGGACCTCCAGCAAACTCCAACAGACCTGCAGCTGAGGGACCTGACTCTTAGAAGGAAAACTAACAAATAGAAAGGAAGAAAGGAATAGCATCAACATCATCAAAAAGGACATCCACACCAAAACCCCATCTGTGGGTCACCAGCATCAAAGAAAAAAGGTAGATAAAACCACAAAGATGGGGAGAAACCAGAGCAGAGAAGCTGAAAATTCTAAACACCAGAGTGCCTCTTCTTCTCCAAAGGATTGCAGCTCCTTGCCAGCAATGGAACAAAGCTGGATGGAGAATGACTTTGATGAGCTGATGTTACCTGGGGGTCCTTGTTCTTAGAGCTCCCAAGATGGTGGCAGGCCGCTTCCAAGATGGCAGCCAGCCTCTTGTTCTCTAACCTGGGGTTCTTGGCCTCATGGATTCCAAGGAATGGAATCTTGGGCCATGCAGAGAGTGTTATAGCTTTATTAGAAGCTGTGGGTCACAAAAGAGAACCATAGAACCCAGCGACTAGTGTTCAGCTAGATTAGGAAGAACCCAGGCACTCAGCCATGCAGGAACAATGGCAAGCCTTTAGCCCGATCAGGAGCAGCAATGGGTGAGTCACTGGATCAGGAGTGCAGCCAACACCCTGCCGGATCCAGAGGGGCGGAAGTCAGTGGCGGGTCTGCAATGGCGACAAACAGCAGTGGTGGACAGTGAGAGAAAGCTCAGCTCAAGCTGTTACAAACACGGACCAGAAGAATGTTCAGTTGCAAGATGTAATAGAGTGAAAACAGAGCTCCCACACAATGGAAGGGGACCCAAAGGGGGTTGCCATTGCTGGCTCAAATGCCTGGGTTTATATCCCAATCATTGTCTCTCAGGTGATAGATGATTGGCTATTTCTTTACCTCCTGTTTTGCCTAATTAGCATTTTAGTGAGCGCTCTTTGCTACCTGATTGGTTGGGTGTGAGCTAAGTTGCAGGCCCCGTGTTTAAAGGTGGATGCGGCACCCTCCCAGCTAGGCTTAGGGATTCTTAGTCGGCCTAGGAAATCCAGCTAGTCCTGTCTCTCAGTCCCCCCTCTCAACAGGAAAACCCCAGTGCTGTTGGGGAGGTTGGCCGACGACTGCTCTGCTTCCTGCTGAATTGGGGCATAGTAGGGATCGTGCAGTTGAGATTTCCTCAGGAGGGGGGCCTTCAATGTCATCAACATTGGAGCATGGGCTAGCAAGCCGGTCCAGGGGTCCGCAGTAGATCTTAGTCATGGACTGCATCTGGGGTTCCATTTGAAGAATGATTTGTAGTTTTACAGCTTCGATTCTGGAAGAAACAAACTTAACAGGGAGGTTAAAGATACAGGGATTGAAATGTATGGCCGGCAGTGCAGGGGGTTATTTCTTTGGCACACTTCACAGGCCCTGACTATCTGCTTGATAGTTTTGAAAAGGCCTGGTCCAGTAAATAATAATTTGGCCATCTGGTGGGTGCTATCAATGCCTAAGTGAAAGGTCTGGTGAAGGGTTTTAAGCAATTTCCATTGGTTCGCTGCCGGCAAAAGTGTTATTCCTTCTTCGGTGGCTAGCCATCCTGAGGGGAGGAAACTATGTCCTTGTGAGGTTCCCCATTCTATTTCTCCTGCTGAGTACTGGAGCTTAGTTTCCCAGAGGGGATTACCCCATACTAGGGTCCTTCTATAAGCATTTCTAATGGAGGGTCCTGCCTTGTGGCTGTTGATGGGCTTCAATATCCGCTTGGTGGTTCTCTTCCATTTCCCTTTACTTTCCTTTCTGATGACCCCGGCAGTGTAAGACTGCCACATCTTTAGGTTTCTGTACAGTGAATAATAATCTCCTAATGGCTTCCTGATGTTTGATAGGTGTTCCCTCAGAAGTTAGGAATTCCCTTTCTCTCCATATTGCTGTGTGGGCATGGAGGAGTAGGTAAGCATATTAGAGTCTGTATACATATTTCCCCTTTTTCCTTCTAATTCTGGTGCCCCAGTGAGGGCTATTAGTTCTGCCAGCCGAGCGCTAGTTCCTGGAGTGAGGGGATTACTTTCAAGTATTCCATTATCACTGACCACTGCATACCCCACTTTTCAAAGTCCTTTTTCTACAAAGGAATTTCCATCAGTATACAAGTTGAGGTCGGGATCAGTCAAGGGAACCTCTAGAAGGTCCCCTTGAGTGGCGTATGTTTGAGCAATCACCTGTTGACAGTTATGTTCTATCTTTTCTTCATTGTCTGGAAGAAGTGTGGCTGGGTTAAGAGTTGCACAAGAGAGAAGTTCTCAGCACTGGCCCTTCAAGTAATACAGCCTGATATTTAAGCAAACAGTTGTCTGACAGCCACAAGTCTTCTTTAGCAGTGAGTATGCTGTTTACATCATTAGATGTCCACACAGTCATATCTCTTCCCTGTATTATTTTACCTGCTTCAGATACTAAGACTGCTACTGCTGCCACTACCTGTAAACAATGAGGCCAACCCTTTGCCACTAAATCAATTTCCTTACTCAGGTATGCCACAGGTTGCAAGCTGTTCCCTTGGACCTGTGTAAAGACTCCTAGAGCTATTCCTGTTTTTTTCTGTGACATATAAAGAAAAGTCTTGCCCTGTTGGCAAGCTTAACACTGGGGCTTGGGTTAGGGCCTTCTTTAGGGCCTGGAAAGCTGCTTCTGCTTCAGGTGTACATCTTACTAAATGGATATTGGCTTTCTGAGTTTCCTTAATGAGTGCATATAATGGCCTGGCTATTTCGCCGTACCTGGGAATCCATATTCAGCAAAAGGCTGTTATGCCAAGGAACCCTCTTAGTTGCTTTAGGGTTTTGGGATGAGGATAAGCCAGTATAGGCTGGATACATTCCTCACTGAGGGCCCTGGTGCCTTTGGATAATTTTAGCCCTAAGTATTTCTGCTGTGAGCAGAGCTGAGCCTTTTGTTTGGAAGCCTTGTAGCCACAGGTGGCAAGGAAATTTAAGAGTGCTTGGGTGGCTTGATGGCACAAGGTTTCTGAACGGGTGGCTAAAAGTAAATCATCCATGTACCAAAAGATGAGAGTGTTCAGGTATGAAAACTGGCTCAAGTCTTGGGCTAATGCCTGGCCAAATAGATGGGGGCTATCCTTGAACCCTTGGGGTAAAACAGTCCAGGTGAGTTGAGATGTTGGGTTCGAAGGATCTTCAAAAGCAAACAAGAATTGAGAGTCAGGATGTACAGGGATGCAGAAAAAGGCATCCTTAAGGTCCAAGACTGTAAACCACTCTGCTTCCTCTGGTATTTGGGAAAGCAGAGTATAAGGGTTAGGTACAGTGGGTATAGAGAGACAACGGCCTCACTGATAATCCTGAGATCTTGCACTAAACTCCACTGTCTGTTGGGTTTCTGTACTCCTAAAATTGGAGTATTGCAGGGGCTGTTGCACGGTTTTAGTAGGCCTTGGGCTTTTAGGTCCTTAACAATCTTTTGGAGTCCTTGTTGGGCCTCGGGTCTAAGAGGGTACTGCCTTTGGTAGGGAAAGGAGGTGGAATCCTTTAGTTTAACTTGAACAGGACAGGCATTCTTTACTCATCCATATTGTCCTTCTGTTGTCCAGACTTCAGGATTAATTCCTTCCTCAAGCAGGGGACAACAAACGGGTGTTCCTTCTCCTATGTTCAGGTGTACAATGGCCCCTGCTTTTGCTAGAATGTCTCTCCGTAACAAGAGAGTGGTGCTTTCAGGCATAATTAGAAAAGCATGTGAAAAGAGTAAAGTTCCCCAGTCACACCTTAGTGGCTGGGAGAAGTATCTAGTGACTGGCTGTCCTAGGACCCCTTGGCTAGTGACAGATCTGGAGGACAGTTGTATAGGACAGGAAAGTAAGATTGAGAAGGCCATGCCAGTGTCCAGGAGACAGTTAACCTCCTGGCCCTCAATGGTCAAGCATACCTGGAGCTCTGTGAGGGTGATGGTATGGGCAGGCACTTGCCCCGGGCACCCTCAGTCCTGCTGCTGGATCATCAGGTTAGTGGCTTCTGATTCAAACGACCTTCATTCCTTGGGGCAGTGGGCCTTCCAATGATTCCCTTGAGATAAGGGGCATGGACAAGGGGGCAGCTCATTTCTATTCGACAATCTTCTTTAAAGTGTCCTTGTAGACTGCACTGGAAGCAAGCCCTATTAGGCATTCGATTTGCCCAGGCTTTCCACGTTCCAGAGCCTCCAAAGTCAGCTTGGAGGGCCATGACTAAAGCGGTGGCCTTTTTCTTATCTCATCTGTCCTGTTCTGCCTGCTCCTCCTGATCTCTATTATAAAAAACCGAGGTTGCCAAGTTCAGTAGGGTTTCTAAGTTTTGCTCCGGGCCTAAAGCAGACTTTTGAAGTTTTTTTTCTGATGTCTGCAGCTGGCTGAGTGATAAACTTATCTTTTAAGATTAGTTGGCCTTCAATAGAGTCAGGTGACAGAGAGGTATGCTTCCTCAATGCCTCCCTTAGTCTCTCCAGAAAGGCAGTAGGATTTTCTTCCTTTCCCTGTGTTATAGTAGACATCACTGAAAAATTTATAGGCTGCTCCCTAGTTTTCCTTAGTCCTTCTGGCACGCAAGTTAGTAAATGTCTGTGGCACTAATATCCATGTTCTGATTCTGCGTCCCAGTGAGGGTCTACACTGGGAACTGCCTGCTGGCCTGTGGGGAATTGTTCTCTTTCCTCTATTTTCATCCTATCATTGACCCGACTGAGATACCAGAGATCGCCAAACTCTCGGGCTGCAGTTATTGTGGCACTTCTCTTATTTGGGGTTAGTGTCTGATTTAGCAGTAACATTATATCTCTCCATGTCAGATCAAAGGATTGTCCTAACCCTTGTAAAACATCAATATAGCCATCACGGTTATCTGAGAATTTACCTAGGTCTATTTTAATTTGCTTCAAGTCTGACAGGGGAAAAGATACATACACTCTGACTGGGCCGAATTC